>NC_000023.11:55395019-55711075 GCF_000001405.40 Homo sapiens
GTATTTCTTTCAGAAGTGTTCATGATCGCATGTTGGAGCATTTTGACAATTTTGGCTTTAAGACTGTCAGATAATCCCAACATCTCTGCCTTTTTGGCTTTGGTATCTGTAAGTTGTCTTTTCCCATGTAGATTGAGATTTTCCCAATTCTTCATGTTGTGAGAATTTTTAATTATATTCTGGGAATTTTGAATATCAGGTCATGAGACTCTTGGTCTTGTGTACATTCTATAAAGAATGTTGATATTTTTGTCTTAGCAGGCAGTCTACTTCTCTTCTCTGGTGATGACTTTGCCATGACTCTTTTCCTCATGATGGAGCTAAGGCAAAAGAGAAAGGCTGCAGAAGGAAGGTGTTTAGTTAAAGATAGGGTGAGTCTTGAGGGCACTGATTAAGGTGTCTGTGCCCAGGACACTGCCGGAACTGCTGGTGGTGCACAGATTTCAGAATCCTCAGTGAATAAAAAAGATGGAAGTAGGGTAGTAAATAAATGGCATAGTAATTAAAAATTATGTCAAGTTGTAACTGCATCTCTGAGATTTATAGTGTGACAAGCAACAGTGCCAAGTGAGGAGAGCACCACTTATGGTCTTTATCACAGCTACTCAACTTTACCGATTATTGAACCAATACAGACGAATCAACAGAGGACTAAATATTGTTTCATTATGGGTGACCAAGTGTTAACAATTGGCTATTACTTACACTCTGGCTTGGATTGACCTTAGTCAGGCTCCTTTCTTCCTTACAGGCACCTAAACATTGGCTTGCTCCCTAGACAGAGGGAGCAGTCACTACAATTCAAAATCTAACCTTAATAGCTTATCCTGAGAAGCAATTGACCACAGCATACAATATTTTCTGTCAGGTCACCTGGTCATATTGTCTGTTCAGTCTCATTTTTTCCCCCAATTTCCCTTCAAATGTTCCTGCTGGACCTGCTTATCTCTTCCTGTAAAGGAAAGCCTTTTTCTGATTCTGAGATTCTCAAAGACTCTGAAGTCAGAGCATTCTTCCTATGATAATAGTGCTTTTGAAAAAAGTCTTTCCTTATCTAAGACTAGATTGTTTTTATTTGACTTAATGATACGGATGGAGGAAAAAAAGTGTGTGTGTGTGTGTGTGTGTGTGTGTGTGTGTGTGTATTGTGCTCTCCTCTAGCCTAGTTATAAATGTAACCTGAATGTAAAGAAGTAATATAATAAAAATAATAAAATAATAAAATCCTTCTGAGGAAAATGATAGAAGACGGGAGAAATTCGGCAATTACTTCTTTCTTTGATAAACAGACCTAGTTATAGAAACACGATGATTTTTCCTAACTTAATATATAAACTAAATACTATTGCAATTAGCATTCCAACAGAATTTTTTTTGGCATCTGACTGAAAGATTTTCAAGTTCTTCTGAAAGATCAAAGTACCAGAAGAGCCAGGAAAAGAGAAAATAATGGAGAAGAACAAACATTACTTGACATTTAAAATATAATTAGGTTGGGGTGGAGCCAAGATGGCTGAATAGGAACAGCTCCAGTCTACAGCTCCCAGCATGAGCGACGCAGAAGATGGGTGATTTCTGCATTTCGATCTGAGGTACCGGGTTCATCTCACTAGGGAGTGCCAGACAGTGGGTGCAGGACAGTGGGTGCAGTGCAACGTGCATGAGCCGAAGCAGGGTGAGGCAATGCCTCACTTGGGAAGCACAAGGGGTCAGGGAGTTCCCTTTCCTAGTCAAAGAAAGGGGTGACAGACAGCACCTGGAAAATCAGGTCACTCCCACCCTAATACTGCGCTTTTCCAATGGGCTTAAAAAACGGCGCACCAGGAGATTATATCCCACACATGGCTAGGGGGGTCCTACACCCACGGAGTCTTGCTGATTGCTAGCACAGCAGTCTGAGATCAAACTGCAAGGTGGCAGCAAGAATGGGGGAGGGGGTGCCTGCCATTGCCCAGGCTTGATTAGGTAAACAAAGCAGCCAGGAAGCTTGAACTGGGTGGAGCCCACCACAGATCAAGGAGGCCTGCCTGTCTCTGTAGGCTCCACATCTGGCGGCAGGGCACAGACAAACAAAAAGACAAAGACAGCAGTAACCTCTGCAGACTTAAAAGTCCCTGTCTGACAGCTTTGAAGAGAGTAGTGGTTCTCTCAGCACGCAGCTGGAGATCTGAGAACAGGCAGACTGCCTCCTCAAGTGGGTCCCTGACCCCCAAGCAGCCTAAATGGGAGGCACCCCCCAGTAGGGGCAGACTGAAACCTCACACGGCCCGGTACTCCTCTGAGACAAAACTCCCAGAGGAATGATCAGGCAGCAGCATCTGCGGGTCACCAAAATCCGCTGTTCTACAGCCACCGCTGTTCTGCAGCCACCACGGCTGACACCCAGGCAAACAGGGTCTGGAGTGGACCTCTAGCAAACTCCAACAGACCTGCAGCTGAGGGTACTGTCTGTTAGAAGGAAAACAAACAAACAGAAAGGACATCCACACCAAAAACCCATCTGTACATCACCATCATCAAAGACCAAAAGTAGATTAAAACCACAAAGATGAGGAAAAAACAGAGCAGAGAAACTGGAAACTCTAAAAAACAGAGTGCCTCTCCTCCTACAAAGGAACGTAGCTACTCACCAGCAACGGAACAAAGCTGGACAGAGAATGACTTTGACAAGCTGAGAGAAGAAGGCTTCAGATGATCAAACTACTCCAAGCTACAGGAGGAAATTCAAACCAATGGCAAAGAAGTTAGAAACTTTGAAAAAAAATTAGAGGAATGGATAACTAGAATAACCAATGCAGAGAAGTCCTTAAAGGAGCTGATGGAGCTGAAAGCCAAGGCTCAAGAACTACGTGAAGAATTCAGAAGCCTCAGGAGCCAATGCGATCAACTGGAAGAAAGGGTATCAGTGATGGAAGATGAAGTGAATGAAATGAAGTGAGAAGGGAAGTTTAGACAAAAAAGAATAAAAATAAATGAACAAAGCCTCCAAGAAATATGGGACTATGTGAAAAGACCAAATCAGCGTCTGATTGGTGTACCTGAAAGGGACGGGGAGAATGGAACCAAGTTGGAAAACACTCTGCAGGATATTATCCAGGAGAACTTCCCCAACCTAGCAAGGCAGGCCAACATTCAGATTCAGGAAATACAGAGAACGCCACAAAGATACTCCTCGAGAAGAGCAACTCCAAGACAAATAATTGTCAGATTCACCAAAGTTGAAATGAAGGAAAAAATGTTAAGGGCAGCCAGAGAGAAAGATTGGGTTACCAACAAAGGGAAGCCTATCAGACTAACAGCTGATCTGTCAGCAGGCACTCTACAAGACAGAAGAGAGTGGGGGCCAATATTCAACATTCTTAAAAGAATTTTCAACCCAGAATTTCGTATCCAGCCAAACTAAGCTTCATAAGTGAAGGAGAAATAAAATACTTTACAGAGAAGAAAATGCTGAGAGATTTTGTCACCACCAGGCCTGCCCTAAAAGAGTTCCTGAAGGAAGCACTAAACATGGAAAGGAACAACCAGTACCAGCCACTGCAAAAACATGCCAAAATGTAAAGACCATCAAGGCTAGAAAGAAACTGCATCAACTAATGAGCAAAATAATCAGCTAACATCATAATGACAGGACCAAATTCATACATAAAAATATTAACTTTAAATATAAGTGGGGTAAGTGCTCCAATTAAAAGACACAGACTGGCAAATTGGATAAAGAGTCAAGACCCATCAGTGTGCTGTATTCAGGAAACCCATCTCACGGGCAGAGACACACGTAGGCTCAAAATAAAGGGATGGAGGAAGATCTACCAAGCAAATGGAAAACAAAAAAAGGCAGGGGTTGCAGTCCTAGTCTCTGATAAAACAAACTTTAAACCAACAAAGATCAAAAGAGACAAAGAAGGCCATTAAGTAATGGTAAAGGGATCAATTCAATGAGAAGAGCTAACTATCCTAAATATATATGCACCCAAGACAGGAGGACCCAGATTCATAAAGCAAGTCCTGAGTGACCTACAGAGAGACTTAGACTCCCACACAATAATAATGGGAGATTTTAACACCCCACTGTCAATATTAGACAGATCAATGAGACAGAAAGTTAACAAGGATATCCAGGAATTGAACTCAGCTCTGCACCAAGCAGACCTAATAGACATCTACAGAACTCTCCACCCCAAATCAACAGAATATACATTTTTTTCAGCACCACACCAGACCTATTCCAAAATTGACCACATAGTTGGAAGTAAAGCACTCCTCAGCAAATGTAAAAGAACAGAAATTATAACAAACTGTCTCTCAGACCACAGTGGAATCAAACTAGAACTCAGGATCAAGAAACTCACTGAAAACTGCTCAACTACATGGAAACTGAACAACCTGCTCCTGAATGACTACTGGATACATAATGAAATGAAGCCAGAAGTAAAGATGTTCTTTGAAACCAATGAGAACAAAGACACAATATACCAGAATCTCTGGGACACATTCAAAGCAGTGTGTAGGAGGAAATTTATAGCACTAAATGCCCACAAGAGAAAGCAGGAAAGATCCAAAATTGACACCCTAACATCACAATTAAAAGAACGAGAAAAGCAAGAGTAAACACATTTAAAAGCTAGCAGAAAGCAAGAAATAACTAAAATCAGAGCAGAACTGAAGGAAATAGAGACACAAAAAACCCTTCAAAAAATTAATGAATCGAGGAGATGGTTGTTTGAAAATATCAACAAAATTGATAGACCACTATTAAGACTAATAAAGAAGAAAAGAGAGAAGAATCAAATAGATGCAATAAAAAATGATAAAGGGGATATCACCACCAATCCCACAGAAATACAAACTACCATCAGAGAATACTACAAACACCTATATCCAATAAACTAGAAAATCTAGAAGAAATGGATAAATTCCTCGACACATACACTCTCCCAAGACTAAACCAGGAAGAAGTTGACTCTCTGAATAGACCAATAACAGGCTCTGAAATTGAGGTAATAATCAATAGCTTACCAACCAAAAAAAGTCCAGGACCAGATGGATTCACAGCCGAATTGTACCAGAGGTACAAGGAGGAGCTTGTACCATTCCTTCTGAAACTATTCCAATCAATAGAAAAAGAGAGAATCCTCCCTAACTCATTTTATGAGGCCAGCATCATCCTGTTACCAAAGCCGGGCAGAGACACAACCAAAAAAGATAATTTTAGACCAATATCCTTGATGAACATTGATGCAAAAATCCTCAGTAAAATACTGGCAAACCGAACCCAGCAGCACATCAAAAAGCTTATCCACCATGATCAAGTAGGCTTCATCCCTGGGATGCAAGGCTGGTTCAATATACGCAAATCAATAAATGTAATCCAGCATATAAACAGAACCAAAGACAAAAACCACATGATTATCTCAATAGATGCAGAAAAGGCCTTCAACAAAATTCAATGACGTTTCATGCTAAAAACTGTCAATAAATTAGGTATTGATGGGACGTATCTCAAAATAATAAGAGCTATCTATGACAAACCCACAGATAATATCATACTGAATGGACAAAAACTGGAAGCATTCCCTTTGAAAAGTGGCACAAGACAGGGATGCCCTCTCTCACCACTCCTATTCAACACAGTGTTGGAAGTTCTGGCCAAGGCAATCAGGCAGAAGAAGGAAATAAAGGGTATTCAATTAGGAAAAGAGGAAGTCAAATTGTCCCTGTTTGCAGATGACATGATTGTATATTTAGAAAACCCCATTATCTCAGCCCAAAATCTCCTTAAGCTGATAGGCAACTTCAGCAAAGTCTCAGGATACAAAATCAATGTGCAAAAATCACAAGCATTCCTATACACCAATAACAGAGAAACAGAGAGCCAAATCATGAGTGAACTCCCATTCACAATTGCTTCAAAGAGAATAAAATACCTAGGAATCCAACTTACAAGGGATGTGAAGGACCTCTTCAGGAGAGCTACAAATCACTGCTCAATGAAATACTAGAGGACACAAACAAACGGAAGAACTTTCGATGCTCATGGATAGGAAGAATCAATATCGTGAAAATGGCCATACTGCCCAAGGTAATTTATAGATTCAATGCCATCCCCATCAAGCTACCAAGGACTTTCTTCACAGAATTGGAAATAACTACTTTAAAGTTCATATGGAACCAAAAAAGAGCCTGCATTGCCAAGTCAATTAAGTCAAAAGAACAAAGATGGAGGCATCACACTACCTGACTTCAAACTATACTACAAGGCCACAGTAACCAAAAGAGCATGGTACTGGTACCAAAACAGAGATATAGATCAATGGAACAGAACAGAGCCTTCAGAAATAATACCACACATCTACAACCATCTGATCTTTGACAAACTTGACAAAAACAAGAAATGGGGAAAGGATTCCCTATTTAATAAATGGTGCTGGGAAAACTGGCTAGCCATATGTAGAAAGCTGAAACTGGATCCCTTCCTTACACCTTATACAAAAATTAATTCAAGATGGATTAAAGACTTAAATGTTAGACCCAAGACCATAAAAACCCTAGAAGAAAACCTAGGCAATACCATTGAGGACATAGGCATGGGAAGGACTTCATGTCTAAAACACCAAAAGCAATGGCAACAAAAGCCAAGACTGACTAATTGGATCTAATTAAACTCAAGAGCTTCTGCACAGCAAAGGAAACTACCATCAGAGTGAACAGGCAACCTACAGAATGGGAGAAAATTTTTGCAATCTACTCATCTGAAAAAGGTCTAATATCCAGAATCTACAAAGAACTCAAACAAATTTACAAGAAAAAAGCAAACAACCTCATCAAAAAGTGGGCAAAGTATATGAACAGACACCTCTCAATAGAAGACATTTGTGCAGACAACAGACACATGAAAAAATGCTCATCATCACTGGCCATCAGAGAAATGCAAATCAAAACTACAATGAGATACCATCTCACACCAGTTAGAATGGTGATCATTAAAAAGTCAGGAAACACAGGTGCTGGAGAGAATGTGGAGAAATAGGAACACTTTTACACTGTTGGTGGGACTGTCCAACAACTGTGGAAGACAGTGTGGCGATTCCTCAAGGATCTTGAACTAGAAATACCATTTGACCCAGCCATCCCATTACTGGGTATACACCCAAAGGATTATATGCTATAAAGACACATGCACACGTATGTTTATTGCAGCACTATTCACAATAGCAAAGACTTGGAACCAACCCAAATGTCCATCAATGATAGACTGGATTAAGAAAATGTGGCATATATACACCATGGAATACTATGCAGCCATAAAAAAGGATGAGTTTATGTCCTTTGTAGGGACATGCATGAAGCTGGAAACCATCATTCTTAGCAAACTATTGCAAGGACAAAAAACCAAACACCGCATTTTCTCACTCATAGGTGGGAATTGAACAATGAGAACACTTGGACACAGGAAGGGGAACATCACACACCGGGGCCTGTTGTGGGGTCAGGGGAAGGGGGAGGGATAGTATTAGGAGATATTCCTAATGTAAAGGACAAGTTAATGGGTGCAGCACACCAACATAGCACATGTATACATATGTAACAAACCTGCACATTGTGCACGTGTACCCTATAACTTAAAGTATAATAAAAAACATTCTGTATTCTCATGCCTCTTTCAATTGTCCTTTTATTATCTTCCCCATAGTGTCCAGCTCCTCTCAAGTTCTGCTCCAGATTGATTTACATTTCAATTTACTCTCAATTCACTGCTTTAATTCGTGTGCTCAGTTTACCTTCTTGCCACTGCCAGGTTCTGCCTACTAACAGCTTCACAATTGAATCCATTTTGTCTAGCTTTAGTCCCAAGCAGCCGTTTTTAGAGCTGACCAAGGATTGGGTATATACTGAGACAGGATGCTTACAAGAGAAAACATTCTCCAAAGACACACATATTTACTTTACAAACAGTGTAAAATATCACTTTTTGTGCTTATCTCCATAAAGGTGAGAGAATGAGTTACCATGTTCCAAGAATGAATGGATTAATTGGGGATTAATCACTCTGATCACCCTTCTGTTTGTCAACCTTTTGTTTTCCAAATGATTATTCTACATGTATGAACAATTTGTAATAATTAAAAATACAGTAGGTACATCTTTATGAAAATATATTAAAATGTTCAAATATGGAAAATAATAAATAAAATGTTAAAATAGACATAAAAATCTATAAAAATCATCTTTATGAAATACAAAATCAATAACGCCCCTTGATTCTGATAAGTGCACAATTTGTTTGGGGGAGAAAAGTTAAAAAATATCCATTGCCTTAGTAAAAACAAAGGATCAAAATATTTTTAAAAGTGACAGGAATAAACTTGTGGCCTGGGAGAAAAAGCAACAAAACAATTAATGCTGAAAAATAATTTCTAAATGGTAAAAAGAGTGATTGTAAATGATTTATGACCGTATTATTTTGATTTTGAAAGTTTGTTTTCAAGGAAACTGTTTGAATCTTCTCAACTGGGAAGTTTCCACTTATCTTCTACAGAGCTCTCAAGATTTGCCCCAGCTGGTATCTGAGTGACAGCAGGTACAGTAATATTCCTTCTAGTTAGTATCTGTGGTGATACAAGCATTAGGAGATATACCTAAAGTTAAATGATGAGTTAATGGATGCAGCACACCAGCAGGGCACATGTGTATATATATGAAACAAACCTGCACATTGTGCACATGTACCCTAAAACTTAAAGTATAATAATAAAACAAAGAAAAAAAAATGAAACTCAAGCATTCCTTTAGGAGGGCAGTGTCAGAAACCCCAGGAGCCTAGGGCCTCTCACTAGAGACTTTTCAATTATCACGTGACTCAGGAGACTGCCTCAGGCTTCTCATGTGCTTATTTAGACTGTAGGCTTCTAGCTAGAGCAGAGTACATACCCTCCATTGCTGTGTAACCTGTGAATGGTGATCTCTATGTCTTTTCACATTATCATGCTTCTTCATTCACACAAGTGTGGTTTGTGGAGATTAAATGTAAACCTCATGTTTGCTACCTAGACACGCAGACTCTTATTTCCAAACCCAAACCTGAAATAGGAATCAGAATATTTTCAGACTTTTCTTTTTCTTTCTTTCTTTCTTTTTTTTTTTTTTTTGAGATGGAGTCTAGCTCTGTCACCCAGGCTGGAGTGCGGTGGCACGATCTTGGCTCACTGCAACCTCCGCCTCCTGGGTTCAAGCGATTATCCTGCCTCAGCCTCTCGAATAGCTGGGATTACAGGCACCCGCCACCATGCCCAGCTAATTTTTGTATTTTTAGTAGAGATGGGGTTTTACTGTGTTGGCCAGGCTGGTCTCGAACTCCTGACCTCATGATCCGTTTGCCTCAGCCTCCCAAAGTGCTGGGATTACAGGCGTGAGCCACTGTGCCCGGCCTAGACTTTTTTAGAATAATCCATTCACATCACAGCAGTGAGTGAGAATTTCAGGGAGCAGATGAAGTTTATTCCTCAGTGTTTCACCAGAAAAACCTGCATTGGCCACATTCTCTAACCAGAAGGATTCCCCTCTATATTCTTCTTCTGGGAAGCCTCTAAATTTCTCTAGATCTTGCCCTACTTGGTTATCAGCTCCCCTCTACCCCCATTACAATAGAACAATTATAAATCAAATGTAAGAATCTCTCAGTTTCTAAAGCTAAATGGGAACACCTTACCCTTTACTGAATTTTGCCTTGAAATATGTAAAAAGACATTTAGTATTCTAAAGCTAAAAACAGCACTCAGAAAAAAACAATCTCCTCCACTTAGTATAACTGACTTCCTTAAAAGGCAATAGAGAATTTTAAGTAAACATTGTTTTCCTATGGATACATATACAATATAAACGGGCATATTAGTGTTGTTGTTAGGTAGGATGGAGACATTGAGTCTCATGTTACTTCATTAGCAGTATCCATTCAGATAGCCACCTACAGATATCTATTAGAAGCAAATAAAATATAACATACATACAGCATGCTGTCACTCATCTAGGGATTAAAGTCATTTGGACCCATGGAACTGGCATTTGGACCAATAGGAATGTATTGATCAGTGTTTCACTGATTACAAGCTGATTGTAAGCGTTGCATTATAGCCTTATACCAGCTATCAAAACTAGGTTTTTCAACGTTAGTAGTTGATGTAGAATTTTAAGACTCTCACCAGCACATTAGAGCAGTCTGCTGCAGAAAGGTGTGCATTAGGCAGATGTGTTTTTACCACCTGCTTTCTGTCTTAATAATGCAAATAACAGTTATGGGGCCCTATTAAGTGCCGGGTGCATTTTTGATGTGTTATCTGATTTAATCCTCACAATATCCCCCTGGGATGAATATAATTATCACATTTTATAGATGAAGAATATGAGACATGGAGAGATTAAGTAATTGACTAAAGATCAAATAGCTAATAAGTTGTCAAGCCCAAGATGTGAATACAGGTCTGCTTTGACTCCACACACCCTATATTTATCACTAAAATATAAAGCTCTCTGGCATCTGGCATTCTGATTTTTTTAAAAAAGAAAATAGCCCAAAGTGGGAAGATTAAACTTTGTTAGGAGACTAGTATTTTCCCTCACCAAGAGGCTCAGCTACATTTTGCTGGTGGTACAATGTGAAGACAGTGCAAAGGGAAAATAGCTGGGTGACAGGTGGGATTGCTAAGCAACAGTTTATGAAATCCAGTGAAACCATGGCAATGGAACACTATGGTCCCAGTCATGAACCTATTCAACATTCAAGAGTAAGACACAGCTATCGGGAACATCTGGTAAGATAAATCAAGAGTGCTATAAACTTTGGAAATATAAGGCATCAGTATCACTATTGTTATTACCAACACATATGATACAAATAATCAAAGCAATCAGTGCATTTCAAACAAATAATTGCTTCATTAAAAATGTCATTGTCACATATAGAAACTTTATTTTCCTTGACAAACAAATTTTCTGCTTTCTTTTCTCATCAAACACAACTCTTCACTTTGATTAAAGAATGGATCTGTGCTACACCAGAACACTTTGCATTTTAAAGCATTTTGGATTTACAATGTGCTTCCTGACAATGTGTTTCTGACAATGATGCTGAAACAGGTATTATCATTCCCACTGCACAGAAAGAAAAACTGCAGCTTTAAGGAATTTAAGCAACTTGTCCAAGGCACACTGTTAGTCAATATCACATCCTAAACTTCTACAGAGGTCTACTTCTAGACAAGAGCTTCTCCCAGTCAAAGTACTTTTTATAATTCCCTAAGCCACATACCTATCTGAGAATCTGACCAAGCTCGTGGTCCCTTCCTCTGTCCTTTTTGATGATTGTGTCATCTCCCTGGGCTTTGTCAGTTATTACATACACCTCACCCCAAATGTCTGTGTCCTAAGAGTTTGATCACAAAAATGGACCCTTGATCTAGCAGCAACTCAAAACCCTGCTTAACTTTCTGCCTTGCACTAACCTGCACCAATCCACCTTCTCTATGCCCAAACCAGCACTTTAAATAATGAAGTCAGGAGACATTGTTTCGCAAGACCCTTTCAGGCTAGAGTAATACCTTTGTCCCTCTTTCTTACTCTCAAGATTGTCTATGTAGGGTAGACTTCCACACTCGATATGAAACATATCAGTTAAGGACAGTGTACAATACTTTAGAGGGTAAAAACTCATGTTTACTGAAGTTCTGATCATTCCATTCTCCATCATCTTATGTAAATCAGAAGACATAAGCCTCATTTTTCCAGTTCCAGTTTGACTTGCACCATTGACATTATAGCTAGAAGGATCCACTTCGATATGCACTGTTTACAGCCAGAACTGCCTATTATAGAACATGTGAGAAAAGCTGCAATGTCAGAATGCAACATTTCTGTGAGGTGTAATGCTCTAAAAATTCTTTTGGAGATAATTATGATGACTGAACATGCATGGATATGAGATACACACAATCATGATCACCTTTGACCAGTGCCTCCTCAATGTGGTCCCAGTATTTGGAGAGTGTAGTGGGGCTCAACTCTATTTGAATGGCTATTCGCATGTTACAGACAATAGAGAGTATCCACACTTGCAGTGATACAATGCTTAGCTATTTCCTAATGTCATGCATTTCCTTACAGGTCTTCTGAGGGTCTTCTATACATATAATGTCCTCAGTTTACCACTTCTTATTACACATAAGTCTTATAGAAGAACATCCTAGGAAGAACATACAAGGAGGCATCAGACTGGTATGTTCAGTGAACTAAGTACAACATCTGAAGTCTCCTCAGTTTTTTAGTGGACACTAAAGTTGGTGGTGATGGTATTCCTTGTACCAGATCACAGAAAGCTCTATCAGGAGCAACTTAAGCCAGATTAAGAGTTAATAGGAAGGAAACCAGATCTCTACAGCTTATTGGATTACTGTCCAAATAAATTACAGATATAGTTAACTACATTATTCCTCTACGGACTAAGATCTTCCACATGGTGTTGTAAAAACATTTTTTTCAGTAGCAGAACCTTTTCTTCACATATTACCTCAAACCCCAAAGCATAAAACTTTGGTTGAAGCATTCAGTAGCAGAGAACTTTTTGCAAATATTACTTGGAACCCCTCAAGTAAATTCCAGATTCTCACTAGCTTACTCTCTACCTTGCTTCCCAAGGTAGTATTCAAGGCAACTTCATGGAACTCATGGGCATCAAGAACCATAGTTGTAAATTAATGTAGAATAGAGGAACCAGCCCTCTGAGTAAGACATAAAGATGTAAAGAGGAGTCAGCAATGAAATCTCTGCAGCTCTGTATCTCGCATCACAGCCAAAAGCTCTAGGTTTGATATTCTACCTCAAGTGTCTAAGATGAAAATTCCAAAATCTTGGATCTTGAACTGCTTTCTACATGGGTGAGTTTTAATTCCAGAAAGATTATAAATAATATACATATGACAAACTGAATTGAATCCATGCTCTTAAAATTTTGTGTACAGATTAGGAATAGTCTCTATATATCTTTTATTTAAAGGTTTGCAATGGTAAGAGAATTGGGCATATTAGAGAGTTCAGTGGTTACTAATTTTAAATGTGTAGTTGAATTAATGATTAGATTTGAGAATTTTATATTGAAAGTTATATGAGAATTTTGCAAAACTTATAAATTATATTGGAATATTTAGGAGAACTTCAGTTTTACTATATTTATATGATTATTTTGATGTTTTATCTAAGATCTTGAGAAGATTTGTTTGTGAGAAAATTGAGGTATTTAAAATGAAACTCAAATATAAATTTATCAATTCAGTTTAAAATATGCAAAGAAACTTAATAAACTTATAAATGCTCCCTTGAAAATGACTGGTAAAGTAAGTTGATAAAAATAATTTAAATTTGACATTAAAAACTTTAAAAAACTAGGATTTTTAGTCCATAAATTTAACAAATTATATGCTTATATCAACATTAACCGAAGTGGCCTTTCTTGTGCACAAACACTGCTTTCGAGAGAACTAAAAAACTCACATTGATATTTTTCAGCTAGTTATTCATAGAAGCCAATGAGTTCTCACTAGAAGTATCTTCTCCATGAAGAGACAGGGTGTTGTCTTGAGCCTCTTTTATGTCCCTCCAGAATGTGGGCCTCCTGCTAAGAACAGTGCAGACCTGTGTTGTCCAATATAATAGCCACTACCTACATGTGGCTACTAAGCAGCTGAAATAGGGCTAGAAATATTGAGATATTGTGTAACGGTGAAACACACTCTGGAATTTGAAGACATAATATGAAAAAAAATCTAAATATTTCATCTATGATTTTTAATAGCTGTGTTAACATACAATAAACTGCACGTAAAGTGTACAACAGTGAACATATCCAGCACTCCAAAAAGTTTCCTTATACCCCTTTTTAATCTAACTTTTCTTCCCATCCCTCTTTGTGACTTGTCTTTAGGCAATTACTGATGTATTTTTGTCACTATACATTAGTTTCTGTTTTGTAAAATTTTGAAGACATGTTCTCTTTTGCTTTGCCTGTCTTCCTTCACTCAGCAAAACTATTTTGAGATTTATCATGTTTTATGCATCAAAAGTTCATTCTTTTTATTGCTGAATAGTGTATATATCGTTTTCCACAGTGACTACACCAATTTACATTTCCATATGTACATTCAAAAATGTAAAAGAGTTCCCTTTTCTCCACATCCTCATCAACACCTTTCCTTTATTTTTTAATAATAGGCATCCTAACAGCTATGAGGTGATCATTTACTGTGGTTTTGACTTGTATTTCCCTGACGATTAGTGACATTGAGCACATTTTTATATGCCTATTTGCCATTTGCATATCTTCTCTGGAGCTATGTCTATCTAGGTTCTTTGCCCATTTTGTAATTTGGTTATTTGGTTTGTTTTGCTTGTAGGTAAAATCTGCTAGTGATATATTATCTCAATGTTTATCAAATAAAGTTTTAATTATTCTTTTATTTTTGAAGGGTAGTTTTTTCCAGATATAAATACTGGGTTGACAGCCTTTTTATTTAATCATTTTGAATATGTCATCCCAATGACATCTTGGCCTCCATGGTTTCTGATGAGAAGTCAGCTATTATGTTTTTGAGGATACCTTGTATATGAGTCACTTTTCTCTTGCTGCTTTTAAGATTTTTTATTTGCCCTTGCTTTTTGACAGTTTGACTATGAGGTCCTCAGCTGTGGCTCTCTGTGTTAATCCTAATCGGAGTTTGTTGAGCTTCTGGGATGTGTAGGTTAATGTTTTTCACCAAATTTCATAATTTTGGTGATGATTTCTTCAGCGTTCTTTCTTTCTCACTTCTCTCCTCTCCTAGAATCTTATGCCTGTGTTGGTGCTCTTGATGTTGTTCCATAGGTCCAAGTGGCTCTATTTATTTTTCTTCATCTTTTTTTCTGTTTCTCGGACTGTATAATATCAGTTGACCTATCTATATCTTGCTCACTCCTTTTTCCTGCTAGTTCGAACCTGCCGTTGAGCTCCTTTGTGAAAATTTTCATTTTAGTGGTACTTCTCTTCATAATTTTGATCATTTTAAAAATAATTTCCATATCTTTATTGATATTCTCTACTTGGGAAGACATAGTTTTCATACTTTCTTTTAGTTCTTTATACATAGTTTCCTTTAGTTCACTGAACATATTTAAAATGGCTGATTTAGATTCTTTGTTTACTAAGTTCAATATTCATGCTTCCACAAAAAGTTTCTATTGATTGTGGAATGTTTTTCTGTGTATAGGCCATAATTACCTACTTTTTTGCATTCTCATAACTTTTGTTAAAAACTTGGCATTTTAAATAATATAATGAAGCAATTCTGGCAATGAGGTATCCCTCACTACAGGTAGGGCAAACAGAAGTAATTACTGCTCATAGATGTTTAATGTCCTAATTACCCAGAATCTTCTGTTATAACAGATTATATTGTAAAAGGGAATTAAGTTTGCTCATGCAATCAACTTTGCTAACATGCTGACTTAACAATAGGGAGATTATCCTGGATTAACTGAGTGGCCCAATGTAATTACAAGGTTGTGTAAAAGTGGAAGAGGAAATCAGAAGAGATAACCTGAGAGATTGTAGCATGACAAAAGACAGTTACTGGATTTGAAAATGGAGGAATGGGGCCACACCAAGGAATGTAGGTGGACTCTAGAAACTGGAAAATGTAAGAAAAAATATTCCTTCCTAAGACATCCAGAAATAACATATTCTTGCTGAGAACTTCATTTTAGTCAACTAAGACCCATTTTAGACTTCCGCTTTCCCGAACTGTAAAATAATAAATTTGTGTTGTCCTAAGCCACTAAGTTTGCGTGAATTAACTACATCAGCAGGCCATTAATGTACTAGGATTTCTTGTTGTTGCTAGTTTGTTTTCGTTGTTGTTTGTTTAATGACTTTACGGAACCAATTCTGTAGTCTGTATTTTTTGTCATGTACAGCAAATTAACTCTCTGCTCAGTTAGCTTAGTAGTCAGTTAATGATAAGGTAGAGATTTCCTTAAATGCCTTGAACCATTAAGTCTCCCAGCCTTTACCAAGAAGCTCTGTGTATGTGTTGAGATACACCTTCAATGCTCCAGCAGGCAGTTTACAATTCTGCCTTCACCTTCATTTACTACTTGTGCAAAACCACAAGTGAGAGATTAGGGCCTTCTCATGTCTTTCTTGAGTATGTGCAAAGCCTTGGACATATATGCATGGCCTTCTAAATTCCCAAGAATATGTTGTAGGTTTTCCAAGCCCCACATGAAACCCTCATTCTCTAGTTTTTTTCTTTTAATTTTTTTTTGTAACCTCTCATTAGCCCTAACTTCTTCTAAGGCAGCTGCTATGTTAAACACTCGCCTCTGATGTTTTTGACAAATGCCTTGGCAATAGAGTTTTTCAGAGTGATCTCTGAGTTTTGTCAAATAAATATAAGCCTTGAGCATGAAGCTTTTCAGTGAGTTTCCAGACAAGTCAAATTGTAGTAATTCTCTGGGTGAAGCTTTTGGGGATCTCCAAATGCATCCTCCACTCCCAACCCACATTTGCTGCTAGGTTGCTGGTTTTCACAGGTACTGTAGCACTGGGGCTATTACTTTCCAAGGATACCATGAGAGTAAAAAGTGGGGGATATAATAAGGGCAAGTTAAAACTCCATGAAGTTCACATTTCTTGTTGAGTTTCAACATTTTTCTTGAATAAACACTTCTCAGTTATTACAAATATTTAGCTAATTTCCAGTTTTGAAAATTTTGTTTGACATATTTTACCAGTGTTCTTGTAGCTGTTATGGGAAGATTTTTTCTTGTCATTTCAGATGGCCCTGTCTTTTCTAATTTAAGTGGAGATTTTCTTGGTTCCAGGTATTGTAAATGATTTTTTATTGAAACCTGGGCATTTTGGGTGCTATGACGCTATGGACCTTATTTAAATATTTTTTCTCCCATGCTGTCAGGAAAAGAGGGGTGCTTCCTCATTTCTTCCATATGGGAGTGGAATTCCAGATTCTCCACTTGACCTCTATTAATATCCAGTGGTAGAGGCTCATTCTTACTGCCGAGTGTAGGTAGGCAGTTGATGCTCTTTCTTGTGAAGAAATAGATAGTTTTTATAGTCCTACATATTAGTAATAACTTTCCTAGAAAGGACACTCCAGGCCCAGAATTCTACCAAACATTTAAGGAAGTAATAACACCAATTTTCCACAATCTACTCCAATAAAAGAACAAGAGGAAACACTTTCCTACCATTCTGTAAAGTGAGCACTACTCTGATACAAAAATAAAACAAAACGAAGTTTACAAGAAGACATCAATATATATTGTGAATATAGATACAAAAATCTTTACTAATATTTTAGCAAATCATATATAGATGTGTGCATGTGTATATATATATATGCTATATATATTATATATATACACATACACACACAAATCATATGTTATGTTTATTTTATTTATTTGAGACAAGGTCTTGCTTTGTCACCCAGGCTGGAATGCAGTGGCATGAGCACAGCTCACTGCAGCCTCAACCTTCTGGGGTCAAGTGATCCTCCTGCCTCCACCTTCTGAACAGCTAAGACTACAGACATGTATCACCATGCCCAGCTAATTGCTTTAAAATTTTTGGTAAGATGGGGTTTCACTTTGTTGCCCAGACTCGTCTTGAACTCCTTGGCTCAAACAATCTTCCTTCCTTGGCCTCCCAAAGTGCTGGGATTACAGGCATGAGCCACTGCACCTGGCCTAATAATATTGTAGGTTATAACCACATGGGGTTTATCCCAGGAATGCAAGGTTCATTTAATATTTGAAAACTGATCAGTAGCATTCATCATATTAACAGTCTAAAAAGTACAGTCTATATGATCATCTCATTTACTGCAGAAAACAACATTATACAAAATCCAAATGTTCATGATAAAACCTCTCGACAAACTAGGAATAGAACAAACTTCTTCCTGGTAAAGGGCAACTACAAAATACCTATAAGTACCATCAGACAGTGCTTCCCCTCAAGATTGAGAGTAAGCCAAGGAAATCTTTTCTCAAAACTCCCATTTGAATTTTTACCATAGATGCTAACTAATGTAATAAGTCAAGTAAAAAAGGGAATACAGATTTCTTTTAAATAGAAAAACTATTTTTCTACTTTTAACATATTTTAGACAACATGATTGTGTATGTATTTAAAAAAGATACTAGAACTAAAAATTAGTTTAGCAGGGTTGCAGAATACAAGGTCAATATGCATAACTCAATTGTATTTCTATATACCAGCAACTATCTGAAAGTTAATAATATAAAAATACCATTTACAACAGCATCACAAAACCAGAAATACTTTGGGGTAAGTTTGATAAAATATGTACTCTGAGAACAAAACAACATTGTTTAGAGACCTAATTAAAGAAGACCTAAATTGATTTGAGAGTCATATGGTTTTCTTGCTAGGAAGCTTTTTTTGTAGCTATTGACAAGATGATTCTAAATTTTATGCACAGAAATTATAAAACATTAGTGAGATATATAAAAGAAAAACTAAGTAGGTAGAGAAATATACTACATTCACTGGAAGGCTCAATGTTGTTAAGATCATTTATTCCCAAATTTATCTACACTGTCAACACAACCCAGGTGAAAATATTAGCAGGTTATTTTGTTGAAGTTTACAAGACTGCTAAAATTTGTTTGTAAATTATATGGATCTCTAACTGACAAAATAATTTTGAAAAAAAGAACAAACTTGAAAGCCTTAAACTACCAGATTTCAAGACTTATTATAAAGCTACAATCAAGACAGTGTGATACTGATATAAAGAAAGACATATAGAACAGTGGAACAGAAAAGAAAGTTGAGAACTAGATCTAGAAATAGTAAGATCAGATCAAATTATCAACCATGCAAATAAAAGAATTACTTGGGGCAGGGAGTTAGAGTCAGTGCTATAAAAGCACAGTCAAGTTGTACATTCCCAAAGTACTTTGGTATGTTTATTTTGCACATAAAATTGACAAATAAATTTAATCTACTTGTTTCTATGCAATATGTAGTCCTAATTTGCAACATGTGTTTTTAAAGAATCTTCAATTATGGCTTTAGTAGATATCCAGCCTAAGACAGTGAAGAGTGATACAAACTAATTCAAATTAATGATTTAAATCAATTCAAAGTATTGGCAATAATATTAAAATAAGCTTAGTTACAGAAGTATCTGACAACTGTTATATCTCAAAATTTTGCTGAGATTTAGCATTTTCTCAAGAGATTAATTGCCTAAATGGTAATATTTACATCAAGTTAAAGATGTCAGTTTAGGCTTCCCCAATGAGAGTTAAACGCCAACTGAATAATTTTGAATCCTCTCTGTCTGGAATTGTGCTTAGCTAGTCAAACCAAAAAAGATTATGTTTCACTTTACATATAATTCAAATTGATTATGACTCTGGCTGATGAGCACCATTTCAATACCATCTCACTTGTATATATGATAATTTCAGATAAGAAATTATAATTTCTAAACACTATTCTAACTTTCTGAGATTAAGACTAATGAATGTGAACAGCATTTTTATTTTCCACTAACTGTAATTTGGGGTCTCCATTGGGTCACTTGGGTTATAATAATTGCATCTGATTTGCCACAATTGTGTAATCTTAAAACATCTAAAATTTAAAAAATAGACAACAGAGTGAGTATCCTTAAAATGGGGAGTTGCTGTCCACCAGTTATATAGTATCAGTTACGCAAGATGAATACATTCTTAACATCTGCTGTACGACATTGTGCCTATAGTTAACAATACTCTATTGTGCACTTAAAATGTGTCAAGGGGATAATCTCATGTTTAGTGTTCTTAACACACACACAGACACACAGGCACACACACGGACACACACACACACACACACACACACACACACACACACACACGAGAGGGGGGAAAAAGCATCTGTAACACCAAGAATGAGTCTCCAAAAGAGAATCATCCTTTGTTTAGAGAGAAAAATGCTTTATGTAACTTCTTACTAACTGGAATTGTCCTATACCCAGTGATATATAAATTATGACCTGAATATTTAGAAAAATTCTGATATCCAATATTCTTCCTCCTGTCCATACACAAGGTAGAAAATTACCTGGAAATTTTATTAGTATGTCTCTCACATTCAGAGATAGCATAAAAATCTTTGGCAGTTCATATGTCCTAACTTTAGATTTACATTATATGTTTACTAGAGTTAGCACTGAAGAACAAGTTAATTTACATCATCACAAAGATATCTTTGATATCTGTCTCAGCTTCTTTGGTAGAAATTGACTTCTCATTAAACTTGCCTGATAAAATACAGGATACCTTGTTAAATTGAATTTTAGCTATATGGTGAATATTTTAGCATAATTATATCCTGATTATCACAAGAAGCTTATTTATACTATAAAATAGTTGTTTATCTCTGTCAATTTGGGTTGATGACTTGTGAAGGATTAAGATGATGAATATAATGATTGAGTGGGTTCTACTTACCACTCTCTACTACCTAACACATTTAGCCTGTGATATAATTGTGATCATGTCTACAATGAGATGAAGTAAACAGGAATATGTGTTTGAATAAGTTAACAAGAATGAAATTCAGAGAAATAAAGAAATTAAAAATATGAAAGAGAAATTAAAGGATATGGAGAATATGGTATGCAGGTTGTACACTCATCAAATTGTAATGTCAGAAATAGATAACAGAAAGAATAAGAAATAGGTGATATTAAAAATATAAAGGCTGAGAATATTTCAGAAATTATGAAAGAAATAAATCCTCAGATTCAGGAAGTCTAGTAAACCCCACATAGAATATATAAAACTAAATTCACACCTAGACTTATTATAATAAAACTACAGAAACCCAAAAACAAAGATATGTTCTAAGCAGCAAAGAATATGTAATTATCTACAAAAGAATTACATTTAACCTCTTAGATGACATCTCAATAGGAAGAGTAAAATCTAGAAGACACTATAACATCTACAAAGTGATTTAAAAAAATAAGGATTTGGGACAAGATGGCTGACTAGAAGCAGCTAAGGTGCATGCCTCTCACGGAGAGAAACAAAAGGGGCAAGTAAATATAGCACCTTCAACTGAAAAAACCAGGTACTCACATTGGGACTAATCAAGGAAACAACTCGACCCACAGAGAAAGGAGAAGAGCAAGACAGGACAAGAGCCCACCTGGGAGTGACACAGAGCCAGGAGAACCTCCCCAACCCAGGGAAGCAGTGAGTGAATGATTGACCCCAGGAAACCATGCTTCTGCCACTGATCTTTACAACCCTTTGGTTGGGAGACCCTCTTATGAAGACAACCCACCAGGGCCTTCAGGCTGACACGCAGTGTGAAATCTCGGCAGAGTAGCCACTCAGGCTTGCATGGAGGCCCAGGAGCTTTACATACTCCAGCTCCGGGCTTCCTGGCAAAAGTGACTGCAACTCAGGCAAGGCAGGGGGTTGAACCTCCGCACATATCTCTAGGAAGGGGGCTGAGTAGCAATGGTCTGTGGGCCCCACTTCCACTAAGCCTCCCAGGATAAGACCCACTGGCTTGGAATTCCAGCCAGTGTCACCCATACCTGGGACAGAGTTCCCAGGGGGAGGGGCGGGCCACCATCTTTGTTGTTTGGGTAACTCAGCCATTCCAGCCTGCAGGCTTTGGAGAGTCCAACCAGGAGCAGAAGGGATCCCTAAGCACAGCACAGCTGCTCTACCAAAACATGGCCAAACTGCTTCTTTCATCAGGTCTCTGATCCATTCCTCCTTACTGGGCAGGACCTGCAATCTGGACTTCCAGCCACTCCCACTGGTGTTCTCTGACTGATAGAGATTGGAATCCTCCCCGGGAAAGAGTTTCCTGGAGTAAGGGGTAGAATGCCATCTTTGTTGTTTGGGCAACTCAGCTGTTTCAGCCAGCAGCCTTGGGAGAGTTCAAACCAAAAGAGGGTGGAAGCAGTATTCTGGAACAGCACAACTGCTCTATACAAGCATGGCCAGACTGCTTCTTTAAGCAGGTATCCTATGCCATTCCTCATGACTGGGTGAGACCTCCCAAACAGCATCTCCAACCACCTCCTACAGGTGCATTTGGGCTGGCAACAGTTCTGTACTTCCCTGGGACAGAGCTTCCAGAGCAGGGGGCAGGCTGCCATCTTTGCTATTTCACATCCAAAGGTCAGCAACCTCATGGACTGAAGGTAGATAAGCCCACAAAAATGACAAAGAATTAGTGCAAGAATGCCAAAAGTTCAAAAAGCCAGAGTGCCCTATTTCCTCCAAATGACTGCACCACCTCTCCAGCAAGGGTTCAGACCAGGCTGAAGCTGAGATGGCTGAAATGACAGAAGTAGAAATCAGAATATGAATAGGAACAAAGTTCACTGAGCTAAAGGACTACATTGTAACTCAATACATAGAAGCTAAAAATCATGATAAAACATAGCAGGAGCTGACGGACAAGATAGCCGAGAGAGAAGAATGTAACTGACCTGATAGAGCTGAAAAACACATTGGAAGAATGTCATAGTGCGATCATAAGTATTAATAGCAGACTAGATCAAACAGTGGAAAGAATCTCAGAGTTTGAAGACTACATTTCTCAAATAAGACAGGCAGACAAGTATAGAGAAAACAGAATGAAAAGAAAGAAATAAAACCTCTTAGAAATATGGGATTATGAAAAGAGACTGAATCTAAAACTCATTGGTGTACCTGAAAGAGATTGGAGAAATGGAACCAATTTGGGAAACATGTTTCAGATTTTATGCATGAAAACCTCCCCAATCAAGGAAGACAGACCAACATTGAAATTCAGGAAATGCAGAGAACCCCAGTAAAATATTCCATGAGATTATCATCCCCAAGACATATAATCTTCAGGTTCTCCAAAGTTGGAATGAAAAAAAAAATGTTAAAGGCAGCTAGAGAGAAAGGCCAGGTTACCTACTAAGGGAAGCCCATCAGAAGAACAATGTACCTCTCAGCTGAAACCCTATAAGCCAGAAGAGATTAGGGGCCAATATTCAACATTCTTAAAGGAAAGAAATTCCAATGCTGAATTTTGTACCCAGCCAAACTAAACTTCATAAGCAAAGGAGAAATAAGATCTTTTTTCAGAAAAGCAAATGCTGAGACCTGCCTTATAGGAGCTTCTGAAAGAAGCACTAAATATGAAAAAGAAAAACTATTACCAGCCACTACAAAAACACAATGTACTTCAGACCAGTGACACTATAAAGCAACCACATAAAAAGTCTGCAAAATTACCAGCTAACATGATGACAGGATCAAATCCACACATATCAACACTGACCTTAAATGTAAATGGGCTAAATGCCCCAATTAAAATACATAGAGTGCCAAGCTGGATAAAGAACCAAGACCCATTTGTATGCTATCTTCAAGAGACCCATCTCAGATGCAATGACACACATAGGCTCAAAAATAAAGGGATGGAGGAAAATCTACCAAGCAAATGAAAAAGAAAAATATCAAGGGTTGCAATCCTAGTTTCTGACAAAGATAAAAAAAAAAAGCCAAAAAGGGCATTACGTAATGGTAAAGGGTTCAATTCAATATGAAGAGCTAACAATCTTAAATATATTTGCATCCAACACAGCAACACCCATGTTCATAAAACAAGTTGTTAGAGACCTTCAAAAAGACTTAGACTTCCACACAAAAATAATGGGAGACTTTAACACCTCACTCACAATACTAGACAGATCACTGAGATAGAAAATTAACAAAGGTATTTGGGACCTAAACCCAGATCAAGTGGTCCTCATAGATATTGACAAAACTCTCCACCCTAGACAAGAGAATATACATTCTTCTCATCACCACAGAATCACATAATGGGAAGTAAGGCACTCCTCATCAAATGCAAAGGAACTGAAATCATAACAAACAGCCTCTCTGACCACAGCACAATCAAATTGGAACACAAGACTAAGGCATTCACCCAAAACCATGCAATCACATGGAAATTGAATAGCCTGCTCCTGAATGACTTCTGGGTAAATAATGAAATTAAGGCAGAAATCAAGAAGTCCTTTGAAACTAATGAGAACAAAGAGACAATGTAGCAGAATCTCTAGGATGCAGCTAAAGCAGTGTTAAGAGGGAAATTTATAGCACTAAAGGTCCACATCAATAAGCTAGAAAGATCTCAAACTGACACCCTAACATGACAACTAAAAGAACTAGAGAATGAAGAGAAAACAAACCCCGGAGCTAGCAAAAGACAACAAATAACCAAGCTCAGAGCAGAACTGAAGGAGATAAAGATACGAAAAACCCTCCAAAACATCAATGAATCCAGGACCTGGTTTTTTTAAAAAATCAGTAAAATATATAGACTGCTAGCTAGGCAAATATAGAAAAAAAGAGAGAAGATTCTAATAAACACAATCAGAAATGTTAAGAATACCACCACTGACCCCACAGAAATACAAACAACCATCAGAAAATACTATAAACACCTCTATGCAAATAAGCTGGAAAATCTAGAAGAAATGGGTAAATTCTTGGACACATACACCCTCCCAAGACTGAACCAGGAAGAAGTTAAATACCTGAATAGACAAATAACAACTTCTATAATTGAGGCAGTAATAAATAGCCTACCAACCAAAAAAACCCCAGGACCAGATGGATTTACAGCTGAATTCTACCAGAGGTACAAAGAGGAGCTGGTACCACTTCTTTTGAAACTCTTCTAAACAATTGCAAAGAAGGGACTCCTCCTTAACTCATTTTATGAGGACAGCATCATCCTAATACCAAAACCTGCAGAGATACAACAACAAAAAAAACTTCAGGTCAATATCCCTGATGAACATTGATGCAAAAATCCTAAATATAATACTGACAAACCAAATACAGCAGCACATCTAAAAGCTTATCCACAATCAAGTCAGCTTCTTCCCTGGGATGCAAGGCTGGTTCAACATACACAAATCAATAAATGTAATTCATCAGATAAACAGAACTAAAGACAAAAACCACATGATTATCTCAACAGACACAGACAAAGCCTTTGATAAAATTCAACATCCTTTCATGTTAAAAACTCTCAATAAACTAGGTATTGAAGGAACATACCTCAAAATAATAACAGCCATTTATGACAGACCCACAGCCAATATCATAGTGAATGTGCTAAGGCTGGAAGCATTCCCCTTGAAAACTAACATAAGATAAGGATGCCCTCTCTCACCACTCTTATTCAATGTAGTACTGGAAGTTCTGGCCAGTGTGATCAGGCAAGAGAAAGAAATAAAGTGTATTCAAATAGGACGAGAGGAAGTCAAATAGTCTTTATTTACAGACGACTTGATTCTATATCCAGAAAACCCCAGGACTCAGCCCAAAAGCTTCTCCAGCTGATAAGCAACTTCAGCAAAGTCTCAGGATACAAAATCAATGTGCAGAAATCACAAGCATTCCTATACAATAACAACAGCCTAGCAGAGCACCAAATCATGAATGAACTCCCATTCACAATTGCCAGAAAGAGAATACAATACCTAGGAATATAGCTAACAAGGGAAGTTAAGGACCTCTTCAAGGAAGAATACAAACCACTCCTCAAGGAAATCAGAGAGGACACAAGAAGATTGAAAAACATTCCATGTTTATGGGTAGGTAGAATCAATATTGTGAAAATGGCCATACTGCCCCAAGCAATGTACAGACTCAATGCTATTCCCATTAAACTACCATTGACATTCTTCACATAATTAGAAAAAGACTATTTTAAATTTTTTTCTATTATACTTTAAGTTTTAGGGTACATGTGCACAATGTGCAGGTTAGTTAAATATGTATACATATGTCATGTTGGTGTGCTGCACCCAGTAACTCATCATTTAACATTAGGTATATCTCCAAATGCTATCCCTACCCCTTCCCCCCACCCCACAACAGGCTCCAGTGTGTGATGTTCCCCTTCCTGTGTCCATGTGTTCTCGTTGTTCAATTCCCACCTATGAGTGAGAACATGTGGTGTTTGGTTGTTTGTCCTTGTGATAGTTTGCTGAGAATGATGGTTTCCAGCTTCATCCATGTCGCTACAAAGGACATGAACTCATCATTTTTTATGGCTGCATAGTATTCCATGGTGTATATGTGCCACGTTTTCTTAATCCAGTCTATCATTGTTGGACATTTGGGTTGGTTCCAAGTCTTTGCTATTGTGAATAGTACCACAATAAACATACGTGTGCATGTGTCTTTATAGCAGCATGATTTATAATCCTTTGGGTATATATCCAGTAATGGGATTGCTGAGTCAAATGGTATTTCTAGTTCTAGATCCCTGAGGAATCGCCACACTGACTTCCACAGTGGTTGAACAAGTTTACAGTCCCACCAACAGTGTAAAAGTGTTCCTATTTCTCCACATCCTCTCCAGCACCTGTTGTTTCCTGACTTTTTAATGATCGTCATTCTAACTGGTGTGAGATGGTATCTCACTGTGGTTTTGATTTGCATTTCTCTGATGGCCAGTGATGATGAGCATTTTTTCATGTGTTTTTTGGCTGCATAAATGTCTTCTTTGGAGAAGTGTATGTTCATATCCTTTGCCCACTTTTTGATGGGGTTGTTTGTTTTTTTCTTGTAAATTTGTTTGAGTTCTTTGCAGATTCTGGATATTAACCCTTTGTCAGATGAGTAGATTGCAAAAATTTTTTCCCATTCTGTAGGTTGCCTGTTCACTCCGATGGTAGTTTCTTTTGCTGTGCAGAAGCTCTTGAGTTTAATTAGATCCCATTTGTCAATTTTGCCTTTTGTTGCCATTGCTTTTGGTGTTTTAGACATGAAGTTCTTGTCCATGCCTATGTCCTTAATGGTATTGCCTAGGTTTTCTTCTAGGGTTTCTATGGTTTTAGGTCTAACATTTAAATCTGTAATCCATCTTGAATTAATTTTTGTATAAGGTGTAAGGAAGGAATCCAGTTTCAGCTTTCTACATATGGCTAGCCAGTTTCCCCAGCACCATTTATTAAATAGGGAATCCTTTCCCCATTGCTTGTTTTTGTCAGGTTTGTCAAAGGTCAGATAGTTGTAGATATGCGGCATTATTTCTGAGGGCTCTGTTCTGTTCCATTGGTCTATATCTCTGTTTTGGTACCAGTACCATGCTGTTTTGGTTACTGTAGCCTTGTAGTATAGTTTGAAGTCAGGTAACATGATGCCTCCAGCTTTGTTCTTTTGGCTTAGGATTGACTTGGCAATGCAGGCTCTTTTTTTGGTTCCATATGAACTTTAAAGTAGTTGTTTCCAATTCTGTGAAGAAAGTCATTGGTAGCTTGATGGGGATGACATTGAATCTATAAATTACCTTGGGCAGTATGGCCATTTTCACAATATTGATTCTTCCTACCCATGAGCATGGAATGTTCTTCCATTTCTTTGTATCCTCTTTTATTTCATTGAGCAGTGGTTTGTAGTTCTCCTTGAAGAGGTCCTTCACATCCCTTGTAAGTTGGATTCCTAGGTATTTTATTCTCTTTGAAGCAATTGTGAATGGGAGTTCACTCAGGATTTGGCTCAGTGTTTGTCTGTTATTGGTGTATAAGAATGCTTGTGATTTTTGCCCGTTGATTTTGTATCCTGAGACTTTTCTGAAGTTGCTTATCAGGTTAAGGAGATTTTGGGCTGGGACAATGAGGTTTTCTAGATATACAATCATAAAGAGCTCGTATAGCCAGGACAATCCTAAGGAAAAATAACAAAGCTGGAAGCATCACACTACCTGACTTCAAAATATGCTATAAGGCTACAGCAACCAAAACATCATGGTACTGTACAAAAACAGGCACATAGACTAATGGAGCAGAATAAAGAACTCAGAGGTAAAACCACACATCTGCAACCATCTGATCTTTGACAAACTTTCAACAAAAACAAGCAATGGGGAAAAGATTACCTATTTAACAAATGGTGCTGGAAGACCTGGCTATTCATATACATAAAATTGAAATTGGACTCCTTCCTTACACTTTATGCAAAAATTAACTCAAGATGGATTAAAGAATTAAATGTAAAACCCAAAACTATAAAAACCATAGAAGAAAATCTAGTCAATACTATTTAGGAGATAGGCATGGGCAAATATTTTTATGATGAAATCACCAAAAGCAATTGCAACAAAAGCAAAAATTGACAAATGGGATCTAATTAAAGAGCTCCTGTGCAGCAAAAGAAACTATCATCAGAGTGAACAGACATCCTACAGAATGGGAGAAAATTTTTGCAATCTATCCATCCGACAAAGGTCTAATATCCAGAATCTACAAGGAACTTAAACAAATTTTATGAGAAAAAAACAAATAACCCCATTGAAAAGTGGGCAAAAGAGATGAACAGAGAATTTTGAAAAGAAGACATACATGCGGCCAACAAGCATATGAAAAAAAGCTCAACATCACTGATCATTAGAGAAATGCAAATCAAAACCACAATGAGATACCATCTTATGCCAGTCAGAATGGTGATTATTAAAAAGTCAAGAAACTACAGATGCTGTTGAGGTTGTGGAGGAATAGGAATGCTTTTACACTGTTGGTGGGAATGTAAATTAGTTAAACCATTGTGGAAGACAGTGTGGTGATTCCTCAAAAGATTTAGAACAAGAAATACCATTTGACCCAGCAATCCCATTACTGGGTATATACCCAAAGGAATATAAATCATTATATTATAAAGATACATCCATGCATCTGTTCATTGCAGCACTATTCACAATAGCAAAGATGTGAAATTAAATCAAATGCCCATCAATGATAGACTGTATAAAGACAATATAGTACACATACAGCATGGAGTACTATGCAGTCATAAAAAAGGACAAGATTATGTCTTTTGCAGGGACATGGATGAAGCTAGAAACCATTATCCTCAGCAAAGTCATGCAGGAACAGAAAACCAAACACCACATATTCTCAGTGATAAATGGCAGCTAAACAATGAGAACACAAGGACAAAGGGAGGGGAACAGCACACACTGGGGTCTGTCAGGGGAGGGCAGGGGTCAGGGAGAGCATTAGGAAAAAAAGCTATTGTGTGCTGTGCTTGATACCTAGGTGATGGGTTGATAGGTGCAGGAAACCACCATAGTACACATTTACTTATGTAACAAATCTGCACATCCTGCACATGTACCCTGGAACTTAAAAAATATAATAAAATAAAAAATTTACAAAAAGTAGAACTATCATGTGATTCAGCAATTCCATTACTGGGTATATATCCAAAGGAAATGGAATCAGTACGTTGAAGGGATATCAGCACTCCCATGTTCACTGCAGCATTATTCACAATAGTCAAATATGGAATCAAGCTAAGTGTCCATCAATGGATGAATGGATGAATATAATGTGGCATTTATACACAATGGAATACTATTCAACCTTAAAAAAGAAGAAAGTCCTGCCATTTGTGACAGCATAGGTGAACCTAGAGGACACTGTGCTAAGTGAAATAGGCCAGGCACAGAAAGATAAGTACCATGTGATTTCACTTATATGTGGAATTTATAAGAGTTGAGTTGATGGAAGTAGAAAATCGACTGATGATTTCCAAGGACTGGGAAGATGTTGGTCAAATATTACAAAATTTCAGTTAGATAGGAAGAATAAGTTCAACAGATCTATTGTACAACATGGTGACTATAGTTAACTAGAGTTAACTAAACTATACTATATAATAACTATAGTTAACTATTGAAAATTGCTAAGAGCATAGATTTTAAGTGCTATCACCACAAAAATGATAAGTATGTGAGGTAATGCATATGTTAACTAGCTTGATTAAGCCATTACATGTATAAATATATCAAAACATGTTGTATATGATAAGTATATATAATTTTTATTTATCGATTAAAGAGCAAATAGGTAACAATGAAGTATTAATATACACAACAATTGGGATTGATCTCAAGGATGGATTATGTTGAGTGAAAAAAGCCAATCTCAAAAGATCACATACTGTATATTCCATTCATATAACATACTCGAATTGACAAAGGTATAGAAATGTAGAATGGATTAGAGGTTATTAGGGCTTAGGGATGGTGGATTTTAGAGAGTAGACGTGGCTGTAAAGGGGTAATTGAATAGTTTTGTATTTTAAGTCAGTGGTGGTTATTAAAATCTACATATGTGATAATATGAACTATACATATTATATATGTGTAGAACATAAAACTATACACAAACATTGTGTCAATGACCATTTCTTGGTTTTGATATTGTGCCATAATTATGTAAGATGTTACCAGTTAGGTAAACTTGAAGAAGGTTATAAAGGAACTCTCTGTATTATCTTTGCAAATTTCTCTCTATCTGTAATTATTTCAAAATGAAGTTTTTAGAGGTGATGAATGAAGAAACTATACACACAAAAATAATAAACAGAAGGCTGGTGAAATTATATTGACATCTGACTAAGCTGGCTTTAAGGCAGAAAAACACATAATAAATTAAAACCTTCTAAATAACACTAAATTATACAACTGACTCAAAATCTGTATCAATTCAGGATATTTATAAACCAAAGAATATAGCTTCAAAATATGTAAAGCAGAAACCATCAGACTTACAAGAAGAAACTGATAAATTGATAATCACATTTATATTATAGAATTTTAACATAATTCCTCTCCGTAATTGGTAGATGAAGCAAACTAATACTAAATAAAGATAGAGATAAATTAAACAACATAGTAAGGTTTGTCTGATGAATGCATGTAAAATAAGACACTGAACAAAAAAAAGAGTACATATTCATTCTAGACTAAACAGAACATTTTTTAAAAGTAAACACATACTATAAAACAGAGCAAATATTACCAAAGAGTCATTCCCCTCTTTATCACATTGTCTTCCCACAACACAAGTAAATTAGTCATCAATAACAAAAGATAACCCCCAATGCCTGAAATACTTGGCTATTCAAAGAATAGTTTATAAATAACCTGTGTGTCAAGGGAGAATTCATAGGGGAAATTAGAAAAGGTTTGGAATGAGAATGAAAGTAGTACACATCAAAACTTGTGAGATGCAGCTAGAGTGGTATTTAAAGTGAAATTTTGAAGACATAAATGTTTGTATTAACAAAGAAGACTGAAAGTAGTAAGCTAAGTAAATAATTCAAGAAACTAAAAAACAACAAAATAGAAGTAAAAGAAAGGAAACAATAGGATCAACAATCAACAAAACCAAAAGCTGATTATTTGACAAGAAAAAAGTTAAGAGAGAGAGAAAGATCACAAATGAGTAATTATGGGAATAAAAAGGGAACGTTAAGTACAGTATAATGGTTTTTAAAAATTCACTTTTATGAAAGGAGCACTGTGCACAATGTTGTTAAACAATACACTTAAACTTACATCAGGAGGGAGGAGCCTAGATGGCCGAATAGGAACAGCTCTGGTCTACAGCTCCCAGCATGAGTGATGCAGAAGATGGGTGATTTCTGCATTTCCAACTGAGGTACCAGGTTCATCTCACTGGGGAGTGCCAGGCAGTAGGTGCAGGACTGCGGAGAGCCAGACAGTAGGTGCAGCGCACCGTGCATGAGCCAACGCAGGGTGAGGCATCGCCTCACCCTGGAAGCACAAGGGGTCAGGGAATTCCCTTTCCTAGTCACAGAAAGCGGTGACAGATGGCACCTGGAAAATCGGGCCACTCCGACCCTAATACTGCGCTTTTCCAACTGGCTTAAAAAACGGCACACCAGGAGATTATATCCTGCACATGGCTCAGAGGGTCCTATGCCCACAGAGTCTCGTGCATTGCTAACACAGCAGTCCAAGATCAAACTGCAAGGTGGCAGTGAGGCTGGGGGAGGGGCGCCTACCATTGCCGAGTTAGTTGTTTGATTAGGTAAACAAAGCGGCCCCAAAGCTCAAACTGGGTGGAGCCCACCACAGCTCAAGGAGGCCTACCTGCCTCTGTAGGCTCCACCTCTGGGTGCAGGGCACAGACAAACAAAAAGACAGCAGTAACCTCTGCAGACTTAAATGTCCCTCTCCGAAAGCTTTGAAGAGAGTAGTGGTTCTCCCAGCACGCAGCTTGAGATCTGAACACCAGCAGACTGCCTCCTCAAGTGGGTTCTTGACACCCAAGTAGCCTAACTGGGAGGCACCCCCCAGTAGGGGGCGGACTGACACCTCACATGGCCAGGTACTCCTCTGAGACTAAACTTCCAGAGGAACGATCAGGCAGCAGCATCTGTGGTTCATCAATATCCACTGTTCTGCAGCCACTGCTGCTGACACCCAGGCAAACAGGGTCTGGAGTGGACCTCTAGCAAACTCCAACAGACCTGCAGCTGAGGGTACTGTCTGTTAGAAGGAAAACTAACAAACAGAAGGGACATCCACACCAAAAATCCATCTGTATGTCACCATCATCAAAGACCAAATGTAGATAAAACCACAAAGATGGGAAAAAAACAGAGCAGAAAAACTGGAAGCTCTAAAAAGCAGAGCGCCTCTCCTCCTCCAAAGGAACGCAGCTCCTCACCAGCAATGGAACAAAGCTGGACAGGGAATGACTTTGACGAGTTGAGAGAAGAAGGCTTCAGATGATCAAACTACTCCTAGCTACAGGAGGAAATTCGAACCAATGGCAAAGAAGTTAAAAGATCCGAAAAAAAAATAGACGAATGGATAACTAGAATAACTAATGCAGAGAAGTCCTTAAAGAAACTGATGGAGCTGAAAACCAAGGCAAGAGAGCTACGTGATGAATGCTGAAGCCCCAATAGCCGATGCGATCAACTGGAAGAAAGGCTATCAGTGATGGAAGATGAAATGAATGAAATGAAGCAAGAAGAGGAGTTTAGAGAAAAAAGAATAAAAAGAAACGAACAAAGCCTCCAAGAAATATGGAAATATGTGAAAAGACCAAATCTACGTCTGATTGGTGTACCAGAAAGTGACAGGGAGAATGGAACCAAGTTGGAAAACACTCTGCAGGATATTATCCAGGAGAACTTCCCCAATCTAGCAAGGCAGGCCAACATTCAGATTCAGGAAATACAGAGAACGCCACAAAGATACTCCTAGAGAAGAGCAACTCCAAGACAAATAATTGTCAGATTCACCAAAGTTGAAATGAAGGAAAAAATGTTAAGGGCAGCCAGAGAGAAAGGTTGGATTACCCACAAAGGGAAGCCCATCAGACTAACAGCGGATCTCTAGGCAGAAACTCTACAAGCCAGAAGAGAGTGGGGGCCAATATTCAACATTCTTAAAGAAAAGAATTTTCAACACAGAATTTCATATCCAGCCAAACTAAACTTCAGAAGTGAAGGAGAAATAAAATACTTTACAGACAAGCAAATGCTGAGAGATTTTGTCACCACCAGGCCTGCCTTACAAGAGATCCTGAAGGAAGCACTAAACATGGAAAGGAACAACTGGTACCAGCCACTGCAAAAACATGCCAAATTGTAAAGACCATCGAGGCTAGGAAGAGACTGCATCAACTATCGAGCAAAATGACCAGCTAACATAATAACGACAGGATCAAATTCACACATAACAATATTAACCTTAAATGTAAATGGGCTAAATGCTCCAATTAAAAGATGCAGACTGGCAAATTGGATAAAGAGTCAAGAACCATCAGTGTGCTGTATTCAGGAAACCCATCTCACGGGCAGAGACACACGTAGGCTCAAAATAAAGGGATGGAGGAAGATCTACCAAGCAAATGGAAAACAAAAAAAGGCAGGAGTTGCAATCCTAGTCTCTGATAAAACAAACTTTAAACCAACAAAGATCAAAAGAGACAAAGAAGGCCATTACATAATGGTAAAGGGATCAATTCAACAAGAAGAGCTAACTATCTTAAATATATATGCACCCAATACAGGAGCACCCAGATTCATAAAGCAAGTCCTTAGTGACCTACAAAGAGACTTAGACACCCACACAATAATAATGGGAGACTTTAACACCTCACTGTCAACATTAGACAGATCAATGAGACAGAAAGTTAGCAAGGATACCCAGGAATTCAACTCAGCCCTGCACCAAGTGGACCTAATAGATATCTACAGAACTCTCCACCCCAAATCAACAGAATATATATTCTTTTCAGCACCACACCACACTTACTCCAATACTGACCACATAGTTGGAAGTAAAGCACTCCTCAGCAAATGTAAAAGAACAGAAATTATAACAAACTGTCTCTCAGACCACAGTGCAATCAAACTAGAACTCAGGATTAAGAAACTCACTGAAAACCGCTCAACTACATGGAAACTGAACAACCTGCTCCTGAATGACTACTGGGTACGTAACGAAATGAAGGCAGAAATAAAGATGTTCTTTGAAACCAACGAGAACAAAGACACAACATACCAGAATCTCTGGGACACATTCAAAGCAGTGTGTAGAGGGAAATTTATAGCACTAAATGCCCACAAGAGAAAGCAGGAAAGATCTAAAATTGACACCCTAACATCACAATTAAAAGAGCTAGAGAAGCAAGAGCAAACACATTCAAAAGCTAGCAGTAGGCAAGAAATAACTAAGATCAGAGCATAACTGAAGGAAATAGAGGCAGAAAAAAACCCTTCAAAAGATTAATGAATCCAGGAGCTGGTTTTTTGAACGGATCAACAAAATTGATAGACCAGTAGCAAGACTAATAAAGAAGAAAAGAGAGAAGAATCAAATAGATGCAATAAAAAATCATAAAGGGGATGTCACCACCAATCCCACAGAAATACAAACTACCATCAGAGAATACTACAAACACCTCTACGCAAATAAACTAGAAAATCTAGAAGAAATGGATAAATTCCTCCACACATACATCCTCCCAAGACTAAACCAGAAAGTAGTTGAATCTCTGAATAGACCAATAACAGGCTCTGAAATTGAGGCAATAATCAATAGCTTACAAACCAAAAAAGTCCAGGACCAGATGGATTCACAGCCGAATTCTACCAGAGGTACAAAGAGGAGCTGTTACCAGTCCTTCTGAAACTATTACAATCAATAGAAAAAGAGGGAATCCTCCCTAACTCATTTTATGAGGCCAGCATCATCCTGATACCAAAGCCGGGCAGAGACACAACCAAAAAAGAGAATTTTAGATCAATATCCCCGATGAACATCGATGCAACAATCCTCAATAAAATACTGGCAAACCGAATCCAGCAGCACATCAAAAAGCTTATCCACCATGATCAAGTGGGTTTCATCCCTGGGATGCAAGGCTGGTTCAACATATGCAAATAAATAAATGTAATCCAGCATATAAACAGAACCAAAGACAAAAACCACATGATTATCTCAATAGATGCAGAAAAGGCCTTTGACGAAATTCAACAACTTCATGCTAAAAACTCTCAATAAATTAGGTATTGATGGGACGTATCTCAAAATAATAAGAGCTATGTATAACAAACCCACAGTCAATATCATACTGAATGGGCAAAAACTGGAAGCATTCCCTTTGAAAACTGGCACAAGACAGGGATGCCCTCTCTCACCACTCCTATTCAACATAGTGTTGGAAGTTCTGGCCAGGGCAATCAGGAAGGAAATAAAGGGTATTCAATTAGGAAAAGAGGAAGTCAAATTGTCCCTGTTTGCAGATGACATGACTGTATATCTAGAAAACCCCATCATCTCAGCCCAAAATCTCCTCAAGCTGATAGGCAACTTCAGCAAAGTCTCAGGATATAAAATCAATGTACAAAAGTCACAAACATTCTTATACACCAATAACAGACAAACAGAGAGCCAAATCATGAGTGAACTCCCATTCACAATTGTTTCAAAGAGAATAAAATACCTAGGAATCCAACTTACAAGGGATGTGAAGGACCTCTTCAAGGAGAACTACAAACCACTGCTCAATGAAATAAAAGAGGATACAAACAAATGGAAGAACATTCCATTTTCATGGGTAGGAAGAATCAATATCGTGAAAATGGCCATACTGCCCAAGGTAATTTATAGATTCAATGCCTTCCCCATCAAGCTACCAATGACTTTCTTCACAGAATTGGAAAAAACTACTTTAAAGTTCATATGGAACCAAAAAAAGAGCCTGCATTGCCAAGTCAATCCTAAGCCAAAAGAACAAAGCTGGAGGCATCATGCTACCTGACTTCAAACTATACTACAAGGCTACAGTAACTAAAACAGCATGGTACTAGTACCAAAACAGAGATATAGATCAATGGAACAGAACAGAGCCCTCAGAATTATGTCGCATATCTACAACTATCTGATCTTTGACAAACCTGAGAAAAACAAGCAATGGGGAAAGGATTCCCTATTTAATAAATGGTGCTGGGAAAACTGGCTAGCCATATGTAGAAAGCTGAAACTGGATCCCTTCCTTACACCTTATACAAAAATTAATTCAAGATGGATGAAAGACTTAAATGTTAGACCTAAAACCATAAAAACCCTAGAAGAAAACCTAGGCATTACCATTCAGGACATAGGCATGTGCAAGGACTTCATGTCTAAAACACCATAAACAATGGCAACAAAAGCCAAAATTGACAAATGGGATCTAATTAAATTCAAGAGCTTCTGCACAGCAAAAGAAACTACCAACGGAGTGAACAGGCAACCTACAGAATGGGAGAAAATTTTTGCAATCTACTCATCTGACAAAGGGCTAATATCCAGAATCTACAATGAACTCAAACAAATTTACAAGAAAAAAAACAACCCCATCAAAAAGTGGGCAAAGGATATGAACAGACACTTCTCAAAAGAAGACATTTATGCAGCCAAAAACACATGAAAAAATGTTCATCATCACTGGCCATCAGAGAAATGCAAATCAAAACCACAATGAGATACCATCTCACACCAGTTAGAATGGCAATCATTAAAAAGTCAGGAAACAACAGGTGCTGGAGAGGATGTGGAGAAATAGGAACACTTTTACACTGTCGGTGGGACTGTAAACTTGTTCAACCATTGTGGAAGTCAGTGTGGTGATTCCTCAGGGATCTTGAACTAGAAATACCATTTGACCCAGCCATCCCATTACTGGGTATATACCCAAGGATTATAAATCATGCTGCTATAAAGACCCATGCACATGTATGTTTATAGTGGCACTATTCACAATAGCAAAGACTTGGAACCAACCTAAGTGTCCAACAGTGATAGACTGGATTAAGAAAATGTTGCACATATACACCATGGAATACTATGCAGCTATAAAAAATGATGAGTTCATGTCCTTTGTAGGGACATGGATGAAGTTGGAAACCATCATTCTCAGGAAACTATCACAAGGACAAAAAACCAAACACTGCATGTTCTCACTCATAGGTAGGAATTGAACAATGAGAACACATTGACACAGGAAGGGGAACATCACACACCAGGGATTGTTGTGGGGTGTGGGGAGGGGGGTAGGTATAGCATTAGGAAATATACCTAATGCTGAATGACGGGTTAATGGGTGCAGCATACCAGCATGGCACATGTATACATATGTAACAAACCTGCACATTGTGCACATGTGCCCTAAAACTTAATGTATAATAATAATAAAATTAAAAAAAAGAAAAGGCATCCAAATAGGAAAAAAAATAGTAAAATAATCTTACATCAAAAGAACAATATTCTGACTTACCAATAAAAATAAAAATAAAAGAATAAAAAAGAAAAATATGGAAGTGGGGGAAGATGGAAGGTCAGTGGAAGAATGGTGAAGGGGAAGAAAAAGAAAAGAAGAGAGGTTTGGGTTGTAACCTATAGTACAGTAGGACAGACAGTGCAGAACGGAATTTAATAGGACTTGAAAAGATACAACATAATACAATAGAATTCACTATTCTCTCTCTCTCTCTCTCTGTCTCTCTGTCTCTTGTTGTCTCTGTCTCCCTCTATCTCTTTGGTCTCTGAAACCACTAAAAGTCTCTTACTAAGGAATCTTCTAAAGGGAGAAACTTTGGGATCACTGAGTGTTATTACTGCAGTAAAGTGAAGTACAAAACATTTATTAATTTAACTATGATAAAATTTCAGACAAAATTAACTTTGCAAAATAATGGATGCATTACACTACAAGGCTGAGTTGTTTAACCATCAAAACTTTAAATCTACTACAGATCTCATCACATTCTGCCAGATGAAATCCAACAGAGGATTGAAAGTGTTTACTGAAGGCTTCCAAAGGACTTGGAAAGAAGTATTTCAAGGGCCCCATTATGAGGGGCCCTTTGAGATTTTGTCCCATCCCATCACTCTAACCTGTCCCTTGATTCCTCCGTCCAATCCATCAGCAAGTCCAGTATGTCCAGTTCCTAAATACATTCCAAAACCATCTGCTTTATCTCCACTGGGCCAACCTTACACCTACGCACCTTCATCTCTCACCTGCAATAGCCTCCTAACTAGTTGTTCTTTCACTACTGACCTTTACAGTCTATTCCTTACCCAACTGCAAGTGTGAAATATTTTAAATGTTAATCAGATCATATTACTCACATACACTAAACTTTGTAAGAACCTTCCACTACATTAATAATAACATCCAAACCTGCTACCCCAGACTTCAAGACACATTCATGATCTGGCCTCTACCTATCACAGTAGTCTCAATGTTGTGGCCTCACCTCAAATGTTACATTCCCAAAGAAGCCTTTTATTTTCTTCTTGTTTAAAGTAGTACTCTCTCCCTACAGGTACTGTTTATCACCGTACCTGGTTAAATTCCTCATAGCATTTACTCTGATCTGAAAGTAGTACATACCCACACACACTCACCCCTCGCTCCCACTAGATTTCTTGTCCTGAGACCATGCATTCCTCAGAGTTGGCCCAAATTTATCTAACTACAAATTAGAATTTGCTCATATACCTGAACATTCAAATGTAAAATTTAGCAAATTCTGTTCAGTCTACAAAACTTGTAACAAAGAAGATGAAAATATCTTAACTGCTAAATATGCACACCTTGCACACACCACTGATAAAATGAAAGTGATCTGCTTGCCTGTAATTTTGAGGTTTTCATAATGAAAGGTTGTGGTCACTTTTCAATTTTCTCAAAACATGAAGAAGCACTTATTGGGATTTTTGACTATACATAAATGGAAGTACATAGCATCCTCAGACACATGTCTACAAGAGGGCTATTATTGTTGCCAGTCACAGAAAATATCTAAACTGTTGGTCTGCCATAAAATCATATTTTCAAAACATGAGATAAGAATAATATCATTCCCTTATTTGAAAATATATTGAAGATGGGAAAGGAGAAAAGAATTAGAGTAAAACAAATTTTTATGCTGTTCCTCTAAAACTGAAGATCTTTGAAGAACCTTTAAGGAGTTTGTCAAAATAAAAAAAGCTGGAGACGTGTTGAAGTTGTAAGGACAGATTTTAAAATAATTGGCAATATACTATTGCAATAGGGAAAAGCATCCAGCATAAACTGAACACAGCTTCAGTTTGTGGAGAGGTACCTGGGTATTAATGAAGAAAAAATGAAAAGGAGAGAGGAAATGGTAGGGACTTGAGCAGAGTACGGGAAAAGGAAAATTATAAAAAGCAAGAGGAGGCTTGAGGTGCCTACTGAAGCAGATATATCTTAGATCACAACACCCAAGTCCTTTCAAATATCTGGAAAGCCTTCCCGAGAATGACGGGTACAAAAAAAGCCGAGACTGTGAAGACTATGATAAAAACTGAACTCTTTAATGCCATGACACTGAAGAATATCTACTAGCATCAACACCATCCAGGAAAATGACCTCACTAAATGAGCAAAATAAGCCACCAGGGACCATCTTAAAGAAAAAGAGATATGTGACCTTTCAGACAGAAAATTCAAAATAGCCATGTTAAGAAAACTCAAAGAAATTCAAGATAACACAGAGAAGGGATTTAGAATTGTATCAGATAAATTTAACAAAGAGATTGAAGTAATTAAAAAGAAGCAGAAATTCTACAGTTGAAAAATGCATCTGGCATACTGAAGAATGCATCACAGTCCTTTAATGGCAGAATTGATCAAGCAGAAGAAATAATTAGCGAACTTAAAGACGGGCTGTTTGAAAACTCACAGTCAGAGGAGACAAAAGAAAAGGTAATAAAAACAATGGGGCACACCTATGAGATTTAAAAAATAGCTTCGAAAGAAAAAATCTGAGTTATTGACCTCAAAGAGGAGATAGAGAAAGAGATAGGGATAGAAAGTTTATCCAAAGGGATACTAATAGAGAACTTCCCAAACCTAAGGGAAGATATCAATATCCAAATACAAGACTATAGAACACAAAGCAGGTTTAACCAAAAAAAGACTACCTCAAGGCATTTTATAATGAAATTCCTAAAGATCAAGGATACAGAAAGGACCCTAAAAACACCAAGAGAAAAGCAACAAATTACATACAATGGAGCTCCAATACATCTGACAGCAGACATCTCAGTGGAAACCTTACAGACCAGGAGGGAGGAGTGTGACATATTTAAAGTGCTGAAGGAAAAAAAATTGATTATCCTAGAATAGTATATCCAGTGAAAATATTCTTCAAACATGAAGGAGAAATACTTTCACAGCAAACAAACAAACAAGCAAAAACTTGAGATACTCCATGAACACCCAGACTTGTCCCACAAAATGTTAAATGGATTTCTTCCATCTGAAAGAAAAGGCTGTTAACAAGCAATAAAATATCTGAAGGCAAAACACTCATTGGTAATAGAAAGTACACAGGCAAACACAGACTATCATAATACTGTAGTTATGTTGTGTAAGCTACTCATATCTTGAGTACAAAAACTAAAATATGAACCTATCAAAAATAATAACTAAAACATCTTTTCAAAACATGGACAGTATAATAAGATATAAACTGAAACAAGAAAAAGTTTAAAATAGAGGGGGAATGAAGTTAAAGTGTGCAGTTTTCATTAATTTTCTCTTTGCTTGTTAGTATGTTTATCTGTTTTGCAATCACTGTTAAGTTGTCATCACTTTAAAATAATGGGTTATAAGATGTTACTTGCAAGCATTATAGTAACCCCAAATCAAAAATCCTACAACAGATACCTAAAAATTAAAAGGAAAGAATTAAAACATACCACCAGAGAAAATCACTTTCGCAAAAAGGAAGACGGGAAGGAAGAGAATACCACAAAACAACCAGAAAACAAATAACCAAATGGTAGAAGTCCTTACTTATCAATAGTAACATTGAATGGAAATGGACTAAACTCTCCAGTCAAAAGAAAGAGTGGCTCAGTGGATTAAAAAGACAAGACCCAGCGATCTGTTGCCTACAAGACACACAGTTCACCTATAAGGACATGCATAGACTGAAAATAAAGGGATGGAAAAATATATTCCATGCCAATGGAAACCAAAAAAAAAAAAAAAGGAGTAACTATACTAATAGATTTCAAGACCAAAACTATAGAAGAGACAAAGAAGGACATTAAATAATGATAAAGGGACCAATTCAGCAAGAGGATAAAACAATTGCAAATACATATGCACCCAACACTGGTGCACCTAGATATATAAAGAAAATATTAATAGAGCTAAAGGGAGAGATTGATTCCAATAAATTAACAGCTGGGGACTTCAGTGCCCCACTTTCAGCTTTGGACAGAACATCTAGACAGAAAATCAACAAGGAAACATCAGATTTAATCTGCACTATAAACCAAATGGACCTAATAGATATTTACAGAACACTTCATCCAATGGATGAGGAATGCACGTTCTTCTCTTCAGCACATGGATCGTTCTCAAGGATAGCCCATATGTTAGGCCATGAAACAAGTCTTAAAACATTCAAAGTAATTGAAATCATATCAAGTGTCTTCTCTGATCATAATGAAATAAAATAAAAAGTCAAAAACAAGAGGAACTACGGAAACTATACAAACACATGGAAATTAAACAACATGCTGCTGAATGATCAGTGGATCAATGAATAAATTAAGAAGGAAATTGAAAAAATTCTTGAAAGAAATCATAATGGAAACAACATGCCAAACCTATGGGATAGAGCAAAAGCAGTACTAAGAGGAAAGTTTATAGCTATAAACACCTACATCAATAAAATAGTAAAACTTCCAATAAGCAACCTAACAATTCTTCTTAAAGAACTCGAAAAGCAAGAGCAAATCTAGCCTAAAATTAGTAGAAGAAAATAAATAATAAAGATCTGAGCAGAAATAAATGAAACTGAAATGAAAAAAACTAAAACACCAATAAAATGAAAAGTTGGTTTTTCAAAAAGACCTTTAAAAATCGACAAAGCTTTAGCCACACTAAGAAGAAAAGAGAGAATACCCAAATAAATAAAATCAGAGCTAAAAAGGGAGACATTACAACTGATCCTGTAGAAGGTCAAAGGATCATTAGAGACTACTATGAAAAACTATACACCAATAATTTGGAAAACCTAGAATAAATGGACAAATTCCTAGACATATACAACCTAGCAATATGGAACCATGAAGAAATCCAAAACCTGAACAGATCAATAACAAGTAATGAGAGCAAAACTATAATAATAAAAAAAAAACTTACAGCAAAGAAAAGCCAGTGACCCCATGGCTTCATTGCTGAATTCTACCAAACATTTAAATAAGAACTAATACCAATCCTAATTAAACTATTTTCAAAAAGTAGAGGAGGATGGAATAATTCCAAACTGATTTCATGAGCTCATTGTATAAGGTCATTACCCTGATACCAAAACCAGATGACACATTAAAAAAACCCCACAAAACTACAGTCTAATAACCCTGACAGATATTGATGCAAAAATCCTCAACAAAATACTAGCAAACTGAATTCAGCAACACATTAAAAATATCATTCATCATTACCAGATGGAATTTAACTCTGGCATGTGAGGATGTTTCAACATATGCAAACCAGTCATTGTGATACATCATATCAACAGAATGAAGGACAAAAACCATATCATCAATTTAATTGATACTGAATAAGCATTTGATAAAATTCAACATCTCTTCATGGAAAAAAACTAAAAAAACTGAGTATAGAAGGAACATACCTCAACACAATGAAAACCATAAAAACCACAGATGACAGACTTACAGCTAGTATCACACTGAATGGGGAAAAACTGAAAGCCTTTCCTTTAAGATCTGGAACAAGACAAGGATGCCCTCTTTTACCACTGTTATTCAGCATAGTACTGGATGTCTTAGCTAAAGCAATCAGACAAGAGAAAGATGTAAAGTGCATCCAAATTGGAAAGGAATAAGTCAAATTATCCTTGTTTACAGATGATAAGATCCTATATTTCGCAAAACCTGAAGACTCCACCAGAAAACTCTTAGAACCGATAAACAAATTCGGTAAAGTTGCAGGATACAAAATCAACATACAAAAGTTAGTAGCATTTCTATATGCTAACAGTGAACAGACTAAAGAGAAAATCATGAAACCAATCCCATTTACAAGAGCTACAAATAAAATAAAACACCTAGGAATTCACTTAACAAAAGAAGTGAAAGATCTCTACAATGAAATCTTTAAAACATTGATGTGACAAATTGAAGAGGACACAAAAAATGAAAACATATTCCATGATCATGGATTAGAAGAATCAATATTACTAAAATGTCCATACTACCCAAAGCAATCTACAGATTCAATGTAACCCCTATCATAATACCAATGACGTTCTTCACGGAAATAGAAAAAAAATTCCTAAAATGTATATGGAACCATAAAAAATCCAGCATAGCCAATGCCATCCTGAGCAAAATTAACAAAACTGCAGGAGTCACATTACCTGACTTCAAATTACACTACAGAGTGATAGTAACCAAAACAGCATGGTACTGGTATTTAAACAGACACATAGACCAATGGAATAAAACAGAGAGCTCAGAAATACATCCATACATCTACAGGGAACTCATTTTTGACAAAGATGCCTAGAACCTACACTGGAGGAAGTACAGTCTTTTTAATGAATGGTGTTGGGAGAACTAGATATGCATATACAGAAGAATGAAACTAGACTCCTATCTCTCACCATATACAGAAATCAAATCAAAATGGATTAAAGACTTAAATCTAAGACCTCAAAGTATATAACTACTAATAGGGAATATTGGGGAAACTCTCCAGGACATTGGTCTGGGCAAGTAATAATTCCTGAGTAATAACTCACAAGTGCAGGCAACCAAAGCAAAAATGGACAAATACAATCACATCTAGTTAAACAGTTTCTGCACAGCAAAGGATACAATCAACAAAGTGAAGAGACAGCCCACAGAATGGGAGAAAATATTTACAAACTGTCCACCTGAAAAAGGATTAGTAAGCAGAATATCTAAGAAGTTCAAACAACTCAATAGAAAAAGTCTAATAATCTGATTTAAAAATGGACAAAAAATCTGAATAGACATTTCTCAACAGAAGACATGCAAATGGCAACAGCTGCTGCCTACTTTAGATAGAGAGTGTGCTTGTGAGTTTGCCTCAGTTCCTATGTCATCGAGTCTGCAAAATATATTTACATTTCCTTCTTGGTGCCTGTGTGTATTTGAGTTTAGAACCCTGCTTATAAGACCATAAGATATAATTCAACTCTATCAGTCTGTGATAGAGTCAGTTCAATATTTTGTACAACATTCCAGATTCCATAAACTTTTTTCCTTAGCCTCTACCCATTTCCAGATGAGGATATCTTTGCTCTTATTTCAGCTTTTGAAATGCTGTCATCAGAACTTCCTGCTTCCATTCCGAGTCTGTTCCTAACACCATTACCATCCTGCCACCCCCAACCCCTGAATTACAAGGTAACAAATGGTTTTATTTAGTAATCAGGCTTCTATTATTTCTTTTAACTTGACACACGAAATTGTATAAAAGCCTGATTACTAAGCAAAAGAAAAAATCCTGATATGCTGCCTTAATATTGGGAACCCCTGCCCTAAATAATTCTTTACTTAATAATAATTCTTATTGCCCTAAACAATTCTTCACTTAATAATATGCAGTGAATTGTTTCTGAGTTATTCAGCTGAATTTTTTTTACCTGCTTAAAACCCCATAACTCTAAATTATTGACCACAGTTTAAAAGGCCCTTTATTTCTCACTACTACTCCTTATACAGTGTCCACTGTTCAATTGCTTATACAAGGCATCCCTTTATTGTCCTTAAGGTGACAGTTTCAGGTTGTCCCTGATACATTCATATCTCCAAACTAGGAGTACTCTTTCTATAACAATTTTCAGGATGGCCCTGCCATATGTACTTAGGAAGGAGGAGGGCAAAACCTGCATTTACCAAAAGAATGTGTGCAAACTATCCCCACCCTCCTCAACTGTGAATATATTGTAAGTAGAGAGTTGAATTCTTTCTGTACCTTTCAGGCTACAAAGTGTTTTACTACTTTTGAAGTGTTGACTCCTGGCAATTATGGAGTAATTGGAGATGGCCTATAGATGACCTCTGGCCTCAGAGTCATTCAAGATTCTCGGGGAGGTGGGATTTATCTCAGCTGGGATATAACCCCTTGCCTTTTTGCACCTCCCAATCCTTCACACACACACCGCTCCCTACTCCATCAGTCTGCAACCACACCCCACTCTTGGCTTCATGATAAGGGCATGGGCTATGACATCAATTAAACCTGGGCTTGAACCCAGGTCACAAAACTTAACACATATGTAGAACAAGTATTTGTTCTTGTTATGTCTCAGATGCCTCATCTTTAGAATTATAGGCATCACAGTAACTATATTATAAATGGAACATATATGCAAAATGCCTGGCAGAGACAAACTGCTCAACAAATGGTCACCATTATTGTTGATACCCTGCCCCCATTCCTCTCCTGTGTCCATGCTTCTAACTAAGTGAGGCTTCTACATGCTGGGCTTCCACATCCATAGGAAGGGAATGAGAATGCCCACTCTTCATGAATTCTGTGAAGGTCTGATACGGTAAAATGTGCTAAATTTTAAATAGACAAGTGCTGAGTGGATGGTCTATCTCAGAGGGACCAGTGTCAGAACCTTCACATAGAACCAGAAGCAAGGATAAAGGTGAGCAAGCAAATGCTGGTGCACATATGAATGGGTGCACATCTACATGACTACATGCATGCAGGCATGCAAATGCACAGCGGGCTGAGTCTGAAGGTCTCCCCCGCTTGATCATTATGGGCTCATCCACTGGGAAAACCTGAGACTAAGGGACAAACACACTAATGACTCGAGGTGAGAGATGTTAAGGAGGGAATATATATTGTCTCATTACTTCATTTGTTCGTTCACTCATTTGATCCATCATGTCTCATTTTTTTAGGATGTTCTACGGGCCAAACCCCATTGAGATAGCAAGGCACACAACCCAGCATCTAAGGAATATAAGCTAGTGACTGGAAACAAGTAAGTGGCTCCTTAGGAAGATCATCTTATGATCATCTTATGACCAAGAGGCCCTTGGATTAGGAGAGGCTGGAGGTAAGGTAAAGCCAAGAAGGAGTCTGCTGCATAAATCTACACAGACAACCCTGTAAGACAGGGAGGGTGGTGCTAGTGGGAATAGCATCATTTTAATGAACCAGAGAGGGAAAGAACAATGTCTGGGGCATCAGGGGAAGTGCATCAAAACTCCTGACTCCATCGCCTGTCAGGGATTTGATACCAGGTCTGTTATTGTGCCAGTCACAGCCTCAGATGCCTCATATCTACATTGGGCATCCAAATGACAGTGACCACCTAGAGATAATGCACATGAAGAATGGCAAAAGGAAGTTACTTATTCTTGATATTATGAATATTAATAAGATGGATTTCAGATATATGTTGAAGTAAGAAATGCAACCACTGTTCATTGCCTAAGAATAAGTGATGCAGCGGATAATGCCTGGGGAAACTTTAATGTAATTGAGTATTTTTTTAAAATTTTGAGGATGTAAATATCCCATGTCTGCCTCCAGATTCATTCCCACTCCTAAAGAGAAAGAATGAAGGACTGGTGGCCTTCCCATTAGGAAAATGTACAGGCATGTCCAAGAGGAGCGAAAAAAGCTACTCTAAAGGCACTGGTGGTAGGCACCAAAGCCACAGAAGAGCATGCAGACTTATTTAATGCCTTGAATCATTTGGCATTTTTGTTCAGATTGCCCCTGATATCACTTGGGGCATGTCGGCACCCTGAGATGCCAAAGGACCCCAGGATGCATTTCAGGAAGCATCATCATGCCTATGATGATGGGCTCAATTTGTGGTTCTAAGAATTGTCATTTTGAGAAGAGTCCATGGGAAACCGAGTATGGGTTTACTCATGCTTAAAGAGAGAATCTTGGCTCCAAGATACAAATGTCATAGGCAATACCCAGCCCTCCCACAATTCTGCAGGCAGGCTGCACCTTGTTTTGCTCTGTGACTGTGTGTTGTGGGAGGCCGAGCATTAGTGTGGCTTAAGCAGCTATTTAAAATCCAATGATACTTCAGTAGGACAAGGCACCCAAGAGAAGCTCAAGGCAGCTGACCTGCTTCTCCTCCTGTATTCTGAATCTCATCTCCTACCCAAGCCAGAACCTGGGTGTCCCACTTAACCTGTTTCTCTCCCTCACTGCCAAGATCCAAGAAATCCACAAGGCTTATTGATGCTGTCTTCTAAACATCTCTCGTATTCATTTCCTTCTCTCCACTTCACTCTATTTCAGATCACCACTATCTGTAGCCTGGATAAGGGTCTTCCACTCTCCCTTCTCCCCTCCCACATAGTCAATTTTTCTCCATACTGCAGCCAAAGAGATTTTGCTAAACCACAGATCTGATCTCCTCAGTTCCCTGCTGGAAAACATTCAGTGATGCCCATCCAGTGCCTTTGGGGTAATGTTCAACAAGGCTTATATATTGTAGAATTATGTAGTGAGACAAGTCTCTACTTCCTATTGAAGATTCAGAAAAATCCATAAATTACGTCTATTCTGACTGAAGTAGAAGGAAGAATATTAAATAATTTGTCAAACATCCTGAAGATAAAATTTACTCTCATACTCCTTTGGAAATATTTCCCATTTGAGAAAATGGGCATTGCATTTTATTGGAGCATTGTTTTTAGAAAATCAAGTAAGTTGGGTGGGTCCGTTCCAAGATGGCCAAATAGGAACAGCTCAGGTCTGCAGGTTCCACTGTGATCCGTGCAGAAGACAGGTGATTTCTGCATTTCTGACTGAGGTACTTGGTTCATCTCATTGGGACTGGTTGGACAGTGGGTGTAGCCCACGGAGGGAGAGCAGAAGCAAGGTGGGGTGTCACTTCACCCAGGAAGCCCAAGGGTCAGGGGATTTCCTTTTCCTAGCCAAGGGAAGCTGTGACAGACTATACCTGGAAAAATGGTACACTCCTGCTCAAACACTGCACTTTTCAAATGGTCTTAGCAACTGGCAGACCAGGAGATTATATCCTGCACCTGGCTCAGCAGGTCCCACACCCACAGAGCCTTGCTCACTGCTAGTGCAGCAGTCTGAGATCAATCTGCAAGGCAGCAGCCCAGCAGGGGGAGGGGCAACTGCCATTGCTGAGGCTTGAGTAAGTAAACAAAGTGGCCGGGAAGCTCGAACTGGGCCGAACCCACCACAGCGCAGCAAGGCTTGCTGACTCCACCTCTGGAGGCAGGCATAGCTGAACAAAAGGCAGCAGAAACTTCTGCAGACTTAAACGTCCCTGTCTGACAGCTCTGAAGAGAGCAGTGATTCTCCAAGCATGGTGTTTGAGCTCTGAGAATGGACAGACTGCCTCCTCAAGTGGGCCCCTGACCACCGCGTAGCATAACAGGGAGACACCTCCCAGTAGGGCCCGACTGACACCTCATACAGCTGGGTGCCCCTCTGGGACAAAGCTCCCAGAGGAAGGATCAGGTAGCAATATTTGCTGTTCTATAATATTTGCTGTTCTGCAGCCTCTGCTGGTGATACCCAGGCAAACAGGGTCTGGAGTGGACCTCCAGCAATCTCCAACAGACCTGCAGCTGAGGGACCTGACTGTCAGAAGGAAAACTAACAAACAGAAAGGAATAGTATCAACATCAACAAAAAGGATATCCACACCAAAACCCCATCTGTGGGTCATCAACATCAAAGACCAAAGGTAGATAAAACCACAAAGATTGGGAGAAACCAGAGCAGAAAAGCTGAAAATTCTAAAAACCAGAGCGCCTCTTCTCCTCCAAAGGATCACACCAGCAGTGGAACAAAGCTGGACGCAGAGTGATTTTGACGAGGTGACAGAAGTAGTCTTCAGAAGGTCAGTAATAACAAACTTCTCTGAGCCCAAGGAGGATCTTCAAACCCATCACAAGGAAGCTAAAAACCTTGAAACAAAGATTAGATGAATGGCTAACTAGAATAAACAGTGTAGAGAAGACCTTAAATGACCTGATGGAGCTGAAAACCATGGCACAAGAACTACGTGACACATGCACAAGCTTCAATAGCCGATTCGATCAAGTGGAAGAAAGGGTATCAGTGATTGAAGATCAAATTAATGAAACAGAGCGAGAAGACAAGGTTAGAGAATGAAAAATAAAAGGAAATGAACAAAGCTTCCAAGAAATATGGGGCTGTGTGAAAAGACCAAATCTACGTTTGATTGGTGTACCTGAAAGTGATAGGGAGAAAAAAACCAAGTTGGAAAACACTCTTCAGGATATTATCCAGGAGAACTTCCCCAACCTTGCAAGGCAGACCAACATTCAAATTCAGGAAATACAGAGAACACCACAAAGATACTCCTCGAGAAGAGCAACTCCAAGACACATAATGGACAGATTCACCAAGGTTGAAATGAAGGAAAAATGTTAAGGGCAGCCAGAGAGAAAGGTCGGGTTACCCACAAAGGGAAGCTCATCAGACTAACAGGTGATCTCTCGGCAGAACCTCCTCTACAAGCCAGAAGAGAGTGTGGGCCAATATTCAGCATTCTTAAAGAAAAGAATTTTCAACCCAGGATTTCATATCCAGCCAAACTAAGCTTCATAAGTGAAGGACAAATAAAATCCTTTACAGGCAAGCAAATGCTGAGAGATTTTGTCACCACCAGACTTGCCTTACAAGAGCTCCTGAAAGAAACACTAAACATGGAAAGGAACAACCAGTACCAGCCACTTCAAAAATATGCCAAATTATAAAGGCCATCGATGCTATGAAGAAACTGCATCAATTAACGGGCAAAATAACCGGCTAACATCATAATGACGGGATCAAATTCACAAATAACATTATTAACCTTAAATGTAAGTGGGCTAAATGCCCCAATTAAAAGACACAGACTGGCAAATTGGATAAAGAGTCAAGACCCATCAGTGTGCTGTATTCAGGAGACCCATCTCACATGGAGAGAAACACATAGGATCAAAATAAAGGGATGGAGGAAGATCTACCAAGCAAATGGAAAGCAAAAAAAAAAAAAAAAAAAAAAGAAAGAAAAAGAAAAAAAAGCAGGTGTTGCAATACTAGTCTCTGATGAAACACACTTTCAACCAACAAAGATCAAAAGAGACAAAGAAGGCCATTACATAATGGTAAAGGGATCAATTCAACAAGAAGAGCTAACTATCCTAAATATACATGCACCCAATACAGAAGCACCCAGATCCATAAAGCAAGTCCTTAGAGACCTACAAAGAGACTTAGACTCCCACACAATAATAATGGGAGATTTTAACACCCCACTGTCAGTATTAGACAGATCAATGAGACAGAAGGTTAACAAGGATATCCAGAACTTGAACTCAGCTCTGCAACAAGCTGACCTAATAGACATCTACAGAACTGTCCACCCCAAATCAACAGAATATACATTCTTCTCAGCACTACATCTCACTTATTCTAAAATTGACCACATAACTGGAAGTAAAGCACTCCTCAGCAAATGTAAAAGAACAGAAATCACAACAAACTGTGTCTCAGACCACAGTGTAATCAAATTAGAACTCAGGATTAAGAAACTCACTGAAAACTGCACAAATACAGGGAAACTGAACAACCTGCTCCTGAATAACTACTGGGAAAATAACGAAATGAAGACAGAAATAAAGATGTTCTTTGAAACCAATAAGATAAAAGACACAACATACCAGAATCTCTGGGACACATTTAAAGCAGTGTGTAGAGGGAAATTTATAGCACTAAATGCCCACAAGAGAAAGCAGGAAAGATCTAAAATCGACACCCTAACATCACAATAAAAAGAACTAGAGAAGAAAGAGCAAAGAAATTCAAAAGCTAGCAGAAGGCAAGAAATAATTAAGATCAGAGCAGAACTGAAGGAGACAGAGACACAAAAAATCCGTCAAAAAATCAATGAATCTAGGATCTCGTGTTTTGAAAAGATAAACAAAATTGATAGACCACTAGCGAGACTAATAAAGAAGAAAAGAGAATCAAATAGATGCAGTAAAAAATGATGAAGGGGATATCACCACTGATCCTACAGAAATACAAACTACCATCAGAGAATACTATGAACACCTCTACGCAAATAAACTAGAAAATCTAGAAGAAATGGATGAATTCCTGGACACACACACCCTCCCAAGACTAAACCAGGAAGAAGTTGAATCTCTGAATAGACCAATAACTGAAATTATTGCTGAAATTAAGGCAATAATTAATAGCTTTCCACCCAAAAAAAGTCCAGGAGCAGACGGATCCACAGCCGAATTCTACCAGGGGTATAAAGAGGAGCTGGTACCATTTCTTCGGAAACTATTCCAATCAACAGAAAAAGAGGGAATACTCCCTAACTCATTTTATGAGGCCAGCATCATCCTGATACCAAAGCCTGGCTGAGACAAAACAAAAAAAGAGAATTTAGACCAATATCCCTGATGAACATTGATGCAAAAATCCTCAATAAAATACTGGCAAACCGAATCCAGCAGCACATCAAAAAGCTTAGCCACCATGATCAAGTTGGCTTCATCCCTGGGATGCAAGGCTGGTTCAACATACACAAATCAATAAACATAATCCATCACATAAACAGAACCAATGACAAAAAAACACATGATTATCTCAATAGATGCAGAAAAGGCCTTCGACAAAATTCAACAGCCCTTCATGCTAAAAACTCTCAATAAACTAGGTATCAATGGAACATGTCCCAAAATAATAAAGGCTATTTATGACAAACCCATAGCCAATATCATACTGAATGGGCAAAAACTGGAAGCATCCCCTCTGAAAACCGGCACAAGACAAGGATGCCCCCTCTCACCACTCCTACTCAACATAGTATTGGAAGTTCTGGCCAGGGCAATCAGGCAAGAGAAAGAAATAAAGAGTATTCCCTTAGGAAAAGAGGAAGTCAAATTGTCCCTGTTTGCAGATGACATGATTGTATATTTAGAAAACCCCATTGTCTCGGCCCAAAATCTCCTTAAGCTGATAAACAACTTCAGCATAGTCTCAGGTTACAAAATCAATTTGCAACAATCACAAGCATTTCTATACACCAACAACAGACAAACAGAGAGCCAAATTATGAGTGAACTCCCATTCACAATTGCTACAAAGAGAATAAAATACCTAGAAATCCAACTTACAAGGGAAGTGAAGGACCTCTTCAAGGAGAACTGTAAACCACTGCTCAATGAAATAAAAGAGGATACAAACAAATGGAAGAACATTCCATGCTCATGGGTAGGAAGAATCAATATCGTGAAAATGGCCATACTGCCCAAGGTAATTTATAGATTCAGTGCCATCCCCATCAAGCTACCAATGACTTTCTTCACAGAATTGGAAAAAACTACTTTAAAGTTCATATGGAACCAAAAAAGACCCCACATTGCCAAGACAATCCTAAGCAAAAAGAACAAAGCTGGAGGCATCATGCTACCTGACTTTATAGTACAAGGCTACAGTAACCAAAACAGCATGGTACTGGTACCAAAACAGAGATACAGTCCAGTGGAACAGAACAGAGCCCTCAGAAATAATACCACAAATCTACAACCATCTGATCTTTGACAAACCTGACAAAAACAAGTAATGGGGAAAGCATTCCCTATTTAATATATGGTGCTGGGAAAACTGGCTAGCCATATGTAGAAAGCTGAAACTGGATCCCTTCATTACACCTTATACAAAAATTAATTCAAGATGGGTGAAAGACTTAAATGTTAGACCTGAAACCATAAAAATCCTAGAAGAAAACCTAGGCATTACCATTCAGGACATAGGCATGGGCAAGGACTTCATGACTAAAACATCAAAAGCAATGGCAACAAAAGCCAAAATAGACAAATGGATCTAATTAAACTAAAGATCTTATGCACAGCAAAACAAACTACCATCAGAGTGAACAGGCAACCTACAGAATGGGAGAAAATTTTTACTATCTACCCATCTGACAAAGGGCTAATATCAAGAATCTACAAAGAACTTAAACAAATTTTCAACAAAACAAACAACCCCATCAAAAAGTGGGCAAGGGATATGAACAGACACTTCTCAAAAGAAGACATTTATGCAGCCAACAGACACATGAAAAAATGCTCATCATCACTGGTTATCAGAGAAATGCAAATCAAAACCACAATGAGATACCATCTCACACCAGTTAGAATGGCAATCATTAAAAAGTCAGGAAACAACAGATGCTGGAGAGGATGTGGAGAAATAAGAAAGCTTTTACACTGCTGGTGGGAGTGTAAATTAGTTCAACCATTGTGGAAGACAGTGTGGCAATTCCTCAAGGATCTAGAACTAGAAATACCATTTGACCCAGTGATCCCATTACTGGGTGTATACCCAAAGGATTATAAATCATTCTACTATAAAGACACATGCACACATATGTTTATTGTGGCACTGTTCACAATAGCAAGGACTTGGAACCAACCCAACTGTCTATCAATGATAGACTGGGTTAAGAAAATGTGACACATATACACCATGGAATACTATACAGCCATAAAAAAGGATGATTTCATGTCGTTTGTAGGGACATGGATGAAGCTAGAAACCAACATTCTGAGCAAACTATCACAAGGACAGAAAACCAAACACTGTATGTTCTCCCTCATAGGTGGGAATTGAACAATGAGAACACTTGGACACAGGGAGGGGAACATCACACCCTGGGGCCTGTCGTGGGGTGGAGGGTAGGGGGAGGGATAGCATTAGGAGAAATACCCAATGTAAATGACGAGTTAATGGGTGCAGCAAATCAACATGGCACATGTATACCTATGTAACAAAGTTGCACGTTGTGCACATGTACCCTAGAACTTAAAGTATAATAATAATAGAAAAAGAAAATTAAATAAGTTGGAAATACAGTACGCCCAGCCAACAGGCAGACACTTGAAGAGATTATGGTAAATCCATTGCAAGGAATAACATTCAGCCACTAGAATGAAAGAATTAGAGGTATAAATTGAGGAGATTTCATTATTAATTAGGAAAAAGGTTTGCCTGGAAATTCAATATGGAATGGTTTGATTTTTATAAATGAAACAAAGTGGAAAGCCATGTGTTCTATCTAAACATATACATGCCAACACATCAGCAACCCTACTCGTTGATGTTGATCCTAGAGAAATGCATGCACATGTTCATAGGGAACATGCGCACAAATATTAATAAGAGTATTATTTTGTTTTGGAAAAATGGGAACTGCATAGGCGTGGATCATTAGGAACAGGATAAATTGAAAATGATGAAATGTACAAAATTAAAATAAATGAACTAGAGTTCCATGTATTTACATGGGTAAACATAAAAAATATAAAGTTGAGCTGGAAAACCAAAGTGTTGATCAATGTATACATTATGAAGACGTGCTTTAAATAAAGGAAGAGATTCTATATTGTGTACAGACACAGAAGTAGGTAGCAAATATATACAAGTCTCCATGGGCATAATTGCTGACTTCATTATAGAGGAGCACAGTGGGGAAGGAGAGAGCAGAGTGGGTCAGGGAAGACGTAATAGGAGGGTTTTGCCATATCCAATATATAAAAGATAAACAGTAAGTAGGGCCTAATATTTAAATTTTATACAGCTAGCTATTGGTGTTTATAATATTAATCTCTCTTCTTTGCCCTACGTTTGAGATTAAGTCGCAGTAAAAAAAAATTCATGCTAAAAACAAGCAAATAAACTGCAAAAGTAATCCTCCCATTTTTGTTTCATGAGGGTAGGATTGTACATGCTATAGACTTCCATGCAAGACCCAAATTCCTGGAAACAGTAAAATAAGTTCATACCTGTACTGAAAAACAATTCAGAGCAATTATCAATGGACCAGAAACTGCGAGAATTCTCAGAATGTGGGACAGCAGATGGAGCCAGACTACTGTTTTGAGTAGGTCATGTCCCAGAACGCGTGCAAAGGTTATCCCAAACGGAGGGCTGGCTCAAGAGTGCTCTGTGTCCTGGAGAGGTGCTTTCTTTGCTTGACCAAATTGATTTATTGCTAACTTACCCAACAGGAGGTCTCGGTGGGCTCTAATTATAAAGAAAATTTCAGCAAGACAGGCATAAAGTATTCATTTGTTTCTTAAGAGTTCAGTTAAGAACACCTATAAAATCTTTTCCATCATGAATTCCTTCAGCACGCATTTATTAAATGCCACACTCACACACCGCTTGGAAAACCTTGAGAGGCAAAATCTGTGCTTACCATGTAATAAATGCTTTTCATTTTTTATCTCATTTAATTCTCACAACCCTATGAGGGCTGTACTTTAGCCCCACTTTATAGATGGGAAAACAGGCTTAGAGAGAAGTGACTTGCTTAAACTAATACCTTGAATGACATAAGAAAGATATAGAGTGCTAGTTATAGGGCTTTCCTCAATGGAGTAAAAATGGACTCATTACCCTTTTGGGCAGATCAAGACAAGCTTCAGGGAGAAACAGGTCTGTGAGCAGTCAAATGGAATTTAGATAGTTGGAGAAGGCTGAGAAGACAGGTCAGGCAGAGCAAACAGTGAGCAAAAGCAAGCAGTGGATAAAGTTCAGAGTATGCTCTGAAAGAAGCAAAATAAATCAGGAGTCCAGGAAGACTGGAGCCTAGAAACCTTGGAGCCAATCTGAACTCCATCATCCCCTCCACATTCCCCACTTCATCCATTCTGTCTGCAAAGCCCTTCAACGGTCACCTTTAAAATGTCTTTCTGCCTCTCCATCCCCATGGCAACAGCCTTAAGGCATACTTTAGTTCCCAGTGCTTCTTATTCCAATTGCTTCCTATGTGGTCTGCCAGGAAACAGTTTGCTTTTCTGAGAGGCTGCACAAATGCAATTCCTCTGATCCTGTCACTGCCCTGCTTTCATACATACATACATACATATATGTGTGGTAGATATATGCACTGTATATAAACATAATGTGGTAGATATATGCACGATATAGGTATGTATGTATGTATGTATAAAAGCAGGGCAGTATATATATCGTGCATATATCTACCACATTTTAAAGGCTCTGCACCTCTTTCACCCTGCTTGTTTCTGCAGTCCCATCTCCTCACATCATCCAGCACATCTGCCATAACAATATTATCCGGGTCCTACATGGGACCACAAATTGATTAGTATACACACAAATGCCTTCTGAAAACAGGGCGAGTGAATGAACGCGCTGTGTAAGCCAAGACAGGAAAGGAAGGCTGGAGACAGCTGACTCCTTCCAAGAATACACCCTCCCGCCACCCCTGGCCTCCCAACCCCCAACACACACACAGCCCGTCGTCAGTGGGAATGGAGCCGACGCACTCCTTCCCTAGACCGTCGAGCCAATCTTGGAATGTTTGTAGTAGGCTGAAAATACAGAAACTTTAAGCTATTTTTTTCTCTTCTGCAAACTCCAGGCCCCTCCAATCTCTAGCTGTCATTTCTGCCCTTGTCCCACCCCTGTCGCTGCCTGCCCCTTTTCCTATCTGCTAGCGGAAGTCCCTGTGGAGGACCAGCCTACTTCCTCTTTGGTGCTAGGAGTGTGCGTGGCAGGAGAGGCGGGGCCAATTTTGCTGAGCTTTCTCGCGGGCTTGCAGCTGCGGCAAGTGCTGGCGGCGGCTGCTCGCGCAAGTCAGCTGGCGTGGGAACTACCCTTTGTAGCTGAGAACGGCTTGTTTATTGCTACAAAGACTCTATTGACATTGGTAGCTTCAGCGGCAGCAGCTTCTTACGGTATAAAGCTGTTGCTTCCTGAAGAGGCTACAAGCATCCTTCCCTAGGACTGCTGTAAGCTTTGAGCCTCTAGCAGGAGACATGCCTCGGGGACGAAAGAGTCGGCGCCGCCGTAATGCGAGAGCCGCAGAAGAGAACCGCAACAATCGCAAAATCCAGGCCTCAGAGGCCTCCGAGACCCCTATGGCCGCCTCTGTGGTAGCGAGCACCCCCGAAGACGACCTGAGCGGCCCCGAGGAAGACCCGAGCACTCCAGAGGAGGCCTCTACCACCCCTGAAGAAGCCTCGAGCACTGCCCAAGCACAAAAGCCTTCAGTGCCCCGGAGCAATTTTCAGGGCACCAAGAAAAGTCTCCTGATGTCTATATTAGCGCTCATCTTCATCATGGGCAACAGCGCCAAGGAAGCTCTGGTCTGGAAAGTGCTGGGGAAGTTAGGAATGCAGCCTGGACGTCAGCACAGCATCTTTGGAGATCCGAAGAAGATCGTCACAGAAGAGTTTGTGCGCAGAGGGTACCTGATTTATAAACCGGTGCCCCGTAGCAGTCCGGTGGAGTATGAGTTCTTCTGGGGGCCCCGAGCACACGTGGAATCGAGCAAACTGAAAGTCATGCATTTTGTGGCAAGGGTTCGTAACCGATGCTCTAAAGACTGGCCTTGTAATTATGACTGGGATTCGGACGATGATGCAGAGGTTGAGGCTATCCTCAATTCAGGTGCTAGGGGTTATTCCGCCCCTTAAGTAGATCTGAGGCAGACCCTTGGGGGTGTAAAAGAGAGTCACAGGTACCCCAAGGAGTAGATGCCAGGGTCCTAAGTTGAAAATGATGTCGATTGGGGGCGGGGGACACTGTATTTGATATTTGTGATCAGTGATCATTGTTCAACTGCGAAATAGAGTGTTTGCTTTTGATAATGGAAAATTGTATTCGTTTTAAAATTCCGTTTGTTGAGAATAACAATATGTTTAAAAATATAATTGAACAAATTTTTTTCTTTGTTTCCTGTCATTGACATTTAGTATAACAGTTTTGCTAACGTTCTAAAATGAAGTCGTTCCATCATAATCTATGATCTTGTACAGCACTTATAGAAATAAGCTGTTCTTTTGAAGTTGAAATACCCAGTAAAATGTTGAAGAAGGATGGAGGATTTCTTCATATCTGACGTTTCTGAAACCCTTTGTGTCTGCTGTTGTGTGAAGATTGACATTTACCATGATTTTCCTTAGTTACTGCAGAACATAGAGAAAAATAAAAGCCTAACGAATAGTACATCTTGCGCATTTTCTGACCACCTGTTATGTGAGGCACCAGTCTAGATTCTAGGGATACTCCCTAGTACACATCCTCCAGGTCCAAAGAATGTTCTAGATTATGTGGGAAAGAAAAATAGGTAAACTGGCAGTGCAGTAAATGCTGGGATAGAGAACGAGCCTGAAGTGCCATGAAAATGTAAAAAACCTTATGTGACCTGTCTTGGGGAGTGGGCCGGGGAAGGGAGCACCATAGGATGTGTGAAAATTCAAGAGACACTTAAATAAGTTTGGGGGGGACTGAAATATACGATCAGAATATATGATGAAAATATTATGTATTAGATATTTGATTGGATACTCCACCCAGCATAGGGGAGGGAGCACTGGCAAAAAGAAGAGGACATCACAGGGTGCCTGCCACGGAAGTAGAAAATACACAAAAATCATCTTGAGAGGAGGAGGGCAGAGAGAAGGGGTGGTTGCAGGGGAAAAGGTTGTCATGGGGTACTTCAGAAATAAAAAAAGATGAGACCGTCAGAAAATCTTGGTGAGGGGACAATCTGAGGTTTGGAAATAATAGAGAAGAAGGGGAGGGAGTAAAAATGGAGGCACTGAAGGTAGCGTGGACATTTGGAAATAAACTCTTCACCGAACTGTTAAGGTTATATGAAGGGGAAAGTGGAGAACAAGGAATGAGGCAAGGGAAGAAGTGAGCGGGGCAGACCCTCAAAGGGTGGGTGTTGTGGCTGACTTTAAACTAATGACAATAAAAATGGTTAATAATAACAACCCTGAAATAATTCGAGAAAAGGCTATAAAAAAGCAGAACTTCTGAGATACTGGATGAGCCAGAGAAAAGGCTCCACCTGTGGCATCTCCGAAAGGTAACCTTGCACTTCTCTCAGGAACTATGGTTCGTTAGGGTGCACACATTGTTTAAAAGTGTGTGTGTCCAAGGGGGCAAAGGGGCAATGGAGTAAGTCCGGATTGGTACCTGGCACGATGGCCCATGCTATACTAAGTCATGTGGGATCAGGCGCAAATCCTACCACCTTTTCTCCAAGAGCTAAGCACTGCATGAACTAGGTCCCCTGCTGGGGAGCACTAGTGACAAGTGCCCAACCTAGCCCTGTGGGGCTCATGGTAGCAGCTATAACACACAAAAGAGTGGTCAGGCTACCTTCTTCCTTCTTGACATCCAGGCTCACGCTGCTTCCAGCTGTGTGCAAAGTAACGTCACTAGGTGCAGGGTAGGCTAGCAAATGACCTTCTGGAGAAGGCCCAGGGACCCACTCTCCTCAGCTTGCAGGCCAAGGAGGCTTCAAACAAAAGTAGTAACTATGACCCCATCAGCAGCTCCAAATTCATTCAGCAAGCCAGAAAATGGTGAGCGCCTTCTGGGATTCAGACAGTGTGTTAGAAACTGGAGCTGCAGAAAATCAAAAGGCCTGTTCTTTGCCCTGGGAGGAGCTGTATTTATCAATACCACCTCCAGAGGTAAACAAGGTGGGAATCTGAGGTCCAGGTTCCTCGGTGACTTTCTCTTCTAGAGCCACAGAAGTGGCAAGAGAGAGATCCTAGACAAGACCCTATGTCCATTCCCTGCAAACCCACAGTGCTTTCCTCTAGGCCACCCTGCTGCCGGTCTCTGCCTGCTAGTGCACTCTCAAGGTCTCTGTCCTCAAAAGAAACACCACGTGAAGGCAGGGGAAGAGGTGTGAGTAACCCTGGCCGCGGCATCCAATCCTTCTGGGGACCAGGCCGGATTACATTCCTCCCCCGACCCGCCCTTTTACCCAAGGGGGCTTACAGCAGTCAGTCAGCCCCAGGTCAGTCAGCTAGTAAGTGGGAGAGCTGCAGAGTAAAAAGATTTGTTGAGCACCTGCCTGTCCCAGAGGCATGCCACATATTATCTCTGCCAGGCCGGTGTGATTACTGCCCATTTAACAGGATGCTCCTCCGGCTAGCTCAGGGGAAGAGGTAATGTCTTCCCCAACCCTGTCTGAATCCATGCTTTCTTCGGCTCTGGTGGCAAGTTATCATCCAATGGTCTAAAATGGTTCTTTGCAAGTACGGGCCAAGAAGCTTAATTCAGTCAGAGAACCAGCAGTATAAGAGGAGAAAGACTGGGAGAATACCTCCAGCTGCCCTGTCAGAGAGATGACTGCTGGAATCCTGAAGGCCTCAGGCAGGAGGCTCTGCAGGGGATTGGGAAACAAGGGATTGGGTGACAGGTGACCTGCCCTAGCGCAAGAAGGAAGCGATCAATGGGCCAGGCTTATTCTCTTGTGGCCTGGGGGTTCAGTCTCCCTAACACACTACAGGAGTACTGCAAAGAGTTAAACTTCCTTTGATTAGATAAAGGCTGAAGAAGGGCGGGACTTCCGGTGGCTGTGAAATGAAAGACAGGGGTGAGGGAGAGGCAGGGAAAGGGGCTTCTGGAAGGTGGAGAGAAAAAGAAAACATTCACCGTGCCATTTACAAAAATTCTTTGAGCTTTGCGGGGCATCCAGATGAGACATCCAGGTGCAAGCCTCTTGCTGAGTAAATCTGAAACCTAAACTGGCCCCACCCCAGCGGAGGTTCCACAAAGCAAGTGGGAAAGCTGCAGTTTTAGGTGCAAGGATGCCTCTGAAAAGCGATTGAGTTTCTGGGTCCTAGAACACTCCAGTTGTTAGGATAACTCAAGGATAGAGAGCCCCAAGCTGCCCAAAGCCTAGCAAACTTGGCAGCTGGCATTTACCGAGTGCCTAAATTGTTCCAGGCACTTTGATTGCTGTTTTCATGCATTGTCTCTAACTTTGCAGTAGTCCTGCAAGGGAGATGCCACCAGGCCAGGCCGAGTTTACAGAGGAGAAAACCCCAACTCAGATCTCACAAGCAAGTTGCCAGGATCAGCTGGCTGGTCACTGGCAGCCTTGCAGGTGGACCCAGGGCCTGCCAAGTCTGAAGCCCATGCTGCTATGCTACAGGGAAAGACTCCATCTCCAGGACAGCTGGGGCTGGGAAAGTCTTCTGTTTTCAAACTTGGACACATGGCAGGGTAGGAGTGACAGGGAACATGCCGGGGTCAGGTGAGGAGGTGTGGGAAAATAAAATTAATCTGCACTTTCAGGATTAGCTGTGGCAGTCTGTCCCTTTATTTGGAAGGGCTGGGGCCCTATTGCCAGGCATCTTTGAGGGATCATATGTGTGGAGTGAGCATTTCCTTCCAAGACAAGTGGACTTCCCCATCACGACACATTCCCCAGAAACTTAACTACCCAGCACCCTCCATCAGTCCTCAAAATCCTAGGTCCTGGCTTTCCCACGGTGGACCAAGCAAACAACAATGTTTCTGAGCCTGTGACATTGCTCCGATACTGTTGCCAATGCAGAAGATACTGGCAGACCTCTTCCCTTGAGCAGAGCAACCGGGATAAGATGCTGACAGACAGCAAACAGTGGGCATCTGCCCATGAAAAAAAGACAGGTTCCAGGGCATCCTCCTTGGGCCCAGTGTTGCGGCCTTGGCCCCAGCAGGCAAGTGCAGAGCAGACAATGGCCATGACCAAAGGGAGATTTGGATTCGGCCTGGGCTCACGTTGGCTCCTGTGAGGTGGGTAGCGGGCAGGATCCCCCCGACTCTTTTCTTTGGCAGAAAGGTAGAATTCTGGCCTTCTGGAGGAAATTATTTTGGAGTCGTGGTGGAGGTGGAGAAGGGTGATTCTTACGAAGATGTGCTGAGACCTGTACACAGATTCCTCCAGGGCTCGTGAGCCATGGAACAGTTAAATGTCAAAGAGCAGATGGAATTTCTTTGAAAATCCCTGTGAGGGCACTTTGTCAAAGGAGGGGCTCAGCTCAGCCAAGACTACATAGAAGAATAACTGGAGTAATCTGGGGCTCAGAGACTGGAGGAGAAGTGGGCTCTAGGCTTGCACTGCTCATCATGCAACAGGCTTGCAAAGCTCACAAGGGTGATTTGGAGGGGAAGGCAGAGTCTATACACAGATAGTGAAAATCAGGCCCAGTTCTTGACTGGTCGACTTCCGCCCCAGTTCCTGTGGCAAATGACACCAGTGTTGCCAATGTTATCTCCACATGTGCAACGCATGAGAAGTGGTTGAGATTCCTCCTGTAACTTGGACCACGGAGGCCTGTGTAGTCTCAATAATAATGTAGCCTATATTATTTTGCATGTTGTGATTATCCAATGATTCATCCATTCACTCTTTCAACGAGTGCTTATTAAGGTCTACTACGTGCCAGTCTAGTCAACTGGGATTCATAGGTGAACAAATCTCAAGCACCCTGGCCCTCGTGAATGGTACATACAAGAGCAAGGAAACAGAAAATAAAATGCAAACCTTTTACATTACTAATTATATAGAAGGGTAGAAGGAGACAATCACTTTGGGTGGGGCAGGTGGTGGTGGTGGTGGTGGTAAGCTAACACACAGCAGGGTAGGGTGCATTCGGGTCGTTGAGAATGGGAGAAGAGAAAGGGAGTAGAGCATTCACTGCCATATGCAAGGGTACACAGGTAGGCTTCATTGGAGGGGTGACATTGGAGGAAAGAAATGAAGAAGGTGAGAGGGTTTGCCTTGCGGATATATAAAGAAAGTACTGTCCGGGCAGAAGGTCCAGCTGGTGCAAACGCTCTAAGGCCAGGGAGTGACTACCACGTTTGAGAAATGGCAGAGAGGCCAGCGTGGTTGCTGTAGAGTGAGCCAAAAGGACGAGAGCAGGAGATGAGGTCAGAGAGATTAACAGAATCCCACATTATGTAGGGCCTGGGAGGCCGTTTTAAGGACCTTAGCTCTTGCTTGGGGTGAAATGTGGGGGGAAGAAGGAGGGAAGCAGTGAGGGGTGGAACAGAGGAGTCATGTGATCTGACACACGTTTGGAAGGGATCACTTTGATTACTTACTATGCCGAGAATAGAGTGAATTCAGGCGAGGGTAGTGGGAGCGTGGAAACCAGGTAGGAAGCTACTGCTGCAAGCCAGGCTAGAGATAATGGTGGTTTGGACCATCCTGGTGTCTGTAGACATGGTGAGAACTGCACAGGTTCTGGAAACATTTTGAGGTAGACCCAACAGAATTCCTGATGGTTTGAATGTGGCATGTCAGCGAGGACCAAGGCTGACTCCAGGGTTTTTTTTTGCCTGAGCAACAAGTAGACTGGGATTGGTATCAATTCCAGTCTACTGGGGAGTGCTGCAGTGAGAATAGGCTTTGTAGGTGGGGAGGGGTTCAAAAATTCAGTTTTGTACACATTGAGTTAAGCTGTCTCTCTGACATCCATGTGAGTCAAGTAGGCAGTTGTATATACAAGTCAGGAATTTGGCTGAAAGATCTATACCTACATATATGTGGATGGCGCTTAAAAGCCACGAGACTACATGAGCTCCGCTAGGGAGGGAGAGCACACAGAGGAGGGCAGAAGGTCACGAACAGAGCCCTGCAGCATAAAGGGATCAGAAAGAAGAGGAGACACCAGCTGAGGAGATGGGGAAATTGGCACCAGTGACGCATGGAGGAAAACCAAGAGTGTCCTGGGAACTATGTGAATAAAAGTGTCTCAAGAGGCATCCAGCGGTCCACTCTGCTCAAACTGCTGATGTCAGGGGAAATAAGAAGAGGAGTGAGAATTAACCATTGCATTTAGCAGTGCGGAGGTTCCTGGTGACCTTAATAAGAGCAGCTTCTTTGGGGGACTGTGTGAAAAAGCCTGCTTGGGACAGCTTTAAGAGAGAATGGGAGGAGAGGAATCAATGAGTATGGACAAGTTTCACAAGGAGTTTTGCAGCAATGGGGAGCAGAGAAATCAGGCGGCATCTGGTGGGGAAAGAGGGAGTCAGGAAAAGGTTTACTTCAGGTGGAAGAAATACCATTGTGCTGAAGGCAAGCACCCGGTGGAGAGACATGAAATCAATAGCACAGGGGTGGCAGAGAGCATCCTTGGAGCAGCAGCTTTGAGTAGGCAGGAGGGCGCCGGGAACTTGTATCAAGGGGAGAGCTGGAGCATGCAGGAGGAGTTGCAAAATAGGGAGCTACTGGAGTGGGTAGATGTCAGCTAGGCATTCTGGCCCTCCTGAACTCTTCTAGCTGAGGTTAGGCACCTGCCTATTTGTTGATTCTGCATGTCTGTTGAGTATCTACTATGCATGAGGCACACTTGTGGGCACTTTACTAACATTTAACACTCCAAACAACCCGTTAGGTGGGTTGTGTCATAATACCATGCTACCTGTGAGAGGTCTGCCGCTCAAGGAGGTCAGCTGGACTGGCCAAGTTCACTTAGCAAACAATTGGAAGAGTAAAGCTTTGAGAGACAGCCTGCCTCTCCAGGTAGGCTTATAAAGCTCACATCTGCTGGCAAGTCAGAGTGTGGGATTACTCTTGCATCCTCTTACACTGGTAACAAGCCTGCCCACTGAACCACAGAAGCTTCTGATGACCACACGGAAGCCACAGTCTCTATGTCTGGGCACCTGCCTCAGTTTCCTGTGTGCCACTGCTACTTCAGTGTGCATGAGCTCGATTCTGAGTCTGAGGCTGAGTGGCAGGGCCTCTCTGTGACCTTGTCTTGCTTAAAACAGACCTCTCCTCTGAAGGCTGGCTCAGCTCCAAGTGGAACAGACACTCCAGAACTACAGAACTGCCCTTCCACTGACTTTTTAAACACCCTTACTACCCGAAGGCCTGCTTTCTCACCAAGTCAGAGAAGTAAGGGCCACTGAGCCCACTGAGCCTTGTGGACGATTATCATCTAGATTGATGGACACACACACACACACACACACACACACACACACACACTCCACATGAATGTGCATGTGATCTGTTCTCATTAGACCTCTCTCTCTCTGTGTGTGTGTGTATGTGTGTGTGTTTGTCTGTGTGTGTGTGTGTGTTTGTGTGTGTGTGTGAGAGAGAGAGAAAGAGAGAGAGAGAGACAGAGAGAGAGAGAGAGGGAGAGAGACCCTACTTCATTCTGTCCTCTTCCTGCTTTTGGCCAAACTTGCTAAGGAATGATCCTATCAAATGAGACCCCCAAAGAAATAAGCTTTATGGTGTGTGGAGCCCCTTCTGCAGGGTAAGCCTGGGTCCAGATATGGCTTTTGCAGGGTTGGGTCTCAGGGTACAGGGTCCAGGCCCATCCTGGGAAAGGAATAAACATTTTGCTGTTCTGAGCCAGTGAGAATGAGGCCAGAGACCACGAGAAGAAAGGAACAGAGAAGAGAATGGCCACTGGGGCCATCCAAGTCTTAAATTGGGAGGGCAGATTATTTTATAAATGAGCTTCTCTAAGGCACACACACCTATCTTCTGCCCACTCCAATAGCCCTGATGACCCAGAAACAGCAATCAAGGACTTTGCGTACCCACCTCCCTCCAGATGGACATTTAGTATCTTTTGACTCTGTTTTCTCTTCATACACTGCTTTAGATAACATGCTTGAATGTGTCTCCCTCTTTTCAGAGACGAGCTCCACCAAGATGCTTCAGAGCCCTGATGCAGTGACTTCCATAAAGGCTGCTGAACTGCTCTGAAGGCATCACTGGCCCACATGATGTGGGGAAGTGAAAAGCCCCACCACGGTTGGATTATCTGCACTTTGGAAATCCTGGTAAGTAGCCATTGATGTAAACTATGCATGTTGTGGGGAAGTATGCTGGTCCTGAAGCCAGAGTGTCTACTTGATCAATAGCTTGGGGACCTGGTCAAAGTTATCTCCCTTGGGCCACCTTCCGTTTACATCTCCAAATACATGAATAATGACTCCTGCTTTATATACATGCTGCAGAAAATACATCAGCTGAACTTCACGAAGCTCCAAACTGTTGCTTCTTGAGCTCTCTGTTATAAAGGAGAAGCATTTAATTTTTTTGTACATCAGTCACTCATGGATCAATACATTCCTGTAACACAAGGAAAGTGAACGAACGACTAGAAAGAAGAAAAATATAGCAAAGACATACAAAATACAAGCCCTGATTATTTCAACATCCAAATGACTCTCACTGCATGCTATAAAACTTCCTAAACATATATTCTTACGCTATAAAACTTCCTAAACTTATACTCTCAAATGCTGTACTTACCGCAGAGAGGTAACAAACTTTTGCGAAGCGGCAAGAGTCCATGGACTGCTTTCGTCAGTGATGCTCTGGCTCAGCAGCACCTGACCCATCACATTCATTGACTCGGTGGTTACTGTTGCAAGGGAGTTATTACAAAATATGGTTCTTATCATGAAGGAGCTTCAACAACAAGAAATTGCAACTAAAGAGTAGAAGAAATGCAAAAGGTTCAACTGCTGCCTGTCATGAGAGCTGTGAGCCCCTGAAGCAGCACAGGAGTTCAAAAAGCATATATCACAGTGTGCATGACTTCCGTTGGGCCTTGACGATCAAGAAAGGATGGAACTTATTTTGTAGTGTTTTGTATTCTGTGATTGCAGGAAAGGAGCTTGATCATTGCACACATTTCTGCAAGCCCTAGAAGAATAAGGTGGCTGGAAAATATTAAGCCTAATCCCAAGAATCAGAGTTTACCTGTGCTAACATTTATATGTACACCTTCAATGCATAGTCAGGAATATTATAATAATGATAATTATTATAATAACTATATATACATATATATACTTCTCTACACACCATATGTTTGCAAATATTTATACCAGTTTTCTGTACGCTGATGCAAACAATTACCTTGACTCAGAGCTCACACTACTGTGAGTTTGACTCAGAGCTCACACTGTTGACATCAACACGACGTTGATGAGATTCCCACAGTAGTTGTGTCTGGGAGTGCCCAAAGGGCGATACAAGTCACTAACAAGGGCAATCTGCACACTACAGGCAGCCCCCTGAGAGAGCCTCACTGTAGCCTCCACCCTTGTGATGTTGACATTACCCCTGATCAGCTCACAAAGCTGCCAGGACCCAGGTGCCCGAGCTGAGCTGCATTCTGCGTGGAGGTACATGGAATGGCCCCGTCCTCACCCCGTATCCAATCATGGACTCTGAAGCCGCTCTGCCAAACCCACACTGTCCCTCTCAGGAAGGCAAGCTCCTCACCACCTTCCTTCCAATCAAGTTCATCTGCAAACAAATCACCGTGTACAACACAGGTTTGCAGGCAGTATGGCTGAAGATTCACACATATTACTTAAATTCACATAGGAAGCATGTCAAATTGGCCCCATTTTACAGGTTACAAAACCAAAGTTCAAGGAGGTTTCTGATAAGAGATGGAATCTCAGTCCACTGACCTGGTAGCTTCCAACATCACGTATATGCACAGTTTAGTTTCTCTCTCTCTCTCTCTCTCTGTTTCCTTCTCTGTGTCTTGTCCCCCACTACACACACAGACTACTGAAAGAATCTTGGAAGGGGGCAACATGGTCCCCAGCCCTGAGGAGCAGTTACAGTGAGTGGGCGGCACCCACAACCTCCCGTGAGTCTTGGGCACAGAAGAACTCAGTCCTTGACCCCAGCCCGAATAGCTCCAAAGTCCAGAGTCATGGCCCCTGCTTCTCAGCTCTTTCTTTTCACTGCTCCCTCTTCCTGCAGTGAGGCCTCCCTGCCCCCTGACATGGCTATCTTAGAATGTAGCTGCAGGAGGAAAGCAGATGTATCTGTTGTTCTGCTCAACCAGTGGTCTCAGGAATCCCAGCTCAAGAGAAGACAAAACGCTCATGTGCAAGGCGGATGAAGGAACACAAACAACCTACATACCATAACAGGGAATAGAAGATTAGCATGCAAGGCAGTGGCCACATATCTGGGAGCAAGGAGAGAAATGAGGAGGGAGGCCAAGGGAATCCTGCCCTGTGATCCAGTGCTGCCCTCACACAAAGTTTTCCTCAGGACTCACAACGAGTCTCCCAGCAACCCCTTCCTCCTTCCAGCTCTGGAAAATAAGACTGCTTGCCCTAGCAAACCTCAGTCCATGGCATGCCAAGCTTTCATATGAGGCTTGGAACCTGTAATTCACAAATACGTAGACTGAAAACTCCTGAAGAATGTCAACACCAGACTCTGGCCATCCACAGGACTCAACCCAGGACTCTGCTGAAGCAGAGGAGAAATGGCCTCTCCCTCTCATCATCATGTGGTTAACAACCCCAAAGCCCTCTGCCCTTTCTCAGTAGACTCCGACAGGGCAGGGTACAGAATTTTGGAGGTTGGGAGGAGGACGCCCACATGGACCTTGTGGTCCAAGGGCCAGGAAAACCATAGTGCCCAGCATTCCCCAGACAGGCTCCTAATCAGAACACTTGTGTCTCTCCAGTCCTGGCAAGCAATGTGTGGATGTGTGATGAGGTTGTGTGAGACTAAGTCTAGGAGGTAGATTTTGAAAAGTGCCTCTGAATGATCAGTGTCAAGAAAATTGTCAGAAGTGGGCATGCCAGGAGAGTGGAAGGTGCTGGGCTTAGAGCAGGACCCAATTAGACCTTTATGCTAGGGTTTCCCTCACAGCAGCCCCACCGTCTGTTCCCATCAGCATTCGTGTTTTCACATGTATGCTGAAAATAGTCCGATGAGTGCAAGTGGCAGCAAAGTGGAGATGGGCAAGCAAGGGGGGAACTAGAGAAATGCACTGTATTTACCCTGCAAAGAACCTGTGGGCAGCAGTAGCCTTCCCCTTCTTCCGTACCCTACTGCGTACTGCACCCTACTGTTGCAGTAAGGAATCACCACCCACAAGCCATGTTCATGGCCTTTGGACACCACCAGTGGGAGCAGTCTCAGGGGCTGCCATGTCCCTGACCTAAATCAGAGAAGCAAGTTTGGACTGGTTGTGGCATGCTGCTTCTCCATATCAGCCCCTTATTCCCACCCCAGCCCTGGCAGACTATAGAGGGTGCTCAACTCGAAATGAGGATAGGGATAGAAAATGAGTATCTTTTCCTTTCCCATGTCATCAAGAGTGTGGACCTTGCTGCCAGGGAGATCTGTGCACAGTGAGCATAAGTAAGCCTTGGGCATATCAGACACTGTGGTGCTTGAGAAGGGAGGACCTGGCCCATTCATCCTGCGAGTGGTGGATTTAACCAGCAGGCCAGCACATAATGGTACTAATCCCCGGGCTGTGGAAGCACCATAGATTGCACTGAGGCAATTGTTCTTCATTCTTTGAAAAACTCTCCTTCTGTGACCAAAACAGGCACAGGACCATGCGGTGTGTGCCCGCGCACACACACACTCTTTTTTCTTCTCTCTCTCTCTCTCTCTCTCTCTCTCTCTCTCTCTCACCCTGCACACCGTGCTTTATGATCATCCATTTTCTCAGGCCTCATTGGGTTGGAGCTGCCTTTACTAGTTATGCCCTGAGAAACACGGATGGGATTTGGAATCAGAAGATATGGCTTCCTCCCTATCTCTTGGCTGTGTGATGCCTGCCAACAGCATGGCTAGGAAGATTAAATGAGGTACAGTGTGTGCAACTGCTTTGTAAAGCGCAAGGGGTGGCTAAGCAAATATGATACTTATCACTGCCAAATACAACAATAGATAAGCAAGTTCAATGGAGTTGGTCACGTTCCTACCAAGATAGGAAAAGATTGTCTATCCTGTCTGGTTTCTCTGAAAAATACAGCAAAGTCTGTGGCCAGCAAGTCGGTCCATGGTTCTATCCATTCACCATTATTTTGCTACAATGTAAGCTTCACGGGATCAGAATTCTGCCTGTTAGCACACTTTCTTCACTGATGTGCCCCTAAAGCCTAGGACAGTACCTTGTGCATATCAAACAGTCAAAATATGAAGTGTGTGGGTGAATGAATCTTTTTGATCATCTACTGGAAAGGACGTCAAGGGTAATGACTGTAAATATTTTCAAGTGGGCGAGGTACTCACACAAAAATATCAGCTGACAGCAGAATATTACATCACTCATCTTTAAGCGAAGGATACCAAGTTATTTTTAATGACAAAAAGCACTGAAGCTCAGGGATGGTGCGTAAAATGATCCTAAAGCCAGGGCTACATTCTGTGGTAGCACAGCTGGAAAACGCTGTGCTAGGTTGCTCTGGAGGTGATACAGAACCCTCCCCTGATCCTGGGGGCAGATTCCAGAATGGAGCAAGAATGTGAATCTTATCCATAGCTTATATATATATTGAGCACCTATTTTGTCCTGGGTATATAGTCATATCATTCATCTCAGCCTCACCACAACCCTAAGCGACAGGAATCATAGTCCTCCTTTTTCCAGATGAGTAAACTGGGAATCAGAGAAGTTAGGTAGCTTACACATTGCCATGTGAGACTCCTGTTAAGCGGCAGAAGTAGGATCTGAAACTGGTCTCTCCAAGTCCAAAATACACACTTTGCTTTTAAACATTAGATGGCATTGCCTTCCATTATCTGCGGGCTGGTCCAAAATGCTAATATGAGATACGTCCGTTTTTAGGTGAAGTTCTAAACCACTAGAGGGATATGGACACCATAAATTGAAAGGGAGCCACATGGATACAAACTATCTTGCTAACAGGAGCTCAAAATTTAATACAGCATACGGTATAGGTTGTTGTGGAAATACAAAGAAACTTGTTTGCTTTCCATAAATAATCCTACTTTCTGAGTACACAATCCAATGGTTACTACAGGTGAGCAGGGGTGACCAGTTACATTTCTCCAATGAATTAAACATTCTTCAGCCTCTTCCAGTCTGGCTACTCTCTTTCAAGCAATCATTGAGTCAATTCTAAGATCTATGGACACCTCCGTCTCCTTTTATAAAATCATGTCTGGGGATTGGAGGAAGGGGTGTGACATAAGCGATAGTAGAGAGGCTTTGCAGCGGCGGTCGGGGGGAGGTCCCCAGTTTGAGTGCTATGCTCTGGATTCTGCTGATACGTGTATACAACCTGTGTGTTCCTTTCTTAGTGAACCTTTTTTTTCCTCTTTCAAATATTGTGGATCCATATGAGATTTGGTTGCAACTCAGAGTTGAGACTTCAATGTGGGTGCTCAGTGCACATTTGCTGTGGCAATGGTCTCTGATCATTTTTCATCAGACATTGTACTGGATTGAATGATGTCCCCCCCCCAAAATACATGTCCACCCTGAACCTCACAAGGTGACCTTATTTGGAGACAGTGTCTTCACAGATGTAATTCGTTAAGAGGAAGGCATACCCGATTGGGGTGGACCCGCAATCCAATATGACTGATGCCCTCATAAAAAAGAGTAGAGAATACACGGAGACACAGACACACGAGGAGGAGAACACCGTGTGAACATGAAGGCAGAGATTGGAGTGAGGTGTCTACAAGCCAAGGAACACGAAGATTGCCATAAGCACCAGAAGCTGGAAGAGACAAGGAAGGATCCTCCCCTGGAGGATTCAGAGGTAGCATGGTCCTGCCAATACCTTGCTTTCAGATTTCTAGCCCCCAGAACTGTGAGAGAATACATTTCTGTTGTATTCAGTAACGGAGTTTGTGGTAATTTGTCACAGCAGCACCGAAAAACAAATACACCAACAGTAATAAAAGATGTTGAGCCCACACCTGCAATATATGTATCTTTGTAAATTTACAAATTATGTACTGGAAACGCTGTATAAATATGGAATTCTCAGTATAAAACACACACACCAAAATTAGACTTTTAAAAGAAAGTAATAAAAATGAATATGCATAGACTTGCTAATGTTTCCTTCCCATGCCTCAATGGCTCTTCTTGCCATCTCTGCATGTGCACACCTCATTTTGTAGAACGAGGCGCTCCAAGATCTCCTCACCCTGATTAGGGTGGCCATGGAGTGCTTGCCAGAAAACATTCAGCTGCCTTCTGGACCCTTCCATCAGGCTGGTGAGACATTCTCAATCTCTTCTAAAGCAAATGGGAGCTGAGGAAAGTTCAGGAGTGCAGACGTGGGTCCAGTCTCTCCAAATCCACTCTGATTGACGTGTCTTCGCACAGACTGCAACAAATCTTTCCTCTTATAACAGTCAGAACGGCCCCAGTGTGGACAGCACATGGCCCCCTCTATATCTGGCTTTCTCATCCATCTAATGCCTCCACCTGTAGGATTTTTCACAAGATTGTTTCAGGTCACATATAGCTAAATAATTTCAATCTCTGTCTCTGTCTCTGTCTCTGCCTCCCTCTCTCTCTCCATGTATTCCACCCTCTTTCTGTCTCACTTCCGGGGAGGGGGGAAGCATTGTGTTTTACCTCTTTTGTCTAATTGCCAGAGACTTAATTCTCCGGTATAATGTTACCCTTTTCCTCAAGGGGATATCCTCTGGGGCCATCAGGGCTGTTGCAAGGCAAAACATTTATGGTAGAAGAATCAATAATACTCACATTTATTATTTCAATATAGCATCCCCGTTATACAGCTTTGCTTCTGGAAAGTACCCAATCCTGAAAGCAGCAGAGGGTGAAATCCTCACCCCCACCACCCCTGACCTCTGTCACCTGTACTGATATAACTTAGATGAGAAGCATCAAGGTGGGACTGCTCCTCTCTTGAATATAAAGCAAAAGGAGAGGCAGGGGGTGGGGGTGATCCTCACAGGTGAAGGTGATAGCTGATACCCTAGGCTCAAAATTCTACTGCTATTCCCTGGGGGACCCAGTAAGATCTGAATGGAGTGTTTCAAAGGGGCCTCTGTTTCAAAGGGGGCCTCACCCCTCTAAAAAGGGGCTGAGGGTTAGGCAGGCCTTTTTCTCCCAGAAGTGGGCAAAGGGACAACCCATCTAAGAACCTTTACCCTTGGGTAGGGGAGAACAACCTTTCCAAGGGATCCTGCCAGATCGACCACTCTCCTGGTGCACTAGTGGTAAGGAGAGAAAGTAACCCACTGCTCGAGTTCCCTAGACCGGTGTGTATGTTTTGGGTTCAAATATTGTTGGGGAGAGATGGCCTCTAATTGCCATGAACAGAATGTGGAGCATGTACCCCTTCCACAGTGACAATTAAAGTCTTTCTTTGTTTCTATTTACTTGCCCGTTTTTTCATTATAAAAATTTTATTCATGAAACATATTAAATTTTGAAAATGGAAAAAAGAAGAAGAGAGTCACCCAAAAGCTGCCCAGGCTCAACCCTGTGGCTCAAGGATCAAGAGAACCATGACTGCCTTTATCTTCCAGCCAGATTTGTAAACCGGGACCCGTTTGTTTCCCCAGTCCTGGCAAGAAGTGAGCAGGTTATATTTTCTTGAAAAAAGAAATGGCCCAGAAACAATGAGGGGAAAGTGGAATCTATCAAAAGACTCTAAGAGACACTGAAAATTACATGCAATGTGTGGAACTTTTCGGATCTTAATGGGGTCACATGAACTGGAAAAAATCTTTCATGAGACAATTGGGAAAATGGAAAAGGTACTGGAGAGTAGATGATGTTCGGTCAGTCTTAGTCTTTTCTAGGGTATGATATTGTATCCTGCTTATGTTAAAACAGGCCCTTACCTATTAAAGTCTATTTCTGGATGAAAAGATTTGATGTCTATACTTGGCTTCTCTGTACTCGGAAAAGAAAAATTAAAAGTATGATGGAGGATAGATGAAACAAGGATTGAAGAAAGTTAATGATTGTTGAAGTTGATGGCTCTTGAAATTAATGGGTACATGGAGTGCATTCTAACATGCTTTCTGCTTTTATGTGTTTGAAGTTTTCATAATAAAAAGTTAAAAATGACTTGCTTGCATTAGTGAGGGTAATGTGGGGGCAAGAGATTAGGAAGAAGAAAGAGTCATGTTCATGGAAACAATAGCAAGAGAAATATGAAAAATACCTGTGAACTACATATTCATAGACCTCATGCCAATTGTAGATTCTGACAGAAATAAGCCACCCTTGAACAAATGGTTCAGCAAATGGCTCTGCAACATGAAACAGTGTTTATTTTCCCAGAGAAAGAACATGGATGGAAGGCGTTGTCTTTTGGATTTCTTAATCAATCATAATTTACTTTTAAAAGGCACCGCTTTGCTGTTGTTGTTGAAGAACGAATGTACAAATTATTTATAAAATAACATGGACCCTTGGTAAGAATGTTGAAGGCGTCCTGCTTGAGATTTTCTTACCTATAAGAAACCAGGTGACAGAAGGTATGAACTGTCTCATATGTGAGCTTGGTAGAGAAAGTATTTGAGATCCAGAGAGACTTAGGAGTCAGAAGCATGGGCTCATGTCTTTACCAAAGTCAGCGCCATTTTCAAGACAATAGCAATATAACAAAGGAATCTTGCACTATTTAGAAACTTCTGTTTAGGGGATCCTCTGTCTCTGGGGATCCATTACACCGGGGCAGGAGGTGGCAATCTTACCAGAGTGCCCCACCAAATATCACACCCCTGTTCACTGCTGCACTAATGGTAAGGTACAGAGTGCTAAGTGAGAAAAGTTCAGAAAAGTGCGTGATTTTGTGTGTGTTTGGGGGGGGGATGCAGTAGTGTTTGTGCAAGTGTGTGTGAGTGTGTGTGTGTGTGTAAAGGCAAATCTTGTGGAGATAGGATGGCCTCTTACTGGAAAGGGGAGATGAGAAGTTGTCCCATTATACATTAACTACATTTTAAAACCAAATGTAGAGGAAAGTGATCTGAAAGAGGTTTTATCCTTATTTTTTTAATTTTTTTTGTCTTTTATAAAACACACCACATTAGCACATTATAATGATTTTTGGAAACAAAGAAACACAAAAGTCACCTATTATCTCACCATCACAAATTCCCACCATACGCATTGCAACATATGCAATCCCCCTCTTCTATGTATATTTTAGGTGGCTAAGATAATACCATAAATAGGTTTTATGTCTTGTATATCTTTTTACTTGACTTCATCTTGATTTGTGAACGTAGGCATGTGAGTCCTCATGAAGATATAAAAATTCAATCACATTTGCCCACACATTGAACAAATTGCAGTTTTCATAATGATACAATTAGATGTAATCAGAGCTGGCCCTGAAAATCGAGAGCATTTGATCTCCACAGGCCTGATTGGCTCTAACGGCAGATGGAAGGAGCCTCAAGTCTCTCAATCACTGTCAAACTGTGAGGTGGGGCCTGACAGGAGCAGTGGAGGAAAAGGTGGTTTAAGGTCGTCACCCAACACAGGAGTCATTTGCCCTTTCTACCATGCAGCTCACACAAAGTGGATCAACCACTGCTCCTGGGCACACAAACTGGTTTCTAAAAAAACAGAGCTGCAGTAGGGCAAATCCCAGTGGAGAATCAGGAAAGCAACTGAGAGCTGAAGAGAATCTACCCTGGTGTCCAGAACGCCTTCCACCCCTAAAAGAGGGCCGGCAGAGGAAAGAAACCTGGAGAGCACACACAAATGAGGATGGTATTCACAATAACTTACAAAGGTTATGGTAATATCAATCAGTACATAAATCAGCATATCAATGAAATATTGAAACGGGTTCTTTATATCCCCTCAATAAGTGATTTCTGACAAAACTATGTAACACAGGATTAAATTTGTAGCTTAACAGCTGATTTCTCTTAAAATGCCTATACATTGCTTGATAGAATTTCCAAACTCCGTTTTTTTGTTGTTTTTGTTTGTTTGTTTGTTATTGTTTTTGTTTTTGTTATTTGAGAACGAGTCTCGATCTGTCACCCAGGCTGGAATGCAGTGGCGCAGACCCGGCTCATGGCAACCTCTGCCTCCTGAGTTCAAGCGATTCTCCTGCCTCAGCCTCCCAAGTAGCTGGGATTACAGGCATGTGCCACCACACCCGGCTAATTTTTTGTAGTTTTGTAGTAGAGACAGGGTTTCACCATGTTGGCCAGGCTGGTCTCGAACTCCTGACCTCAGGTGATCCACCTGCTCGGCCTCCCAAAGTGCTAGGATTACAGGCGTGAGTCACCACGCCCGGCCAGAACTTCCAAACTCTTTTGCAGCTGCAGTGATATAAGGAGCTGACTGGGTCCAGGGATTCTTCACACTTTCATTATTTCAATTTCTAGCTTTTCAGAATGTTGCTTCTTTCTGCAGGTTACTTGAAGTAAGATGGTAAACACAGTTTATTGAGAAAAGACTTTCGAATATTTGCTTTATATCCTTTATGGCACCAGCCAGAGATAATTGAACATGATGACTTGTCACCAAAGTAAAACATCTGCAAAATTATCTGAATCGTTGGCTAAAATTTCAGACTTTCTTCCTAGCATTCCATGGTCAACGCCTTTCAAATTCGAATACATGTTCATCTGAGTGTTTTTGCATTAACCTCATTCTCTCAACCCATTCTTATGGCTACACACAGCATGTACGCGTAAGGTTTGGTACATGATTTCAGATGAGATTTCTCCCAAATTTCACATTTTAGATAAATTTCATTAGGCTTTCCACTGAAATAGTTGAAGTTGACTCTCCTGACATGAGCACTGAGATTCCTGTGTCCTGGAAACCTCTCTGAGGGACATGCAAAGACACAGGTTTCATAGATGGGTGTAGAAATTTGGGGTGGGAGGAGGGACAGGCTTCTTACAGGTGGCCCCCAATATAGGGGCTGAAAGTAACCCTGTTTTTAGTGTGAAATGGACACCGCACAGATTATCCACTTTCCATGTTTCCATAGTTGTTGTTGTTGTTGTTGTTGTTTTCTTTTTCTTTTTCTTTTTTTTTTGAGATAGAATCTCGTACCGTCGCCGGAGCTGGAATGCAATGGCCTGATCTCGGCTCACTGCAACCTCCACCTGCCGGATTCACGCGATTCTCCTGCCTCAGCCTCCTGAGTAGCTGGGATTACAGGGCCCCGCCACCACGCCCGGATAATTTTTTGTATTTTTGGTAGAGATGAGGTTTCACTATGTTGGCCAGGCTGGTCTCGAACTCCTGACCTCGTGATTCGCCCGCCTCGGCCTCCCAAAGTGCTGGGATTACAGGTGTGAGCCACCGTGCCCGGCCTCCATGGTTTCTTTTATCCCCTCACTGCTGATATTGGCAACTATGATTTGGGGCCCCCAATAATGGATTATACATGGTGACATTCTGATGTGAATTTAGTGCACAACTTAAGCATGTTGTATTCCTGAGCATTAGCACTCTGTCTGTGGATCGACAGTTGTGACCTGAATTGCGATAGTGCTGGTTTAACTTTTAACGTTGTGAATTCAGTGAATTCACTGTACATTGTGAGTACAGATCTAAGAATTCACATCATGAAAACGAGAATGATGACAATACCACTGCCAGCATGACCAAAAAAAAAAAAAAAAAAAAAAAAGACAGACAAATTATTGTGTTATTTTAGTGACGGATGGAAGAACACATAAGACTGGATTAGGGAGGTAAATGACAAAACCAGAAAACACTACGCAAAATGCAGAAATAACCTGGGGTCAGGTATGGTGGAGAAGGGGATGTGAAAGCAACCAAAAGACTCCCAAAAAAGTCACCAATGTCCCATTGAAAACGGAGCCTGCTGAATTATTGTGGGCATACCACACTGACCCCACACACATTGTGCTTCCATTTCCTTGATTGCTCTATGAAGCTGAGTGAAGTTACATTCAGAGTTTGCAACAAACATGTTCTGTACATGAATAAGAGAAAGTTTGATCACAGATGTGCTGGGACCTTAGAATGCGTGTAGAGCTTATTCTGTCAGATCTTACCAACTATCATGCTTTCTAGAGTGTATCAAGTGATGTGTCCATCCAATGGCAATGACCAAAACATCTCCCCCAAGCTCTTATGTAATTCGATTTGGAAAATGCAGTTGCAAATAGTCTTCTTGATTCCTGTGAAGATTTTAATGAAACCGCAGACACATAGAGCAAAAGATTGCTGATACCTTTCCAAATACAAACTCAGCTTTGCTCATCGATCTGCATAGTGGAAAGACAGAGCAAATGTACAATTTGGCAGAATCCATCCAGCCTACAAACTTCCTATCAAAGAAAATGAAAAGCTCTTACCTGTTAAATGTGCTGCACACCATGTACTCAACACTGATTTGAGAAGAAAAGTGTGATTTGCTTACCTGTGATTTTGAGACCTATATAGTGAAGGTTTGTTGCCACTTTTTAGTTTCCTCAAACATGCAGAAGTAATGAGGTTTGACAGAGACATGAGACTATAAGATGTCTGTCATTGCTGCCAACCATGGAAAAGATGTTAAGATGTCCAGCTGCCCATAAAATCATATTTTCAAAGTGTGAGACACGAAGAATATCTTTCTCTTATTTGGAAATATGCTGAAGATAGGAATAAAGAAAAGGATTACAGTAAAATGGAGACGAGAGATACAGTAAAGCAGAAATGTATATGCCATTTCTCCAAAACTGTGCGAAGGTCCTTGAAGAGGCCATAAAGAGCTTAAGAACCTATCAACTGACTGCCCCTGAATTGTTCCATGTTATGTGCAGGTTGCAATGAAAACTGACATGGCAAAAAAAAAAAAAAAAAAAAAAAAAAAAAAAGACACTTTTTTTTTTTTTTTGGCAAAAAGACTGCTTGAGAAATCAAGAGAAAAAAAGGTCACTAGCAAAAGGCTTCCACATCAAACAGGACTTTCTCAACTTCTTTGCTAATAATTTAACTTATAGGAAATCCAACTTCAACAATGCAAGTTCAAATTACCCTTGATCTTTAAAAACCTTTTTCCCGAGAAAGAGCGATGTAACATACAATGACATCCAGTGTGCTTCAGAGTGTTTAAGAATTATGGACACTTTAGCCATGAACAGTCTATAGGAGGAATCATTGATACAAAGGACCCGATTGACTGACAAAGCAAGCCTTATGTATAGAAAGGAAATGCACATTTCTGGAAACCTGGAAATCAATTTCTACAATCTAAAACCTACTGTAGGTAGAAGTAAAATCCATGCTCAAACGCTTTTGTTGAGAGGATATTTAGTTCAATGTCATTACATTGGACTGATGCCAGGAGGCAATCTAATGTGGCCTTGGGAAGAGGAGAACTGGATATGTCTAAGTAAATTATAAGTCTGGTTGAGTGCTGATTAGCCACTGCACAAAAGAAAAGAAAAAAGGAAGTTCTAACATGGCGGGCAGTTCAGAGAAGAGTTATGACAGAAAAAATAAAAATATCTTACTATGTTGGTGACAGAATGAAACCAGCCAGTGGGTTTTTTTTTTTTTAATGTAGGTAAGTATCTGTGTGGTTATTACTGCTGTTTCTGCATATGCCTTTTAAAAAGTCTTCTGGTTGTGTATGATAAAAAGTAATGATATAGCCAACAAAATTTTAAAATCCAATAAGAATTTTTCTAAAAACAGTTACCATAAATTGCCGTGTCAAAAGACAGAAAGGAACATTATGCTATACCGTTATATTTTTCACATCTATTGTGTAAATAGTCCATTTATTTACTACTATTTGCCACTGTAAACTAGTCCCGTTGTCACCTTGTTTAAACAATGGCATTTATGAAACCAAAGAAAGAAATACGGAATGATATGTAATTGTAAGTGAACTCTTATTTTTCTTATTTTATGTTAAAGGAATAATGCATACATGTACTACTAATTATGACACAATGCTTTCTTGTCTCCAATGGATATATCCAAGGTTGATGTTCCCAAATTTTGGTCACCCCAACCTTCATTTTGTGATTTGTAAGATTTCTAGAAGGTTGCCCTCTCATTTCAGTAGACAGGTATCACAGGCGAGACTGAATTTTAATGGCAAAGACACAGCCATCATTTTATTTCTTTATGAAGTTCCATGAATATTTCATGGCCCAAGTGATTTTTCATTATACAGAAGATATTCCTCAAAATTCTGATATTTTCTGAGCATTTTTTCATTTGCTCTTTGAACACCGGGATAAAGTATTTTTGAATTTTCTGATTTCACATGCATGATGGCATGGGACTGATATATGCTGATCGTTTAATTTCTTCATCATCAATGACAGGACATTTTACTTATTTGAAGCACGAGCATAACAGAACACAATTGTCGGTCTTTGAAATGTCTGTGTTTAGCAATTTCAACTTTTAGATCTGACATTTGAGGGCCATTTGCATCCAACATTGAAATCACTTGCAAACACAGTACACTCTAGTTGGAGAGAGGGATGTTGTGTCTGAGTGTGGAGGTTCAATCCTGACTCTACTATCTATTAGCTGTATGACATTATTTCACCTCATCTGTAAGATGAGGATGGTAATAGTAAGCACCTCTTGCAACTATTTTTTCACTTAGTCGACAGACCATTCTGAAGGTTCGCTATGCTTCTAATAGGAACCAAGGATATTGCAATAAGCAAAAAAGAAAAACTGCCTTCCCTTGGGCCACTTTGATCCTATTGGAGGAGACATCACATGCACATATATTATAAAGTGGGAAATAAAGTCAAATAAAATGAATAAAGGGAAATAAAATGCCCTTTATTCCCTGAGATGGTGGGTTGGGGAAGGCCTCTCTGGGTGATATTTAAGCAGAAACCTGAATGAAGGCAAGGCAAGTCATAGGGAAAGACAGTTCCAGGCAGAGGAATGTGTGAAAAGATCCTGAGAGGAAACTAAGCTAATGCTTTGAGAGGGAGCAAAGAGCTTACATATATTTCGCCTTCACTATGTGTCAGGCTCTGCCCTATGCACTTGCTATTTCTGTAGCTATTGAATTCTGTCCACATCTCTCAAAGATAGGTGGTACTAGTATAATCAGCCTGGTTTTTACCAATGAAGGATTCAAGAAACATTGGGGAAGCTCTGCGGGACATTGGTCTGGGCAAAGTAATAATTCTTGAGTAATAACCCACAAGCGCAGGCAACCAACGCAAAAATGAACAAATGCGATCGCATCTAGTTAAATAGCTTCTGCACAGCAAAGGATACAATCAACAAAGTGAAGCGACAGCCCACAGAATGGGAGAAAACATTTGCAAACTGTCCATCTGACAAAGGATGAATAACCAGAATATCTAAGGAGCTCAAATGACTCAATACAAAAAAGTCTAATAATCTGATTAAAATATGGGCAAAAGATCTGAATAGACATTTCTCAAAAGAAGACGTGCAAATGGCAAACAAGTATGTGAAAAGGTGCTCAACGTCACTGACCATCAGAGAAATGCAGATCAAAACTACAATGAGACATCATCTCATCCCAGTTAAAATGGCTTTTATTCAAAAGGCAGGCAATAAGGAACGCTTGCGAGGGTGTGGAGAAAAGGGAACCCTCGAGCACTGGAGGGTGTGGAGAAAAGGTAACCCTCGAGCACTGTTGGTGGGAATGTGAATTAATACAGCCACCATGGAGAACAGTTTGGAGGTTCCTTGAACAACTAAAATTAGAACTATCATATGATCCAGCAATCCCACTGCTAGGTATATACCCAAAAGAAAGGAAATCACTATATTGAAGAGAGATCTGCACTCCCATCTTTATTGCAGCTCTATTCACAATAGCCAAGATTGGGAAGCAACCTAAGTGTCCATCAACAGACAAATGGATAAAGAAAATGTGGTACATATGCACAGTGGAGTACTATTCTGCCGGAAAAAGAATGAGATCCTCTCACTTGCAACAACATGGATGGAACTGCAGGACATTATGTTAAGTGAAGTAGAATGATGGTAACCAGATGCTGGGAAAGGCGGGGGCTAGGGGAAGTGGACATGGTTAATGAGTACAAAAATATGGTTAGGTAGAAAGAATAAGATCTGGTATTTCGGGCTGACTTATTTATTTATTTTTTTGAGACAGAGTCTCACTCCGTCACCCAGGCTGCAGTGCAGTGTCACGATCTCGCCCCTCACTGCAACTTCCGCCTCCTGCGTTCAAGCGATTCTCATGCCTCAGCCTCCCGAGTAGCTGGAAATTACAGGCCTGCGCCACCACACCAGGCTAATTTTTGTATTTTTAGTAGAGACGGGGTTTCGCCATGATGGCCAGGCTGGTCTCGAGCTCCTGGCCTCAAGTGATCCGTCCGCCTTGGCCTCCCAAAGTGCTGGGCTTACAGGCGTGAGCCACCGCGCCTGGCCCAGATCTGGTATTCGATACCACAACAGGGTGATTACGGTCAACAATAATTAATTGTACATTTAAAAAGAACTAAAAGTATAATTGGAATGTTTGTAACACAAATAAATGATCAACGTTAGAGGTGATGGATACCCCATTTATCCTGATGTGATTATTACACGTCGTATGCCTGTATCAAAATATCTCTTGTACCCCATAAATACATACAGCTACTATGTACCCATAAAAGTTAAAAATAAAAATTTAACATTTCTGTTCTTTAAAAATTATCATAAAGAGAATGAGAAGATGACCAAAGACTGGGAGAAAATATCTGCAAATCATATACCTTATAGAGCACTTTTATCCTTTCATTCCTAGTTTTCTAATATTTTTGTTAAGTTTTAGTTAGGAATGTAGATTAAATTCGGAAAAATACTTTTTTTTCTGAATCTGTTGAGATGATCACTTTGTTCTGTTAATGTCATGAATGAATTAGATTCATTCCTGAATGTTGAACTAGCCTTGTAATTTTTAATGAATATCACTTCATCGTTATATAATATCCTTTTATAGCTTGCTTGATTCAATTTGCTAATATTTTATTGAGAATTTTTGGATCTTGGTTCATGAGGGACATTGGTCTTTTCTGGTAATAAAAGACCAATGTCTTTTATTGGTCTTTTCTGGTAATAAAAGACCAATGTCTTTTATTGGTCTTTTATCTGTGTCAGGTTTGGCTCTTTCTTCTTTGACTCGTGGGTAATTTAGAAATGTGATTTTTTAAGCACCATATAATGGAGACTTTTCTATGTATCTAAATATTATTGATTTCTAATCGGTTGTGAACAGAGGATGTACTCTGTATGATTTTCTTCCTTCGGAATTAGTTAAAACTTGTGTTATGGTCCTAGAATATAGTGTATCTTAGGGTTGGCAAAGTACGCCCTGTGAGCTGGCAGCTTGTTATTGTCAGTTAAGGGTTTTTTTTCTTTTTAATACGGTCACACCCATTTATTTATACATTATTTATGGATGCTTTTATACTAAAACGTCAGAGTTGAGTAGTTTACAAAACCTAAAATATTTACTATTTTTCTAAGAAAAAGTTTCTCAGTTCCTGTATCTTACTGAATACTAAGCACATTTCAAAAGATGTGTACAGTCAGCCCTCCATATCTGCAGGTTACACATTTGTGGATTCAACCGTCAATTGAAAATACTTTAAAACATAAAACAGAAACAAAAATGACAATACAATAATAAAAAGTAATAATACAAATTAAAAAAAATACAGCATAACCATATTCACATAATCGTATTAGGTATTATAAGTTGTCTAGAGATGATTTAAAGTACACGAGCGTATGTGCATAGGTTATATGCAAACACTATATACCATTTTATGTAAGAGACCTGAGCATCCAAGGATCTTGGTATTCACGGGAGTCCTGGAACCAATCCCCTGCAGATACTGAAGGAAGACTGTATTTTATGGTGTACATTAGTGGTGTATTTCATAACTATCGATTACCACAAGTTGGTTCACAGTGTTGTTTAGTCTTCTATATCTTTATTGACTTATGGCCTTTTGTTTTATGAATTATTGAAAGAGCAGTGTTAAAATATCCAACTGTGATTGTGGGTTTTCTATTTTTTTCTTTAATTCTGTCAGTTTTAAGTGTTAACACATTTATGATTTTGAAATAATGCTCTTTGTTTTTGTATCTCTCCTTCTTCATAAATAGGGCATACCAAAGTTTTGTGAGAAAAAAGAAAGAGAAAAGAGCACACGATATGCACTTAATAAATGGTCTGTAATTCTTTGGCCCACTAAGCAGGCAAAGTGCTCAGGGCATCGTAAAGCAAGCCTAGTCAGAGAGAGGTCTGTGCATGTGTGTGGGGAAAAGAGCTGCACCTTTATTTTCACCCACCTCTAACTTACAGTGATCATGTCCTAAAACTATGAGCCTAGGCATGAAACTCCATTGATAGTAGTACTACATGTGACTGTGTCGCCAACAAAAATTTCGGTATCACATTACACTTCTTTCACATTTCTCAGAGTATCACCTATGCTCAGCACTACTTTGAAACTATGGTAGTTATTATACCCATCTTGTGATAGTTATGTAAGGTTTAATTAAAAAAAAAATTTCCTCACATCACAATATCTTTCTAAAAGTACAAAATGCCATCTCCATACAATGCATTTTTATAATCCCGTGTGTTTAGTTATATATATTTATGTTAAAAATATCATTGTCTTAAGGGATCCACCGGCTGTACCAGGATATCAAAGGGATCCAAGGCACCAAAAGGCTGAGGATCCCTACTGTGATGGTTAATATTAGGTGTCAACTTGATTGGACTGAATTGAAGGACGCCTAGATAGCTGATAAAGTATTGTTTCTGGGTGCATCTGTGAGGGTGTTGTCAGAGGAGACTGACGTTTGAGTCCGTGGACCGGGAGAGGAAGACTCATCCTCAATGTGGATGGGCACCATCCAATTGGCTGCCCGCACGGGTAAGGCAGGGCAGATGGAAGTAGGTGGGACAAGCTGGCTTGCTGAGTCTTCTGGCTTTCATCCTTCTCCCGTGCGGGATGCTTCCTTCTGTTCCTCCTGCCCTCGGACATCAGACTCCAGGTTCTTTAGCCTTTGGGCTCTTGACTGACTCAGCATTTCCTTCTAGGTCTGCTAACCCAGAGTGGAGCAACTCTTTGCTTAGCTGTGGCTGACAAAATGCCCTTCCCTAGGGGAGAAAAAGCACGTTTTCCTGCACAAGCCAGTCTACAATTCCAAAGCACTTTCCCTCCGGGTGCTAGTATGTGACTGAGGTTTGGAAGTTTTTTTAGCTCCTTTTTTACCGGACACCTGTTTTCTTTGTGGAGGCCTCTTTATGTAGCCCTATCCCTACTGACAAAGGGGCAGGGATAGAAGGGTCAGGCGTTGGAACTGCAGTCTAATCTGAGTGACATGACCCCTTTTATAATCTGTGGAAACTGCCTTGGTAGTGCTTCTGTGCTCTGAGTGCTCCTTCTCTCTTGATTTGGGAGATATGAGATATGAGAAGGCCTCTTGGAGGAGGCAACACTTGACCTGGGTGTAGAGGAGAACAAAACCAGGGTGGAGGATAGATCCTTAGAGGTTGGTCTAGACCAGGACAGCTTCTGTCGATGCAGCACAGCCTGGTGGTTAACATCCAGTCTTTGTGACCCAGCTCTGTGTCTTAGTTACTATTTATTTTGGAAAAAATAATCAAGTTCTCTGAGTCTCATATTCTTTATCAAGTATAGCCAACAGTAAGACACACCCCACTGGGAGAGCCCTGCCTGATGAGTATTTGCTCAGGTAACAATCCCATGTAATGTGCTGGAAAATATGCTTCCAGAGAGCTAGCACTTCTTATCTGCTATGGACATGTGTGGGTCAAAGAGAGTATTTGGACACTGACACGTGGGACAAGAGATATGACTATTTTTTCTTTTTAGCTTCAACCATATGTAGATAGCAAGCATTTTGCTATCCACCAAATGCTTTACAAAGACTGTTAGTTTTAGTCTCCTCTACAATCCTTGGAGGGCTGTGCACAAGACTCTGTTACTGGCCCAGTGTTGCCAGTTAATAAATGGCAAATCTGGGATGTGATTTCAGCTCAAGTCTTTCTGGTGCCTCAGTCATCTTCTTCCTAGTTAGGCCTCACCACAGGTACCTCATCATAAATAAGTAGAAATCATAGGCCAGTCAGTTTAATTCTCTATTAAAGGGTTGGTGAGAAAGAGGGTTCAAATTGTAAGTTTGCATATAGAATACAGGTGTGTCTTTAAGGGGACTCTTTTAAAAACAGATCAATTTAGGGCATGGTTAGATTCTGGATAAGGCCTCATCTGCATACAAAAAGGATTTTCTACACCTGTCCTTAGATACCAACTTCTCTGATACATTTAAAACATGATACAGTTTTTAAAAATTTGATTTTCTGTGCAATCCCTTCCTCAACTCCACTTGCTCCACCTCTAGCTGCAGTCCCTTTCTCAGATTTGGCATACCCTCCTGGTATAAGGGAAGGGGAAACTGCTCCTAAACGGTAGCCAACATGGCAACATTATGATCTGGATTTTTTGGGAAAGCTTTAACTTCAAATATTCTGTGATTGTTGTTCCGTTATCTGCAAATATCATATATCTCTTTACTAAATGGAATAAAGTAGTAAAATAAGGAATTTTGAAAAAATAAGTCATTTTAACTTAAGCAAAAGTAGTTTCAACAGAGTGGTGCAAGCAGAAACCAGAATGCAGGGAACTAAAGATGGAGCAGGAGGTAAGTGAAAATAATGTATGAAAAAAACACATGTGAAAGAGTTTGGCAGTAAAAGGAAGGGGAGCAAAGGTAATGTATTTTTCTTTTAAACATGATCCCCAAATCTGGATTTTAAAACAGACTCTTGGGTTTCTTCTGGGGATAATATACACTCAGGAGAAGTATTGGGATTTGGAATACTTTTTTTATCTCTTACAGAGATGATGGGACAACATTTTTGAGGAACTACCATAGAAAATCTAGGATGTCTAGTTGCTGGATTTTATCTGTCTAGCAAAAACATGGCTGTTACTAGAATAGAGGGAAGTGTGTAGGAGTAAGGCCCTCTGACTGTTAGGAATGGACGAGAAGAAGGAGGCTAGTGGGTGAAGCTTCAGAAAAGAAGCAGTATTCCTTTTCCTTTGAAATGACAGTGAAGGCATGGAGGATGGATGGAAACTTAAGTGTGTAGATGTGGGTAAATCAGGCATTCTTATGAGATTTTTGATTTCAGAAAAATAGGACATGAAGTCACCTGCTGAAGCTGAGGCTTAGAGTGTAGAACGGAATGTCTTCATTTATTCATTCATATATTCATTCAGCTAGCATGTTAAGTACCTGCCATAAACTGTGGTAGGCCTGTGGGATTTATAAACACATAGGTCCGGCCCTAGCCTGGAGTAGCCACTACTGTGTGTTTGGAAGAGAATCAAGGTAAAGGAAATGAAAGTAATTCAGAAACAACAGAAGCTGTACATTACAAATCAGTATTGGACCACTTGGGTAAGGTCCCAATAGGTAAGTCCCTCCCCGGGCTCGTTGGAGGAGCTGGTGTTGTGGGCATTTTGGGAAGATCTGAGGGAGAGGGGTGATAAAAGTGACACTCAAAGTGATGGCTATGGTGTTGAAGTTAGAAAAGAAGTCTTGTATGGCTAAAGAGCTGATGGTTTTACAGACCGCAAAAACATGAGATCTTACAGTCACGTCTTGGGGCTCAGCCTGGCATATAGCATTGAGTGAGGCTATATGTCTTATATTGGGGGTAATATTTTGGCTTCATCCATCATGATTATCCTTAGGAAAGTCATTTAGCCTGATCTATCTGAATCAGCCATTTCCACAGAAACAAATACCCCTGTAGCATGGGCAACTTTGTGTAGTAGATAGGTTACTCTCTCCTTGCAGGTTACCTGCATCCAGATTTGTCAGAAGCTGCCTTCTGTACCACGCTGGTTTATCCTGTCTTCCATAGCAAAATCAGGAAAAGCAAAAATATATATATTTGAATTATCTATACTGGATTATGATGGGACATGCATGGGCTTTGGGGACCTGCATTTGAATACTGGCTTCACTGATTAGAACAGTAGAGTGAACTTAAGCAAATCACTTTTCTATTCTGATTTTCACTTTCCCAGTTTGCGAAATATGTTCAGTAATGATTGTCTCCCAGAACTATGAGGACCCAGGACCAAGTGAGATAATAAAGGTAAAGCAGTTAACACAGTGCCTGATTTAAATCAGTACTCATATAACATTATTGCTTTTTTTCCCTTTTATTTGGAATAAGCATTTCATTACTGTGAGTAAGGTTTGAAGTCTAGCACAGGTCAGTGGCTGAGCTGAAACTTGCTTCTTAAAGATGTACAGGGACCCACTATAGTTTCTTAATTTTATATGATGAAGTTCATCCAAGGTCACTCCTCCTTCCCTTTTCTCTCTCATGCTTTGTGGTCTTAGGAACTGATGCTCCACTAATCATATAGCTTGGTTAGTATGTTCAAGACCCTTGGCTGCAAATGACAGGATCCCAACTGACAACTAGCTTAAGCAAAACAAAGGACTCTATTGGCTCAGATAGCTGGGAACTTTGGCGCTTCTGGCACAGCTGGATCCACAAGGTTCAAACGATGTTCCCTGGGCTCTTTCTCCCAATCTCCAGTTCTTTCTGGTTTTCTCTTTGTGTTATAGATATTGACCTCTCAAAGTCCCAGAATCAGGTTATCATAGCATAGTGACTACAGCTTGGGGGTGGGATCAGGAGGGAGACACGTTTTTTCTTCCAGTGTCCACATACCTTCAATTTAGCAACAGACTCTGATTGGCCCTACTTGGGCCCTATGCCCACCCTCAGAAGAAATGCTCCTGTGGGAGGGGTACTGGTAGAGGGACAGGGGAATTGAGAACTCTAATCTGGCCCAGCCTGAGTGATGTGCCCACTTGGGGAGGGGTGACAGAGGCAGGGAAAAGTGATCAGTAGCCCCAATAGGTCCACAAAGAATGGCGGGAAAATGAGGGTGCCGAGCAGAAAAATAAACTACAGCTCTTCAATAAACACTGTTACCAGACATCACTCCCTTGTAGTAGAGTGATGATGTGCAGTGTGATGAAGAACACTGTGCAGTGATGAGGTACTACTGTCTCACGGGGAAGGTAAACTAATGTGGTAAACCCTAGAGAGGTGTGGTACACAGTTGTGAGACACTGCTGCTGAGGAACACTGTGATGAGGGGCAGTGTGGCCACACACATGCCAGAGAGCTCAGCCTCACCTTCAGCTGCTGCTCCTCATCCCCACCCAGTCTTCCATGACTGCCAACTTCCAGGCCTGTGCTCTTTTCTCTGCATTGTACCTGGGCCTCCCTCCACACACCTGGCTATTTCTCACTGAGCACCTTTCTTAAGCCAGCCCCTGCAGCTGAGTGCTTTTCATATCCTGCTTTGGGGTAAAATACAATACTGATCACACTGTAGTATAGCACTGGGCATTTAATGGCAGCCTGATGGATGAAGGGGTGAGAAAACATTACTGACAAGGTGAATAGAGCAAATAACTGAACTCATCTTCACATTTAACAAATATTTATTAACACAGAAATGAATAAGGCTTGGCCCCCTGTTCTTAGATGCTCAGTGCAGAGGGGCAGACAATCACAAAGCTACAATAAAATCACAGTAGAATAAGTACTATCACCGAGGTATGGACAAAGTACTTTGGAGGCACAGTGAGAGGAATAAAGAGGGGAAGAGAGGAACAATTTTCTCATTTATACCTGCCTAGAGCATTCAGGGAAGACTCCAGAGAAGTCATCTGTGAGTTGGGTCTTGAAGGAGGAGTAAAAGCCACCAGGTGAATAGTCAAAGAAGGAGCCCTGCAGGCTGGGGCTCAGAGATGTAGGTAAGGCCAGGTAAGTAAGGGGTTCAGGGAACTAGGCATGAGTGACAAAAAAAGGAAATAAAGAGGGAATAAAGAATGAGCAGAAGGACTGCAAGCACAAACCCATTGCTCTACTGTGGAAATTAAAGGTCTTGTTTCTCCTTGGAGGGGGAAGAGGGAAAAAGGAAGGTGGGAAGGCCTCAGATATGGGTCCCTGCCACTTCCTCAATCAGGCCATGGGGCTCAAATACCAAAGCCAGAGCTTCACAGCTGTGATCTAACTTCTCTAAGCCACCAAATTATCAAGAGCCCCTTTTCAGAAGCTAAGAATTTGTATGAATAATGCAGTTCTAAATGGGAAAGTCCCTAATGTTTTCATTTTTCTCAGATGAATTGATTCTGCCTAGGAAGTAATTTGACTTCCTTCAGGATATGAGATGGGGCATGGAATCTCAAGAGGGGAAGGTGGGTTAGTTAGTGTTTAGGCCTTGCAGCCATTTCACAATTGGATGGTAAGATAATGATTAAAATGTCTATTTCCTTTTCCAACGTATATTGATATATCAACATAAAGCTCAAAAAAAAAAATATATATATATATATATACTCACACACCGCTGTCGTTATTCCTGTCTCCTCCATTTATTTCTTTCATACCCGTCTGTATTTTAATATGCTTAAATAAAAAAATAGAACTTCTTAAACTTTTAATTTTAATAATTTTTTCTACTTGAATCTTTCACATTTTTTCACTGGTCAATTTTTATGTAACTGTTTTTCTTTTTAAAAGCTTAAATTTTTAAATCTTTATTTAAATATTTAAAGTTTTCATTTAAATCTCTTGAACTTATCTAAGGTTCTTTTTATTTTACAAGTCTCTATTTTCTTCCTGTATTTTTTCAATTTTTGTCTTTAAACACATTTTGTCTTTTTGTCTTGAATTATTCTAAACTTGCCTCTTTTAAAACTTTTCTCTAAAATCTGAATTGCATTCCATTCTGTATTTTTGAAAATTTATTTCTTAATCATTATAGTAGTAATTTTGTTAACACTTTTTAAATACGTATATTTTATGCTTTAATTTTGAAATATCTATTTATATTATTTTCCTTCATTTGAAACTTTTAAGATGTTCCTTTGTTTCTAACTTTAATTTTTAACAGTATTTTCTTCCTTTTTTTGGTAAACTTTCATTTTTAACCTTGTTCCTTAATTTATTTTACATTTTTAAACTTTAAGAATTTAATTTTCTTTGCTTTTAATTTTTAAAATTCTGAAACTTCTTTAAATTAAAAAATTATTTTTAACTTTTAAAATATTTCTTTTAAAAATAACAACTTAAATTTTTTTCAACATTTAAAAGTTTTTTTCTTTTAAAATCTTAAAAATGATTTTTTCCTTTTTAAATGTTTTTCTTTTAAAGCTCTTTAAACTTTATTTTAAAATATTATTTTTCTTTCAAACTATTTAGCTGGTCAGCCACAGCTGGAACACCAATTGTGAAGTTTTTGCTGATAAAGGAATACTCCCTGACTTCACAAGATATTTCTGTAAAAACAAATGACATAGAGTAGCATCAGAACACTTCTACTCCCGTTGTCCCCACCTAAAGCATTCTTTTCATTTCATTATGCTTTATGTGACCATTTTCAACCTCTTCTCCCTCTCCCCATTTCTTAAGGTTGAATGGTCACTGGTTAGTATTCATTTTTTTCTTCCGACAGACCCATGGGCCATGCTAAAATAGGTTCTTTATATCAAGATACTAGCTGTCACATAGGTGTTACTGTCATTGTCCATTCCAAGTAGGTCTGTGTGTCACTTCAAAATCCTTGCCTAATCATTTACTTTTTTTTCAGTAAGTGGTCTGGTAAGACTAGTCTTTCTCTAGACCCTGTTTGTGATAGAACAGTAAATACCCTTCACTGTAGAGTAAGTCCTCAATGGTAGCCTTGGTGATGATGGCATCATCACAGCTGAACCACTGGTCCTTTTGTTGCCGGATGAAGCTGGTATAGTGGCCACTTTCCAAAGTTCCATGGTGATTAATCACTGCAAACAAGGAATACTTATTCTCATTGGGCACACAATCTGTTGGTGGCTGGCCTTCTTTCATTCTGCTCTCTTTAGTAGAGGCCAAAAACGGAGTCATGTCCAGCTCCAAGGGAAAGGAGATAAAGGTATTAATCTTTCGCCTCTGTTTGCCTACATGCTCAAACCGCTTGAGATGAAAACAAGCCACAATGGGTAATTTTTTCATTGTGAGCTGTTTAGTAGACTCCTGGTAGCTTTGGCAACTATTGCATTTGATTTTGGCACTGCTTCCTAGGTGCTCTGGCCTTGTAAACCACTGTAGACAGTCTGTAAGTGAGGGGATTCCTGGTATGTGGTCATCCCTGCTCACTGTGCTGTCAGCCCTCTCTGGGTTCTGGGAATCGAATGTGGCACAAGAGCCAGGCAAGTCCAAACTGATGTCCCAGCATGGGTCTATGGTGGTAGAAACACTATGGCAGGCTTGACATGTGACATCTGATTGCAGGCCACCTGTAAAGATTTGGTCTATGATGCAGTTACAGCAGTTGGGGTTATTGGCCTCCTGCCCACCACTATCATCTTTGCTGTGTCTATGTAGCACGTCTAATATTGCAATAAGGAACTCATGGGCATCCTGCTGCCTGTACCCTGCTAAATGTTCTGCATGGATCCATATCAGATGCAGTAACTTATAGGGAATGTGAGGAGTTCGGCTCCCAGAGTACATAGCATGAAAAAGCGAAGACATTTCACAGACCAGACACAAGCTGGGGCTTGTCATTATACATTTGTGCTTGTCAGAGAGGAAGAAATCTTTCAGTAGAGGAATATGGGTAAGTGCCTGGACAATACAATTCATAAAACAAGTGTTCCCAAGATTGATTAGCCCTCTCAGGCCTACAGTATAGACTGACTTTTTTCTTCTCTTTTTCTTGGGTTTCACCAATTTTGGCTCCTGTTCCTTTGTCTCACAGGTTGATTGCTTGTCTTCAAACCCTGATGTCATAAACTGTTGATGAGAAACATCTGTTGAGGTGGAAGTTAATAATCTCAAAATTTTTTCTTTTGTTTCTTTGGCAATCTGTTCTATGTCTTTGTCATATACATAATCCTTACACATGAAGCAATATATGACCCCATGATAAAGGTCTACAGCTAAATGGTGCTGCTTTGTTTCTGCATGTTTGTGAATATGTTTCTCAGTGAAGCAGCCAAAAAAGACACAGGAGAGACAAGAGTGGAGTCTGTTCATATGGGTACTACATACGTGACAGATGCATGACTTTGCTTTACGTTTCCTAGTCTCTGGGGTCCCACTCCAAACGAAACGCTGGTAGATCAACCTCAGGTTCTTCTGCCAGTTCTTACCTACTTTAAAGCTCTCCACATGAGAGCAGCCTGTGGGACCCTGACCAAACTCGACCTCCAGCAACCAGTCCCCTAAGCCGCCAGGATCCCCCGACCCGTCTAGGTCACCAGAGCAGCTTCTCCGTGTCTGAGGCCTGGACCCAGGCCGGGATCTGCGCCGGGATCCACGCCAGGCCCTGGGCCGCGGTGCGGGTGGGGGCGGGGGTGGCGGCGGGGGCGGGGGCCGGGCTGGAGGCGGGGGTGGGGCCGAGAGCCCAGGCTGGCTGCGGGAGCGGGCCCGGGGCTGGGGCCGAGGGCGGGGCTTGCGGCGCGGGCAAACGGGCGAGGAGCTGCTGTGACAGCGAAGGGGGATTGAAGGGAGCACCTTCTCGTCGCCGCCGCTGCTGCTCCACGTCAAGTTCTCCTCCGGCGCGGGCTCACGCTCTTGTAATGGCTCCAGCTTCATCTCCTCGGCTTCACGTCTCGAAGACGCCTTCGTAGCCCCCGCCGCCGCCTCCTCCATTTTCCCCGCCTTCTCAACCGCCTCCTCAGGAGAGGCTCCTCCCCCACCTCCGGAGATCCAGCGGACCCCAGAGCCGGAGGGCAAAGAAGTTTCTCGAACCTGGGCCATCAGATCACTCCCCGACCTGAGGAGCAAGGCGTCTGGAAAACAGCTGCGACTGTAGATGAAAGGAGACAGAGACTTCTGTGAATGATCTGCCCAGCGTCATGGCCGCGGTGCGCAGTTAGCGCCCCCAGGACCCCTCCCATCGGCCCTTGAGCTCAGCCCGCGGCTTCTGTCGGCTCCACCCACTCAACTGAGAGGCCCCTGGAGCTGATGGGGAGACCGAGGCGGTTACCTGCTTCAAAGGCGATCAGATCATGCCAGGGGACTGGGAACAGAAGGCTAGCGAGCGGTGGGGGTGGGGAACGGCCTGAGCTTTAGGACAGAAAGGATGGAAACTTCTTTAAAAAAGGCGCCACCCTCTGACTGCTTTTTTGCGCCCTGCGCAGCCTCGCTTTGGTGCAGCTTCCTCTGACGTTCTTTCCCTGTATCCTAAAAAACACTTGGGTCAACATTTTCTCTCCAAAATGGCTGAAAGGACGCACTTTTGGAAAATGAACTCACAGGAAGAAAGTGTCCCTCTGTTTCTACCTAACCTATACTTCTGTGACCCGGTGTGTTCCACTCTAAGCCGTTGCCCCTCAGCGCACTTTCGGTCCACCCAGCTCTTGCGCCCTCTCACGCTTTTTCGCGCTTGTGCTCTCACACCCCTTTTCTTGCTTCTGCGACTTCAATTCCTATGATTTCTCCTAGAATTCGGATTACTACTCCCTCCCTTCACGCATTTGCCACCTCTATGGCCACCACTATCCTCGCGCGACCCCCGAAGTCTCCGCTCCCTTTTCCCTCTCCTGCCCCCGCAACACCCCCAGCCCGGCAGTTTGTTTAAAGGTCTGGGTTACCTTGGGCCCCAGGCGCGTGATATAGAACGTCAGCAACTGCTGCTGTCCAGGCGCTCCTCAGCCAGCCTTCTCTCCTGACCTCTCCTCAGGGCTGGTCACAAGGGGGCCGCCCCCTGGCCCCTCCCCTCTCGACGTGCGGCCCCCAACCCCGGATTCTGCCCTCCTGCAGTGATGAATGGCACCGCTGTCCCGCGCAGGCAGGCAAACCTCTTCCTGAAACAGACTCTGCTGGAGGCAACAGCAGCAACAGATTCTACAGAAAGCCCCTGAAATGGAGGCTCAGGCCTCACCTAGCTCCAGGCCCGCACTCCACAGAAAAAAAGATTCACCCGGCGTGGGGGTGGGGGCTTCCAGAGATGGCAACCCTCTGGCAGGAATCCCTCAGGATCCTGTCAGAGCCTGGTCTCTGGGAGTTGACGGAGGGAGGGAGGGAGAGAGAGAGAGAGAAAGAGAGAGAGATTATCCCAGAATGTGCAGGGGAGGAAGCATAAGCAAGGGCTCAGGCTCAGAGAGACCTGAGCCCAGGCACATGCTTGCTGTGTGACCTCGGATAAAACACTTAACTTCTCTGAGCCTTAGTTGTGTCAATTTTTAAAGAGAAATTGAAATAATAACCCTAGCCCAATGTGAACACTGAGTCATAGTATATATCAAGTAAAAGACCTTTTTGGCGAGCTTTATCTGTCACACCTCTTTTTTCAGTCCGCTCCTGAAAATCAGCATAGAGAACAACTCCTGATGCAGAGTAGAGGAGAAGAGAATGCCTTTCTCTTTCAAAGCTCTCTCAAAGTTATGGCTCAGTTCACCCGATCATCCATCCTAGGCAGTCCATATACAGGAGCATGTATTCAACAAAGATGCCATAGGTGCATTATAGCGCTAGATTGTGCTGGGAGAAGCACAAGATACAACTGTTTGTGTCCTGAAGTCCATACGCCAGGAGACTTTTCCTTTTCTTTGACAGATCCGGCATCCAAGGCGACAACCCGGAGGAAAGCTATCTCCAGGGCTTGTTGCCCTTCCGGTCCAATCCCAAGAAAATTACGGTTTATTACAGCGGATGTTTAATGCTACATTTAATCTCTCTGAGAAAGTCACACACCTCCCCTCAAAACCTCACGATTAGGATTCAGCTCTCTTAACTTGGCAGTGGCATCTAGTGGATACCTCCGCACAATGGATATCACTGATTTTGTGACTTGGTTTAGATTCGACCATATCTCAGTCACATACTAGCACCCGGAGGGAAAGTGCTTTGGAATTATAGACTGGCTTGTGCAGGAAAACGTGCTTTTTCTCCCCTAGGGAAGGGCATTTTCTCAGCCACAGCTAAGCAAAGAGTTGCTCCACTCTGGGTTAGCAGCCCTAGAAGGAAATGCTGAGTCAGTCATTTGCTAGCTGTGCCACCTGTGGCTTGGATCCCAGCTGCTCTGAGACAGCCCTGCACCCTTTATGCAGGCAGGGAGGCAGGGCACAATTTATAAATACTTCTGTCTTCTGAGCCTTCGCTTTCTCCTGTGCAAAATCAGAATCATGAGAATGCCAGCCCTACCTAGATTGGTTTATTCAGCAGATATGTAAAGAGCACCTACTGCTGCACTGGGCACTATGAATATACAGCCAAACAAAACTGGGCACAAAAGCAAGTAAGCCAGAGTCCCTGCCTGAGGTCCACATCGGGAAATGCATAGGAATGTGCTGTGAAGATTAATGTTAGTTAATAAAGGCCTAAAAACCACTCGTAATCAACAACTTAATATTTGGGAGGTGGGATTGTTACAGTGCTTCAAAAAGTTTCTGAAAACAGTTGTTATTGAGCTAGACACGCCTTTAAATCAGCCCACACGCTATCGTGACCAAACAAACGATTTCTTCATTGACAATTGTCCTGTAGGAAAACCTCAGGACAGCGTGATGGGTCACTACTGTCAAAATGAAAATGAATGGGTCTGCATGGTTTAGGCCTTTCTGGAGTTCACTGGTTCCTCCAAAATGAAGCTGCGTCTAACCTTCTGGTGGACTTAACAGACTGCTAGACCCCACTCCCAAAGTTCCCAGTTCAGTGGGTTGGGTGAGGCCCAATAATTTAGGTTTCTAACGCTGTACCAGCTGATGCGGATGCTGCTGGCGTGGAGATGGTACTTTGAGAACCACTACTGTGGGATAATGTGTAAAGAAGCCCAGGTCAAGGCACTCTGGCCTTGGTAGCAGGAGCCATGTCTGATGGAGCTGGTTTCCCAGGCCTGTGTTATGTTGGCGTCTCTTACAGATTCTAGCTGTGGCAGGTGTGGCAGGGTCCTTTGGGAGTGGGGTGGTGTATGAAAGAGCAGGATTGGGAAAAAGCCTGCCTCTGTGCTCCTGGTGGCTCGCTCAGTACCTTGAAAACTGGACCCCTGAAGCCTCACACAGCCTTCTTTCTCCCAATCTGGGCCTCTTCCCCTCAATGACCTCGCTTCTCAGAGGCCAGCATCCCAAAGGGCAGACTTGGAGCCATTACCTGCCCCTGACTAGGGCTGCAGGGAGGGTGCCATGGACTGGGTTCCAGTCCTTTGGGGCCCACATTTGTCTGCCCAGCCTCCTGCCCCTGTCCCCTCACTGGATGGATCCCCTCTTCTGTTCCTTTTCTTCCTGTGCTCCAGCTCGTAGCTGGTCTGCCTCCAACCTTCTGAAGCAACAGCCTCAGACACCACTGGAGTGTGCCCTCTCCTGCCCACAGACCCATGGTGACTCCCTGTGGTCTCTTGGTTAAAATGGAAACTGCCCAACTTACTCCAACTCCCCCCCACCCCCACCCCTGAGTAGGTCCAACCTCAGCTTCATTTTCTGCTTTTGTGGGCTCCAGCACTTCAACCACAGAAGCCTCTGTATTGTCCGTGCACATGAGATTACATATGTGAAAACATGCGGCCTGTCAGTCCATTGCCTTCCCTTTGCCCTTGGATGTTCATTTCAAAACATCCCCTAGAGTAGGTGTTTTAGTTGGGGTTCTCCAGAGGGACAGAACTAATAGGATATATGTATCCTACACACACACACACACACACACACACACACACACACACACACACACGTATATGTATACATATGAAAAGGAGTTTATCAGGGAGAATTGGCTCAAATGATCACAAGGCGAAGTCCCATGATAGGCCGTCTGCAAGCTGGGGAAGAAAGCAGCCAGTAGTGACTCAGTCTGAGTCCAAAAGCCTCAAACGTAGGGAAGCCAACAGTGTAGTCTTCAGTCTGTGTCCCGAGGCCCAAGAGCCCGCCTGCAAACCACTGGTGTAAGTCCAAGAGCCCAAAGGCTAAAGAACCTGGAGTCTGATGTCCGAGGGCAGGAGGAACAGAAGGAAGCATCCCGCACGGGAGAAGGATGAAAGCCAGAAGACTCAGCAAGCCAGCTTGTCCCACCTACTTCCATCTGCCCTGCCTTACCCGTGCGGGCAGCCAATTGGATGGTGCCCATCCACATTGAGGATGAGTCTTCCTCTCCCGGTCCACGGACTCAAACGTCAGTCTCCTCTGACAACACCCTCACAGATGCACCCAGAAACAATACTTTATCAGCTATCTAGGCGTCCTTCAATTCAGTCCAATCAAGTTGACACCTAATATTAACCATCACAGTAGGGATCCTCAGCCTTTTGGTGCCTTGGATCCCTTTGATATCCTGGTACAGCCGGTGGATCCCTTAAGACAATGATATTTTTAACATAAATATATATAACTAAACACACGGGATTATAAAAATGCATTGTATGGAGATGGCATTTTGTACTTTTAGAAAGATATTGTGATGTGAGGAAATTTTTTTTTTAATTAAACCTTACATAACTATCACAAGATGGGTATAATAACTACCATAGTTTCAAAGTAGTGCTGAGCATAGGTGATACTCTGAGAAATGTGAAAGAAGTGTAATGTGATACCGAAATTTTTGTTGGCGACACAGTCACATGTAGTACTACTATCAATGGAGTTTCATGCCTAGGCTCATAGTTTTAGGACATGATCACTGTAAGTTAGAGGTGGGTGAAAATAAAGGCGCAGCTCTTTTCCCCACACACATGCACAGACCTCTCTCTGACTAGGCTTGCTTTACGATGCCCTGAGCACTTTGCCTGCTTAGTGGGCCAAAGAATTACAGACCATTTATTAAGTGCATATCGTGTGCTCTTTTCTCTTTCTTTTTTCTCACAAAACTTTGGTATGCCCTATTTATGAAGAAGGAGAGATACAAAAACAAAGAGCATTATTTCAAAATCATAAATGTGTTAACACTTAAAACTGACAGAATTAAAGAAAAAAATAGAAAACCCACAATCACAGTTGGATATTTTAACACTGCTCTTTCAATAATTCATAAAACAAAAGGCCATAAGTCAATAAAGATATAGAAGACTAAACAACACTGTGAACCAACTTGTGGTAATCGATAGTTATGAAATACACCACTAATGTACACCATAAAATACAGTCTTCCTTCAGTATCTGCAGGGGATTGGTTCCAGGACTCCCGTGAATACCAAGATCCTTGGATGCTCAGGTCTCTTACATAAAATGGTATATAGTGTTTGCATATAACCTATGCACATACGCTCGTGTACTTTAAATCATCTCTAGACAACTTATAATACCTAATACGATTATGTGAATATGGTTATGCTGTATTTTTTTTAATTTGTATTATTACTTTTTATTATTGTATTGTCATTTTTGTTTCTGTTTTATGTTTTAAAGTATTTTCAATTGACGGTTGAATCCACAAATGTGTAACCTGCAGATATGGAGGGCTGACTGTACACATCTTTTGAAATGTGCTTAGTATTCAGTAAGATACAGGAACTGAGAAACTTTTTCTTAGAAAAATAGTAAATATTTTAGGTTTTGTAAACTACTCAACTCTGACGTTTTAGTATAAAAGCATCCATAAATAATGTATAAATAAATGGGTGTGACCGTATTAAAAAGAAAAAAAACCCTTAACTGACAATAACAAGCTGCCAGCTCACAGGGCGTACTTTGCCAACCCTAAGATACACTATATTCTAGGACCATAACACAAGTTTTAACTAATTCCGAAGGAAGAAAATCATACAGAGTACATCCTCTGTTCACAACCGATTAGAAATCAATAATATTTAGATACATAGAAAAGTCTCCATTATATGGTGCTTAAAAAATCACATTTCTAAATTACCCACGAGTCAAAGAAGAAAGAGCCAAACCTGACACAGATAAAAGACCAATAAAAGACATTGGTCTTTTATTACCAGAAAAGACCAATAAAAGACATTGGTCTTTTATTACCAGAAAAGACCAATGTCCCTCATGAACCAAGATCCAAAAATTCTCAATAAAATATTAGCAAATTGAATCAAGCAAGCTATAAAAGGATATTATATAACGATGAAGTGATATTCATTAAAAATTACAAGGCTAGTTCAACATTCAGGAATGAATCTAATTCATTCATGACATTAACAGAACAAAGTGATCATCTCAACAGATTCAGAAAAAAAAGTATTTTTCCGAATTTAATCTACATTCCTAACTAAAACTTAACAAAAATATTAGAAAACTAGGAATGAAAGGATAAAAGTGCTCTATAAGGTATATGATTTGCAGATATTTTCTCCCAGTCTTTGGTCATCTTCTCATTCTCTTTATGATAATTTTTAAAGAACAGAAATGTTAAATTTTTATTTTTAACTTTTATGGGTACATAGTAGCTGTATGTATTTATGGGGTACAAGAGATATTTTGATACAGGCATACGACGTGTAATAATCACATCAGGATAAATGGGGTATCCATCACCTCTAACGTTGATCATTTATTTGTGTTACAAACATTCCAATTATACTTTTAGTTCTTTTTAAATGTACAATTAATTATTGTTGACCGTAATCACCCTGTTGTGGTATCGAATACCAGATCTGGGCCAGGCGCGGTGGCTCACGCCTGTAAGCCCAGCACTTTGGGAGGCCAAGGCGGACGGATCACTTGAGGCCAGGAGCTCGAGACCAGCCTGGCCATCATGGCGAAACCCCGTCTCTACTAAAAATACAAAAATTAGCCTGGTGTGGTGGCGCAGGCCTGTAATTTCCAGCTACTCGGGAGGCTGAGGCATGAGAATCGCTTGAACGCAGGAGGCGGAAGTTGCAGTGAGGGGCGAGATCGTGACACTGCACTGCAGCCTGGGTGACGGAGTGAGACTCTGTCTCAAAAAAATAAATAAATAAGTCAGCCCGAAATACCAGATCTTATTCTTTCTACCTAACCATATTTTTGTACTCATTAACCATGTCCACTTCCCCTAGCCCCCGCCTTTCCCAGCATCTGGTTACCATCATTCTACTTCACTTAACATAATGTCCTGCAGTTCCATCCATGTTGTTGCAAGTGAGAGGATCTCATTCTTTTTCCGGCAGAATAGTACTCCACTGTGCATATGTACCACATTTTCTTTATCCATTTGTCTGTTGATGGACACTTAGGTTGCTTCCCAATCTTGGCTATTGTGAATAGAGCTGCAATAAAGATGGGAGTGCAGATCTCTCTTCAATATAGTGATTTCCTTTCTTTTGGGTATATACCTAGCAGTGGGATTGCTGGATCATATGATAGTTCTAATTTTAGTTGTTCAAGGAACCTCCAAACTGTTCTCCATGGTGGCTGTATTAATTCACATTCCCACCAACAGTGCTCGAGGGTTACCTTTTCTCCACACCCTCCAGTGCTCGAGGGTTCCCTTTTCTCCACACCCTCGCAAGCGTTCCTTATTGCCTGCCTTTTGAATAAAAGCCATTTTAACTGGGATGAGATGATGTCTCATTGTAGTTTTGATCTGCATTTCTCTGATGGTCAGTGACGTTGAGCACCTTTTCACATACTTGTTTGCCATTTGCACGTCTTCTTTTGAGAAATGTCTATTCAGATCTTTTGCCCATATTTTAATCAGATTATTAGACTTTTTTGTATTGAGTCATTTGAGCTCCTTAGATATTCTGGTTATTCATCCTTTGTCAGATGGACAGTTTGCAAATGTTTTCTCCCATTCTGTGGGCTGTCGCTTCACTTTGTTGATTGTATCCTTTGCTGTGCAGAAGCTATTTAACTAGATGCGATCGCATTTGTTCATTTTTGCGTTGGTTGCCTGCGCTTGTGGGTTATTACTCAAGAATTATTACTTTGCCCAGACCAATGTCCCGCAGAGCTTCCCCAATGTTTCTTGAATCCTTCATTGGTAAAAACCAGGCTGATTATACTAGTACCACCTATCTTTGAGAGATGTGGACAGAATTCAATAGCTACAGAAATAGCAAGTGCATAGGGCAGAGCCTGACACATAGTGAAGGCGAAATATATGTAAGCTCTTTGCTCCCTCTCAAAGCATTAGCTTAGTTTCCTCTCAGGATCTTTTCACACATTCCTCTGCCTGGAACTGTCTTTCCCTATGACTTGCCTTGCCTTCATTCAGGTTTCTGCTTAAATATCACCCAGAGAGGCCTTCCCCAACCCACCATCTCAGGGAATAAAGGGCATTTTATTTCCCTTTATTCATTTTATTTGACTTTATTTCCCACTTTATAATATATGTGCATGTGATGTCTCCTCCAATAGGATCAAAGTGGCCCAAGGGAAGGCAGTTTTTCTTTTTTGCTTATTGCAATATCCTTGGTTCCTATTAGAAGCATAGCGAACCTTCAGAATGGTCTGTCGACTAAGTGAAAAAATAGTTGCAAGAGGTGCTTACTATTACCATCCTCATCTTACAGATGAGGTGAAATAATGTCATACAGCTAATAGATAGTAGAGTCAGGATTGAACCTCCACACTCAGACACAACATCCCTCTCTCCAACTAGAGTGTACTGTGTTTGCAAGTGATTTCAATGTTGGATGCAAATGGCCCTCAAATGTCAGATCTAAAAGTTGAAATTGCTAAACACAGACATTTCAAAGACCGACAATTGTGTTCTGTTATGCTCGTGCTTCAAATAAGTAAAATGTCCTGTCATTGATGATGAAGAAATTAAACGATCAGCATATATCAGTCCCATGCCATCATGCATGTGAAATCAGAAAATTCAAAAATACTTTATCCCGGTGTTCAAAGAGCAAATGAAAAAATGCTCAGAAAATATCAGAATTTTGAGGAATATCTTCTGTATAATGAAAAATCACTTGGGCCATGAAATATTCATGGAACTTCATAAAGAAATAAAATGATGGCTGTGTCTTTGCCATTAAAATTCAGTCTCGCCTGTGATACCTGTCTACTGAAATGAGAGGGCAACCTTCTAGAAATCTTACAAATCACAAAATGAAGGTTGGGGTGACCAAAATTTGGGAACATCAACCTTGGATATATCCATTGGAGACAAGAAAGCATTGTGTCATAATTAGTAGTACATGTATGCATTATTCCTTTAACATAAAATAAGAAAAATAAGAGTTCACTTACAATTACATATCATTCCGTATTTCTTTCTTTGGTTTCATAAATGCCATTGTTTAAACAAGGTGACAACGGGACTAGTTTACAGTGGCAAATAGTAGTAAATAAATGGACTATTTACACAATAGATGTGAAAAATATAACGGTATAGCATAATGTTCCTTTCTGTCTTTTGACACGGCAATTTATGGTAACTGTTTTTAGAAAAATTCTTATTGGATTTTAAAATTTTGTTGGCTATATCATTACTTTTTATCATACACAACCAGAAGACTTTTTAAAAGGCATATGCAGAAACAGCAGTAATAACCACACAGATACTTACCTACATTAAAAAAAAAAAAACCCACTGGCTGGTTTCATTCTGTCACCAACATAGTAAGATATTTTTATTTTTTCTGTCATAACTCTTCTCTGAACTGCCCGCCATGTTAGAACTTCCTTTTTTCTTTTCTTTTGTGCAGTGGCTAATCAGCACTCAACCAGACTTATAATTTACTTAGACATATCCAGTTCTCCTCTTCCCAAGGCCACATTAGATTGCCTCCTGGCATCAGTCCAATGTAATGACATTGAACTAAATATCCTCTCAACAAAAGCGTTTGAGCATGGATTTTACTTCTACCTACAGTAGGTTTTAGATTGTAGAAATTGATTTCCAGGTTTCCAGAAATGTGCATTTCCTTTCTATACATAAGGCTTGCTTTGTCAGTCAATCGGGTCCTTTGTATCAATGATTCCTCCTATAGACTGTTCATGGCTAAAGTGTCCATAATTCTTAAACACTCTGAAGCACACTGGATGTCATTGTATGTTACATCGCTCTTTCTCGGGAAAAAGGTTTTTAAAGATCAAGGGTAATTTGAACTTGCATTGTTGAAGTTGGATTTCCTATAAGTTAAATTATTAGCAAAGAAGTTGAGAAAGTCCTGTTTGATGTGGAAGCCTTTTGCTAGTGACCTTTTTTTCTCTTGATTTCTCAAGCAGTCTTTTTGCCAAAAAAAAAAAAAAAGTGTCTTTTTTTTTTTTTTTTTTTTTTTTTTTTTTTGCCATGTCAGTTTTCATTGCAACCTGCACATAACATGGAACAATTCAGGGGCAGTCAGTTGATAGGTTCTTAAGCTCTTTATGGCCTCTTCAAGGACCTTCGCACAGTTTTGGAGAAATGGCATATACATTTCTGCTTTACTGTATCTCTCGTCTCCATTTTACTGTAATCCTTTTCTTTATTCCTATCTTCAGCATATTTCCAAATAAGAGAAAGATATTCTTCGTGTCTCACACTTTGAAAATATGATTTTATGGGCAGCTGGACATCTTAACATCTTTTCCATGGTTGGCAGCAATGACAGACATCTTATAGTCTCATGTCTCTGTCAAACCTCATTACTTCTGCATGTTTGAGGAAACTAAAAAGTGGCAACAAACCTTCACTATATAGGTCTCAAAATCACAGGTAAGCAAATCACACTTTTCTTCTCAAATCAGTGTTGAGTACATGGTGTGCAGCACATTTAACAGGTAAGAGCTTTTCATTTTCTTTGATAGGAAGTTTGTAGGCTGGATGGATTCTGCCAAATTGTACATTTGCTCTGTCTTTCCACTATGCAGATCGATGAGCAAAGCTGAGTTTGTATTTGGAAAGGTATCAGCAATCTTTTGCTCTATGTGTCTGCGGTTTCATTAAAATCTTCACAGGAATCAAGAAGACTATTTGCAACTGCATTTTCCAAATCGAATTACATAAGAGCTTGGGGGAGATGTTTTGGTCATTGCCATTGGATGGACACATCACTTGATACACTCTAGAAAGCATGATAGTTGGTAAGATCTGACAGAATAAGCTCTACACGCATTCTAAGGTCCCAGCACATCTGTGATCAAACTTTCTCTTATTCATGTACAGAACATGTTTGTTGCAAACTCTGAATGTAACTTCACTCAGCTTCATAGAGCAATCAAGGAAATGGAAGCACAATGTGTGTGGGGTCAGTGTGGTATGCCCACAATAATTCAGCAGGCTCCGTTTTCAATGGGACATTGGTGACTTTTTTGGGAGTCTTTTGGTTGCTTTCACATCCCCTTCTCCACCATACCTGACCCCAGGTTATTTCTGCATTTTGCGTAGTGTTTTCTGGTTTTGTCATTTACCTCCCTAATCCAGTCTTATGTGTTCTTCCATCCGTCACTAAAATAACACAATAATTTGTCTGTCTTTTTTTTTTTTTTTTTTTTTTTTGGTCATGCTGGCAGTGGTATTGTCATCATTCTCGTTTTCATGATGTGAATTCTTAGATCTGTACTCACAATGTACAGTGAATTCACTGAATTCACAACGTTAAAAGTTAAACCAGCACTATCGCAATTCAGGTCACAACTGTCGATCCACAGACAGAGTGCTAATGCTCAGGAATACAACATGCTTAAGTTGTGCACTAAATTCACATCAGAATGTCACCATGTATAATCCATTATTGGGGGCCCCAAATCATAGTTGCCAATATCAGCAGTGAGGGGATAAAAGAAACCATGGAGGCCGGGCACGGTGGCTCACACCTGTAATCCCAGCACTTTGGGAGGCCGAGGCGGGCGAATCACGAGGTCAGGAGTTCGAGACCAGCCTGGCCAACATAGTGAAACCTCATCTCTACCAAAAATACAAAAAATTATCCGGGCGTGGTGGCGGGGCCCTGTAATCCCAGCTACTCAGGAGGCTGAGGCAGGAGAATCGCGTGAATCCGGCAGGTGGAGGTTGCAGTGAGCCGAGATCAGGCCATTGCATTCCAGCTCCGGCGACGGTACGAGATTCTATCTCAAAAAAAAAAGAAAAAGAAAAAGAAAACAACAACAACAACAACAACAACTATGGAAACATGGAAAGTGGATAATCTGTGCGGTGTCCATTTCACACTAAAAACAGGGTTACTTTCAGCCCCTATATTGGGGGCCACCTGTAAGAAGCCTGTCCCTCCTCCCACCCCAAATTTCTACACCCATCTATGAAACCTGTGTCTTTGCATGTCCCTCAGAGAGGTTTCCAGGACACAGGAATCTCAGTGCTCATGTCAGGAGAGTCAACTTCAACTATTTCAGTGGAAAGCCTAATGAAATTTATCTAAAATGTGAAATTTGGGAGAAATCTCATCTGAAATCATGTACCAAACCTTACGCGTACATGCTGTGTGTAGCCATAAGAATGGGTTGAGAGAATGAGGTTAATGCAAAAACACTCAGATGAACATGTATTCGAATTTGAAAGGCGTTGACCATGGAATGCTAGGAAGAAAGTCTGAAATTTTAGCCAACGATTCAGATAATTTTGCAGATGTTTTACTTTGGTGACAAGTCATCATGTTCAATTATCTCTGGCTGGTGCCATAAAGGATATAAAGCAAATATTCGAAAGTCTTTTCTCAATAAACTGTGTTTACCATCTTACTTCAAGTAACCTGCAGAAAGAAGCAACATTCTGAAAAGCTAGAAATTGAAATAATGAAAGTGTGAAGAATCCCTGGACCCAGTCAGCTCCTTATATCACTGCAGCTGCAAAAGAGTTTGGAAGTTCTGGCCGGGCGTGGTGACTCACGCCTGTAATCCTAGCACTTTGGGAGGCCGAGCAGGTGGATCACCTGAGGTCAGGAGTTCGAGACCAGCCTGGCCAACATGGTGAAACCCTGTCTCTACTACAAAACTACAAAAAATTAGCCGGGTGTGGTGGCACATGCCTGTAATCCCAGCTACTTGGGAGGCTGAGGCAGGAGAATCGCTTGAACTCAGGAGGCAGAGGTTGCCATGAGCCGGGTCTGCGCCACTGCATTCCAGCCTGGGTGACAGATCGAGACTCGTTCTCAAATAACAAAAACAAAAACAATAACAAACAAACAAACAAAAACAACAAAAAAACGGAGTTTGGAAATTCTATCAAGCAATGTATAGGCATTTTAAGAGAAATCAGCTGTTAAGCTACAAATTTAATCCTGTGTTACATAGTTTTGTCAGAAATCACTTATTGAGGGGATATAAAGAACCCGTTTCAATATTTCATTGATATGCTGATTTATGTACTGATTGATATTACCATAACCTTTGTAAGTTATTGTGAATACCATCCTCATTTGTGTGTGCTCTCCAGGTTTCTTTCCTCTGCCGGCCCTCTTTTAGGGGTGGAAGGCGTTCTGGACACCAGGGTAGATTCTCTTCAGCTCTCAGTTGCTTTCCTGATTCTCCACTGGGATTTGCCCTACTGCAGCTCTGTTTTTTTAGAAACCAGTTTGTGTGCCCAGGAGCAGTGGTTGATCCACTTTGTGTGAGCTGCATGGTAGAAAGGGCAAATGACTCCTGTGTTGGGTGACGACCTTAAACCACCTTTTCCTCCACTGCTCCTGTCAGGCCCCACCTCACAGTTTGACAGTGATTGAGAGACTTGAGGCTCCTTCCATCTGCCGTTAGAGCCAATCAGGCCTGTGGAGATCAAATGCTCTCGATTTTCAGGGCCAGCTCTGATTACATCTAATTGTATCATTATGAAAACTGCAATTTGTTCAATGTGTGGGCAAATGTGATTGAATTTTTATATCTTCATGAGGACTCACATGCCTACGTTCACAAATCAAGATGAAGTCAAGTAAAAAGATATACAAGACATAAAACCTATTTATGGTATTATCTTAGCCACCTAAAATATACATAGAAGAGGGGGATTGCATATGTTGCAATGCGTACGGTGGGACTTTGTGATGGTGAGATAATAGGTGACTTTTGTGTTTCTTTGTTTCCAAAAATCATTATAATGTGCTAATGTGGTGTGTTTTATAAAAGACAAAAAAAATTAAAAAAATAAGGATAAAACCTCTTTCAGATCACTTTCCTCTACATTTGGTTTTAAAATGTAGTTAATGTATAATGGGACAACTTCTCATCTCCCCTTTCCAGTAAGAGGCCATCCTATCTCCACAAGATTTGCCTTTACACACACACACACACTCACACACACTTGCACAAACACTACTGCATCCCCCCCCCAAACACACACAAAATCACGCACTTTTCTGAACTTTTCTCACTTAGCACTCTGTACCTTACCATTAGTGCAGCAGTGAACAGGGGTGTGATATTTGGTGGGGCACTCTGGTAAGATTGCCACCTCCTGCCCCGGTGTAATGGATCCCCAGAGACAGAGGATCCCCTAAACAGAAGTTTCTAAATAGTGCAAGATTCCTTTGTTATATTGCTATTGTCTTGAAAATGGCGCTGACTTTGGTAAAGACATGAGCCCATGCTTCTGACTCCTAAGTCTCTCTGGATCTCAAATACTTTCTCTACCAAGCTCACATATGAGACAGTTCATACCTTCTGTCACCTGGTTTCTTATAGGTAAGAAAATCTCAAGCAGGACGCCTTCAACATTCTTACCAAGGGTCCATGTTATTTTATAAATAATTTGTACATTCGTTCTTCAACAACAACAGCAAAGCGGTGCCTTTTAAAAGTAAATTATGATTGATTAAGAAATCCAAAAGACAACGCCTTCCATCCATGTTCTTTCTCTGGGAAAATAAACACTGTTTCATGTTGCAGAGCCATTTGCTGAACCATTTGTTCAAGGGTGGCTTATTTCTGTCAGAATCTACAATTGGCATGAGGTCTATGAATATGTAGTTCACAGGTATTTTTCATATTTCTCTTGCTATTGTTTCCATGAACATGACTCTTTCTTCTTCCTAATCTCTTGCCCCCACATTACCCTCACTAATGCAAGCAAGTCATTTTTAACTTTTTATTATGAAAACTTCAAACACATAAAAGCAGAAAGCATGTTAGAATGCACTCCATGTACCCATTAATTTCAAGAGCCATCAACTTCAACAATCATTAACTTTCTTCAATCCTTGTTTCATCTATCCTCCATCATACTTTTAATTTTTCTTTTCCGAGTACAGAGAAGCCAAGTATAGACATCAAATCTTTTCATCCAGAAATAGACTTTAATAGGTAAGGGCCTGTTTTAACATAAGCAGGATACAATATCATACCCTAGAAAAGACTAAGACTGACCGAACATCATCTACTCTCCAGTACCTTTTCCATTTTCCCAATTGTCTCATGAAAGATTTTTTCCAGTTCATGTGACCCCATTAAGATCCGAAAAGTTCCACACATTGCATGTAATTTTCAGTGTCTCTTAGAGTCTTTTGATAGATTCCACTTTCCCCTCATTGTTTCTGGGCCATTTCTTTTTTCAAGAAAATATAACCTGCTCACTTCTTGCCAGGACTGGGGAAACAAACGGGTCCCGGTTTACAAATCTGGCTGGAAGATAAAGGCAGTCATGGTTCTCTTGATCCTTGAGCCACAGGGTTGAGCCTGGGCAGCTTTTGGGTGACTCTCTTCTTCTTTTTTCCATTTTCAAAATTTAATATGTTTCATGAATAAAATTTTTATAATGAAAAAACGGGCAAGTAAATAGAAACAAAGAAAGACTTTAATTGTCACTGTGGAAGGGGTACATGCTCCACATTCTGTTCATGGCAATTAGAGGCCATCTCTCCCCAACAATATTTGAACCCAAAACATACACACCGGTCTAGGGAACTCGAGCAGTGGGTTACTTTCTCTCCTTACCACTAGTGCACCAGGAGAGTGGTCGATCTGGCAGGATCCCTTGGAAAGGTTGTTCTCCCCTACCCAAGGGTAAAGGTTCTTAGATGGGTTGTCCCTTTGCCCACTTCTGGGAGAAAAAGGCCTGCCTAACCCTCAGCCCCTTTTTAGAGGGGTGAGGCCCCCTTTGAAACAGAGGCCCCTTTGAAACACTCCATTCAGATCTTACTGGGTCCCCCAGGGAATAGCAGTAGAATTTTGAGCCTAGGGTATCAGCTATCACCTTCACCTGTGAGGATCACCCCCACCCCCTGCCTCTCCTTTTGCTTTATATTCAAGAGAGGAGCAGTCCCACCTTGATGCTTCTCATCTAAGTTATATCAGTACAGGTGACAGAGGTCAGGGGTGGTGGGGGTGAGGATTTCACCCTCTGCTGCTTTCAGGATTGGGTACTTTCCAGAAGCAAAGCTGTATAACGGGGATGCTATATTGAAATAATAAATGTGAGTATTATTGATTCTTCTACCATAAATGTTTTGCCTTGCAACAGCCCTGATGGCCCCAGAGGATATCCCCTTGAGGAAAAGGGTAACATTATACCGGAGAATTAAGTCTCTGGCAATTAGACAAAAGAGGTAAAACACAATGCTTCCCCCCTCCCCGGAAGTGAGACAGAAAGAGGGTGGAATACATGGAGAGAGAGAGGGAGGCAGAGACAGAGACAGAGACAGAGATTGAAATTATTTAGCTATATGTGACCTGAAACAATCTTGTGAAAAATCCTACAGGTGGAGGCATTAGATGGATGAGAAAGCCAGATATAGAGGGGGCCATGTGCTGTCCACACTGGGGCCGTTCTGACTGTTATAAGAGGAAAGATTTGTTGCAGTCTGTGCGAAGACACGTCAATCAGAGTGGATTTGGAGAGACTGGACCCACGTCTGCACTCCTGAACTTTCCTCAGCTCCCATTTGCTTTAGAAGAGATTGAGAATGTCTCACCAGCCTGATGGAAGGGTCCAGAAGGCAGCTGAATGTTTTCTGGCAAGCACTCCATGGCCACCCTAATCAGGGTGAGGAGATCTTGGAGCGCCTCGTTCTACAAAATGAGGTGTGCACATGCAGAGATGGCAAGAAGAGCCATTGAGGCATGGGAAGGAAACATTAGCAAGTCTATGCATATTCATTTTTATTACTTTCTTTTAAAAGTCTAATTTTGGTGTGTGTGTTTTATACTGAGAATTCCATATTTATACAGCGTTTCCAGTACATAATTTGTAAATTTACAAAGATACATATATTGCAGGTGTGGGCTCAACATCTTTTATTACTGTTGGTGTATTTGTTTTTCGGTGCTGCTGTGACAAATTACCACAAACTCCGTTACTGAATACAACAGAAATGTATTCTCTCACAGTTCTGGGGGCTAGAAATCTGAAAGCAAGGTATTGGCAGGACCATGCTACCTCTGAATCCTCCAGGGGAGGATCCTTCCTTGTCTCTTCCAGCTTCTGGTGCTTATGGCAATCTTCGTGTTCCTTGGCTTGTAGACACCTCACTCCAATCTCTGCCTTCATGTTCACACGGTGTTCTCCTCCTCGTGTGTCTGTGTCTCCGTGTATTCTCTACTCTTTTTTATGAGGGCATCAGTCATATTGGATTGCGGGTCCACCCCAATCGGGTATGCCTTCCTCTTAACGAATTACATCTGTGAAGACACTGTCTCCAAATAAGGTCACCTTGTGAGGTTCAGGGTGGACATGTATTTTGGGGGGGGACATCATTCAATCCAGTACAATGTCTGATGAAAAATGATCAGAGACCATTGCCACAGCAAATGTGCACTGAGCACCCACATTGAAGTCTCAACTCTGAGTTGCAACCAAATCTCATATGGATCCACAATATTTGAAAGAGGAAAAAAAAGGTTCACTAAGAAAGGAACACACAGGTTGTATACACGTATCAGCAGAATCCAGAGCATAGCACTCAAACTGGGGACCTCCCCCCGACCGCCGCTGCAAAGCCTCTCTACTATCGCTTATGTCACACCCCTTCCTCCAATCCCCAGACATGATTTTATAAAAGGAGACGGAGGTGTCCATAGATCTTAGAATTGACTCAATGATTGCTTGAAAGAGAGTAGCCAGACTGGAAGAGGCTGAAGAATGTTTAATTCATTGGAGAAATGTAACTGGTCACCCCTGCTCACCTGTAGTAACCATTGGATTGTGTACTCAGAAAGTAGGATTATTTATGGAAAGCAAACAAGTTTCTTTGTATTTCCACAACAACCTATACCGTATGCTGTATTAAATTTTGAGCTCCTGTTAGCAAGATAGTTTGTATCCATGTGGCTCCCTTTCAATTTATGGTGTCCATATCCCTCTAGTGGTTTAGAACTTCACCTAAAAACGGACGTATCTCATATTAGCATTTTGGACCAGCCCGCAGATAATGGAAGGCAATGCCATCTAATGTTTAAAAGCAAAGTGTGTATTTTGGACTTGGAGAGACCAGTTTCAGATCCTACTTCTGCCGCTTAACAGGAGTCTCACATGGCAATGTGTAAGCTACCTAACTTCTCTGATTCCCAGTTTACTCATCTGGAAAAAGGAGGACTATGATTCCTGTCGCTTAGGGTTGTGGTGAGGCTGAGATGAATGATATGACTATATACCCAGGACAAAATAGGTGCTCAATATATATATAAGCTATGGATAAGATTCACATTCTTGCTCCATTCTGGAATCTGCCCCCAGGATCAGGGGAGGGTTCTGTATCACCTCCAGAGCAACCTAGCACAGCGTTTTCCAGCTGTGCTACCACAGAATGTAGCCCTGGCTTTAGGATCATTTTACGCACCATCCCTGAGCTTCAGTGCTTTTTGTCATTAAAAATAACTTGGTATCCTTCGCTTAAAGATGAGTGATGTAATATTCTGCTGTCAGCTGATATTTTTGTGTGAGTACCTCGCCCACTTGAAAATATTTACAGTCATTACCCTTGACGTCCTTTCCAGTAGATGATCAAAAAGATTCATTCACCCACACACTTCATATTTTGACTGTTTGATATGCACAAGGTACTGTCCTAGGCTTTAGGGGCACATCAGTGAAGAAAGTGTGCTAACAGGCAGAATTCTGATCCCGTGAAGCTTACATTGTAGCAAAATAATGGTGAATGGATAGAACCATGGACCGACTTGCTGGCCACAGACTTTGCTGTATTTTTCAGAGAAACCAGACAGGATAGACAATCTTTTCCTATCTTGGTAGGAACGTGACCAACTCCATTGAACTTGCTTATCTATTGTTGTATTTGGCAGTGATAAGTATCATATTTGCTTAGCCACCCCTTGCGCTTTACAAAGCAGTTGCACACACTGTACCTCATTTAATCTTCCTAGCCATGCTGTTGGCAGGCATCACACAGCCAAGAGATAGGGAGGAAGCCATATCTTCTGATTCCAAATCCCATCCGTGTTTCTCAGGGCATAACTAGTAAAGGCAGCTCCAACCCAATGAGGCCTGAGAAAATGGATGATCATAAAGCACGGTGTGCAGGGTGAGAGAGAGAGAGAGAGAGAGAGAGAGAGAGAGAGAAGAAAAAAGAGTGTGTGTGTGCGCGGGCACACACCGCATGGTCCTGTGCCTGTTTTGGTCACAGAAGGAGAGTTTTTCAAAGAATGAAGAACAATTGCCTCAGTGCAATCTATGGTGCTTCCACAGCCCGGGGATTAGTACCATTATGTGCTGGCCTGCTGGTTAAATCCACCACTCGCAGGATGAATGGGCCAGGTCCTCCCTTCTCAAGCACCACAGTGTCTGATATGCCCAAGGCTTACTTATGCTCACTGTGCACAGATCTCCCTGGCAGCAAGGTCCACACTCTTGATGACATGGGAAAGGAAAAGATACTCATTTTCTATCCCTATCCTCATTTCGAGTTGAGCACCCTCTATAGTCTGCCAGGGCTGGGGTGGGAATAAGGGGCTGATATGGAGAAGCAGCATGCCACAACCAGTCCAAACTTGCTTCTCTGATTTAGGTCAGGGACATGGCAGCCCCTGAGACTGCTCCCACTGGTGGTGTCCAAAGGCCATGAACATGGCTTGTGGGTGGTGATTCCTTACTGCAACAGTAGGGTGCAGTACGCAGTAGGGTACGGAAGAAGGGGAAGGCTACTGCTGCCCACAGGTTCTTTGCAGGGTAAATACAGTGCATTTCTCTAGTTCCCCCCTTGCTTGCCCATCTCCACTTTGCTGCCACTTGCACTCATCGGACTATTTTCAGCATACATGTGAAAACACGAATGCTGATGGGAACAGACGGTGGGGCTGCTGTGAGGGAAACCCTAGCATAAAGGTCTAATTGGGTCCTGCTCTAAGCCCAGCACCTTCCACTCTCCTGGCATGCCCACTTCTGACAATTTTCTTGACACTGATCATTCAGAGGCACTTTTCAAAATCTACCTCCTAGACTTAGTCTCACACAACCTCATCACACATCCACACATTGCTTGCCAGGACTGGAGAGACACAAGTGTTCTGATTAGGAGCCTGTCTGGGGAATGCTGGGCACTATGGTTTTCCTGGCCCTTGGACCACAAGGTCCATGTGGGCGTCCTCCTCCCAACCTCCAAAATTCTGTACCCTGCCCTGTCGGAGTCTACTGAGAAAGGGCAGAGGGCTTTGGGGTTGTTAACCACATGATGATGAGAGGGAGAGGCCATTTCTCCTCTGCTTCAGCAGAGTCCTGGGTTGAGTCCTGTGGATGGCCAGAGTCTGGTGTTGACATTCTTCAGGAGTTTTCAGTCTACGTATTTGTGAATTACAGGTTCCAAGCCTCATATGAAAGCTTGGCATGCCATGGACTGAGGTTTGCTAGGGCAAGCAGTCTTATTTTCCAGAGCTGGAAGGAGGAAGGGGTTGCTGGGAGACTCGTTGTGAGTCCTGAGGAAAACTTTGTGTGAGGGCAGCACTGGATCACAGGGCAGGATTCCCTTGGCCTCCCTCCTCATTTCTCTCCTTGCTCCCAGATATGTGGCCACTGCCTTGCATGCTAATCTTCTATTCCCTGTTATGGTATGTAGGTTGTTTGTGTTCCTTCATCCGCCTTGCACATGAGCGTTTTGTCTTCTCTTGAGCTGGGATTCCTGAGACCACTGGTTGAGCAGAACAACAGATACATCTGCTTTCCTCCTGCAGCTACATTCTAAGATAGCCATGTCAGGGGGCAGGGAGGCCTCACTGCAGGAAGAGGGAGCAGTGAAAAGAAAGAGCTGAGAAGCAGGGGCCATGACTCTGGACTTTGGAGCTATTCGGGCTGGGGTCAAGGACTGAGTTCTTCTGTGCCCAAGACTCACGGGAGGTTGTGGGTGCCGCCCACTCACTGTAACTGCTCCTCAGGGCTGGGGACCATGTTGCCCCCTTCCAAGATTCTTTCAGTAGTCTGTGTGTGTAGTGGGGGACAAGACACAGAGAAGGAAACAGAGAGAGAGAGAGAGAGAGAAACTAAACTGTGCATATACGTGATGTTGGAAGCTACCAGGTCAGTGGACTGAGATTCCATCTCTTATCAGAAACCTCCTTGAACTTTGGTTTTGTAACCTGTAAAATGGGGCCAATTTGACATGCTTCCTATGTGAATTTAAGTAATATGTGTGAATCTTCAGCCATACTGCCTGCAAACCTGTGTTGTACACGGTGATTTGTTTGCAGATGAACTTGATTGGAAGGAAGGTGGTGAGGAGCTTGCCTTCCTGAGAGGGACAGTGTGGGTTTGGCAGAGCGGCTTCAGAGTCCATGATTGGATACGGGGTGAGGACGGGGCCATTCCATGTACCTCCACGCAGAATGCAGCTCAGCTCGGGCACCTGGGTCCTGGCAGCTTTGTGAGCTGATCAGGGGTAATGTCAACATCACAAGGGTGGAGGCTACAGTGAGGCTCTCTCAGGGGGCTGCCTGTAGTGTGCAGATTGCCCTTGTTAGTGACTTGTATCGCCCTTTGGGCACTCCCAGACACAACTACTGTGGGAATCTCATCAACGTCGTGTTGATGTCAACAGTGTGAGCTCTGAGTCAAACTCACAGTAGTGTGAGCTCTGAGTCAAGGTAATTGTTTGCATCAGCGTACAGAAAACTGGTATAAATATTTGCAAACATATGGTGTGTAGAGAAGTATATATATGTATATATAGTTATTATAATAATTATCATTATTATAATATTCCTGACTATGCATTGAAGGTGTACATATAAATGTTAGCACAGGTAAACTCTGATTCTTGGGATTAGGCTTAATATTTTCCAGCCACCTTATTCTTCTAGGGCTTGCAGAAATGTGTGCAATGATCAAGCTCCTTTCCTGCAATCACAGAATACAAAACACTACAAAATAAGTTCCATCCTTTCTTGATCGTCAAGGCCCAACGGAAGTCATGCACACTGTGATATATGCTTTTTGAACTCCTGTGCTGCTTCAGGGGCTCACAGCTCTCATGACAGGCAGCAGTTGAACCTTTTGCATTTCTTCTACTCTTTAGTTGCAATTTCTTGTTGTTGAAGCTCCTTCATGATAAGAACCATATTTTGTAATAACTCCCTTGCAACAGTAACCACCGAGTCAATGAATGTGATGGGTCAGGTGCTGCTGAGCCAGAGCATCACTGACGAAAGCAGTCCATGGACTCTTGCCGCTTCGCAAAAGTTTGTTACCTCTCTGCGGTAAGTACAGCATTTGAGAGTATAAGTTTAGGAAGTTTTATAGCGTAAGAATATATGTTTAGGAAGTTTTATAGCATGCAGTGAGAGTCATTTGGATGTTGAAATAATCAGGGCTTGTATTTTGTATGTCTTTGCTATATTTTTCTTCTTTCTAGTCGTTCGTTCACTTTCCTTGTGTTACAGGAATGTATTGATCCATGAGTGACTGATGTACAAAAAAATTAAATGCTTCTCCTTTATAACAGAGAGCTCAAGAAGCAACAGTTTGGAGCTTCGTGAAGTTCAGCTGATGTATTTTCTGCAGCATGTATATAAAGCAGGAGTCATTATTCATGTATTTGGAGATGTAAACGGAAGGTGGCCCAAGGGAGATAACTTTGACCAGGTCCCCAAGCTATTGATCAAGTAGACACTCTGGCTTCAGGACCAGCATACTTCCCCACAACATGCATAGTTTACATCAATGGCTACTTACCAGGATTTCCAAAGTGCAGATAATCCAACCGTGGTGGGGCTTTTCACTTCCCCACATCATGTGGGCCAGTGATGCCTTCAGAGCAGTTCAGCAGCCTTTATGGAAGTCACTGCATCAGGGCTCTGAAGCATCTTGGTGGAGCTCGTCTCTGAAAAGAGGGAGACACATTCAAGCATGTTATCTAAAGCAGTGTATGAAGAGAAAACAGAGTCAAAAGATACTAAATGTCCATCTGGAGGGAGGTGGGTACGCAAAGTCCTTGATTGCTGTTTCTGGGTCATCAGGGCTATTGGAGTGGGCAGAAGATAGGTGTGTGTGCCTTAGAGAAGCTCATTTATAAAATAATCTGCCCTCCCAATTTAAGACTTGGATGGCCCCAGTGGCCATTCTCTTCTCTGTTCCTTTCTTCTCGTGGTCTCTGGCCTCATTCTCACTGGCTCAGAACAGCAAAATGTTTATTCCTTTCCCAGGATGGGCCTGGACCCTGTACCCTGAGACCCAACCCTGCAAAAGCCATATCTGGACCCAGGCTTACCCTGCAGAAGGGGCTCCACACACCATAAAGCTTATTTCTTTGGGGGTCTCATTTGATAGGATCATTCCTTAGCAAGTTTGGCCAAAAGCAGGAAGAGGACAGAATGAAGTAGGGTCTCTCTCCCTCTCTCTCTCTCTCTGTCTCTCTCTCTCTCTTTCTCTCTCTCTCACACACACACACAAACACACACACACACACAGACAAACACACACACATACACACACACACAGAGAGAGAGAGGTCTAATGAGAACAGATCACATGCACATTCATGTGGAGTGTGTGTGTGTGTGTGTGTGTGTGTGTGTGTGTGTGTCCATCAATCTAGATGATAATCGTCCACAAGGCTCAGTGGGCTCAGTGGCCCTTACTTCTCTGACTTGGTGAGAAAGCAGGCCTTCGGGTAGTAAGGGTGTTTAAAAAGTCAGTGGAAGGGCAGTTCTGTAGTTCTGGAGTGTCTGTTCCACTTGGAGCTGAGCCAGCCTTCAGAGGAGAGGTCTGTTTTAAGCAAGACAAGGTCACAGAGAGGCCCTGCCACTCAGCCTCAGACTCAGAATCGAGCTCATGCACACTGAAGTAGCAGTGGCACACAGGAAACTGAGGCAGGTGCCCAGACATAGAGACTGTGGCTTCCGTGTGGTCATCAGAAGCTTCTGTGGTTCAGTGGGCAGGCTTGTTACCAGTGTAAGAGGATGCAAGAGTAATCCCACACTCTGACTTGCCAGCAGATGTGAGCTTTATAAGCCTACCTGGAGAGGCAGGCTGTCTCTCAAAGCTTTACTCTTCCAATTGTTTGCTAAGTGAACTTGGCCAGTCCAGCTGACCTCCTTGAGCGGCAGACCTCTCACAGGTAGCATGGTATTATGACACAACCCACCTAACGGGTTGTTTGGAGTGTTAAATGTTAGTAAAGTGCCCACAAGTGTGCCTCATGCATAGTAGATACTCAACAGACATGCAGAATCAACAAATAGGCAGGTGCCTAACCTCAGCTAGAAGAGTTCAGGAGGGCCAGAATGCCTAGCTGACATCTACCCACTCCAGTAGCTCCCTATTTTGCAACTCCTCCTGCATGCTCCAGCTCTCCCCTTGATACAAGTTCCCGGCGCCCTCCTGCCTACTCAAAGCTGCTGCTCCAAGGATGCTCTCTGCCACCCCTGTGCTATTGATTTCATGTCTCTCCACCGGGTGCTTGCCTTCAGCACAATGGTATTTCTTCCACCTGAAGTAAACCTTTTCCTGACTCCCTCTTTCCCCACCAGATGCCGCCTGATTTCTCTGCTCCCCATTGCTGCAAAACTCCTTGTGAAACTTGTCCATACTCATTGATTCCTCTCCTCCCATTCTCTCTTAAAGCTGTCCCAAGCAGGCTTTTTCACACAGTCCCCCAAAGAAGCTGCTCTTATTAAGGTCACCAGGAACCTCCGCACTGCTAAATGCAATGGTTAATTCTCACTCCTCTTCTTATTTCCCCTGACATCAGCAGTTTGAGCAGAGTGGACCGCTGGATGCCTCTTGAGACACTTTTATTCACATAGTTCCCAGGACACTCTTGGTTTTCCTCCATGCGTCACTGGTGCCAATTTCCCCATCTCCTCAGCTGGTGTCTCCTCTTCTTTCTGATCCCTTTATGCTGCAGGGCTCTGTTCGTGACCTTCTGCCCTCCTCTGTGTGCTCTCCCTCCCTAGCGGAGCTCATGTAGTCTCGTGGCTTTTAAGCGCCATCCACATATATGTAGGTATAGATCTTTCAGCCAAATTCCTGACTTGTATATACAACTGCCTACTTGACTCACATGGATGTCAGAGAGACAGCTTAACTCAATGTGTACAAAACTGAATTTTTGAACCCCTCCCCACCTACAAAGCCTATTCTCACTGCAGCACTCCCCAGTAGACTGGAATTGATACCAATCCCAGTCTACTTGTTGCTCAGGCAAAAAAAAACCCTGGAGTCAGCCTTGGTCCTCGCTGACATGCCACATTCAAACCATCAGGAATTCTGTTGGGTCTACCTCAAAATGTTTCCAGAACCTGTGCAGTTCTCACCATGTCTACAGACACCAGGATGGTCCAAACCACCATTATCTCTAGCCTGGCTTGCAGCAGTAGCTTCCTACCTGGTTTCCACGCTCCCACTACCCTCGCCTGAATTCACTCTATTCTCGGCATAGTAAGTAATCAAAGTGATCCCTTCCAAACGTGTGTCAGATCACATGACTCCTCTGTTCCACCCCTCACTGCTTCCCTCCTTCTTCCCCCCACATTTCACCCCAAGCAAGAGCTAAGGTCCTTAAAACGGCCTCCCAGGCCCTACATAATGTGGGATTCTGTTAATCTCTCTGACCTCATCTCCTGCTCTCGTCCTTTTGGCTCACTCTACAGCAACCACGCTGGCCTCTCTGCCATTTCTCAAACGTGGTAGTCACTCCCTGGCCTTAGAGCGTTTGCACCAGCTGGACCTTCTGCCCGGACAGTACTTTCTTTATATATCCGCAAGGCAAACCCTCTCACCTTCTTCATTTCTTTCCTCCAATGTCACCCCTCCAATGAAGCCTACCTGTGTACCCTTGCATATGGCAGTGAATGCTCTACTCCCTTTCTCTTCTCCCATTCTCAACGACCCGAATGCACCCTACCCTGCTGTGTGTTAGCTTACCACCACCACCACCACCACCTGCCCCACCCAAAGTGATTGTCTCCTTCTACCCTTCTATATAATTAGTAATGTAAAAGGTTTGCATTTTATTTTCTGTTTCCTTGCTCTTGTATGTACCATTCACGAGGGCCAGGGTGCTTGAGATTTGTTCACCTATGAATCCCAGTTGACTAGACTGGCACGTAGTAGACCTTAATAAGCACTCGTTGAAAGAGTGAATGGATGAATCATTGGATAATCACAACATGCAAAATAATATAGGCTACATTATTATTGAGACTACACAGGCCTCCGTGGTCCAAGTTACAGGAGGAATCTCAACCACTTCTCATGCGTTGCACATGTGGAGATAACATTGGCAACACTGGTGTCATTTGCCACAGGAACTGGGGCGGAAGTCGACCAGTCAAGAACTGGGCCTGATTTTCACTATCTGTGTATAGACTCTGCCTTCCCCTCCAAATCACCCTTGTGAGCTTTGCAAGCCTGTTGCATGATGAGCAGTGCAAGCCTAGAGTCCACTTCTCCTCCAGTCTCTGAGCCCCAGATTACTCCAGTTATTCTTCTATGTAGTCTTGGCTGAGCTGAGCCCCTCCTTTGACAAAGTGCCCTCACAGGGATTTTCAAAGAAATTCCATCTGCTCTTTGACATTTAACTGTTCCATGGCTCACGAGCCCTGGAGGAATCTGTGTACAGGTCTCAGCACATCTTCGTAAGAATCACCCTTCTCCACCTCCACCACGACTCCAAAATAATTTCCTCCAGAAGGCCAGAATTCTACCTTTCTGCCAAAGAAAAGAGTCGGGGGGATCCTGCCCGCTACCCACCTCACAGGAGCCAACGTGAGCCCAGGCCGAATCCAAATCTCCCTTTGGTCATGGCCATTGTCTGCTCTGCACTTGCCTGCTGGGGCCAAGGCCGCAACACTGGGCCCAAGGAGGATGCCCTGGAACCTGTCTTTTTTTCATGGGCAGATGCCCACTGTTTGCTGTCTGTCAGCATCTTATCCCGGTTGCTCTGCTCAAGGGAAGAGGTCTGCCAGTATCTTCTGCATTGGCAACAGTATCGGAGCAATGTCACAGGCTCAGAAACATTGTTGTTTGCTTGGTCCACCGTGGGAAAGCCAGGACCTAGGATTTTGAGGACTGATGGAGGGTGCTGGGTAGTTAAGTTTCTGGGGAATGTGTCGTGATGGGGAAGTCCACTTGTCTTGGAAGGAAATGCTCACTCCACACATATGATCCCTCAAAGATGCCTGGCAATAGGGCCCCAGCCCTTCCAAATAAAGGGACAGACTGCCACAGCTAATCCTGAAAGTGCAGATTAATTTTATTTTCCCACACCTCCTCACCTGACCCCGGCATGTTCCCTGTCACTCCTACCCTGCCATGTGTCCAAGTTTGAAAACAGAAGACTTTCCCAGCCCCAGCTGTCCTGGAGATGGAGTCTTTCCCTGTAGCATAGCAGCATGGGCTTCAGACTTGGCAGGCCCTGGGTCCACCTGCAAGGCTGCCAGTGACCAGCCAGCTGATCCTGGCAACTTGCTTGTGAGATCTGAGTTGGGGTTTTCTCCTCTGTAAACTCGGCCTGGCCTGGTGGCATCTCCCTTGCAGGACTACTGCAAAGTTAGAGACAATGCATGAAAACAGCAATCAAAGTGCCTGGAACAATTTAGGCACTCGGTAAATGCCAGCTGCCAAGTTTGCTAGGCTTTGGGCAGCTTGGGGCTCTCTATCCTTGAGTTATCCTAACAACTGGAGTGTTCTAGGACCCAGAAACTCAATCGCTTTTCAGAGGCATCCTTGCACCTAAAACTGCAGCTTTCCCACTTGCTTTGTGGAACCTCCGCTGGGGTGGGGCCAGTTTAGGTTTCAGATTTACTCAGCAAGAGGCTTGCACCTGGATGTCTCATCTGGATGCCCCGCAAAGCTCAAAGAATTTTTGTAAATGGCACGGTGAATGTTTTCTTTTTCTCTCCACCTTCCAGAAGCCCCTTTCCCTGCCTCTCCCTCACCCCTGTCTTTCATTTCACAGCCACCGGAAGTCCCGCCCTTCTTCAGCCTTTATCTAATCAAAGGAAGTTTAACTCTTTGCAGTACTCCTGTAGTGTGTTAGGGAGACTGAACCCCCAGGCCACAAGAGAATAAGCCTGGCCCATTGATCGCTTCCTTCTTGCGCTAGGGCAGGTCACCTGTCACCCAATCCCTTGTTTCCCAATCCCCTGCAGAGCCTCCTGCCTGAGGCCTTCAGGATTCCAGCAGTCATCTCTCTGACAGGGCAGCTGGAGGTATTCTCCCAGTCTTTCTCCTCTTATACTGCTGGTTCTCTGACTGAATTAAGCTTCTTGGCCCGTACTTGCAAAGAACCATTTTAGACCATTGGATGATAACTTGCCACCAGAGCCGAAGAAAGCATGGATTCAGACAGGGTTGGGGAAGACATTACCTCTTCCCCTGAGCTAGCCGGAGGAGCATCCTGTTAAATGGGCAGTAATCACACCGGCCTGGCAGAGATAATATGTGGCATGCCTCTGGGACAGGCAGGTGCTCAACAAATCTTTTTACTCTGCAGCTCTCCCACTTACTAGCTGACTGACCTGGGGCTGACTGACTGCTGTAAGCCCCCTTGGGTAAAAGGGCGGGTCGGGGGAGGAATGTAATCCGGCCTGGTCCCCAGAAGGATTGGATGCCGCGGCCAGGGTTACTCACACCTCTTCCCCTGCCTTCACGTGGTGTTTCTTTTGAGGACAGAGACCTTGAGAGTGCACTAGCAGGCAGAGACCGGCAGCAGGGTGGCCTAGAGGAAAGCACTGTGGGTTTGCAGGGAATGGACATAGGGTCTTGTCTAGGATCTCTCTCTTGCCACTTCTGTGGCTCTAGAAGAGAAAGTCACCGAGGAACCTGGACCTCAGATTCCCACCTTGTTTACCTCTGGAGGTGGTATTGATAAATACAGCTCCTCCCAGGGCAAAGAACAGGCCTTTTGATTTTCTGCAGCTCCAGTTTCTAACACACTGTCTGAATCCCAGAAGGCGCTCACCATTTTCTGGCTTGCTGAATGAATTTGGAGCTGCTGATGGGGTCATAGTTACTACTTTTGTTTGAAGCCTCCTTGGCCTGCAAGCTGAGGAGAGTGGGTCCCTGGGCCTTCTCCAGAAGGTCATTTGCTAGCCTACCCTGCACCTAGTGACGTTACTTTGCACACAGCTGGAAGCAGCGTGAGCCTGGATGTCAAGAAGGAAGAAGGTAGCCTGACCACTCTTTTGTGTGTTATAGCTGCTACCATGAGCCCCACAGGGCTAGGTTGGGCACTTGTCACTAGTGCTCCCCAGCAGGGGACCTAGTTCATGCAGTGCTTAGCTCTTGGAGAAAAGGTGGTAGGATTTGCGCCTGATCCCACATGACTTAGTATAGCATGGGCCATCGTGCCAGGTACCAATCCGGACTTACTCCATTGCCCCTTTGCCCCCTTGGACACACACACTTTTAAACAATGTGTGCACCCTAACGAACCATAGTTCCTGAGAGAAGTGCAAGGTTACCTTTCGGAGATGCCACAGGTGGAGCCTTTTCTCTGGCTCATCCAGTATCTCAGAAGTTCTGCTTTTTTATAGCCTTTTCTCGAATTATTTCAGGGTTGTTATTATTAACCATTTTTATTGTCATTAGTTTAAAGTCAGCCACAACACCCACCCTTTGAGGGTCTGCCCCGCTCACTTCTTCCCTTGCCTCATTCCTTGTTCTCCACTTTCCCCTTCATATAACCTTAACAGTTCGGTGAAGAGTTTATTTCCAAATGTCCACGCTACCTTCAGTGCCTCCATTTTTACTCCCTCCCCTTCTTCTCTATTATTTCCAAACCTCAGATTGTCCCCTCACCAAGATTTTCTGACGGTCTCATCTTTTTTTATTTCTGAAGTACCCCATGACAACCTTTTCCCCTGCAACCACCCCTTCTCTCTGCCCTCCTCCTCTCAAGATGATTTTTGTGTATTTTCTACTTCCGTGGCAGGCACCCTGTGATGTCCTCTTCTTTTTGCCAGTGCTCCCTCCCCTATGCTGGGTGGAGTATCCAATCAAATATCTAATACATAATATTTTCATCATATATTCTGATCGTATATTTCAGTCCCCCCCAAACTTATTTAAGTGTCTCTTGAATTTTCACACATCCTATGGTGCTCCCTTCCCCGGCCCACTCCCCAAGACAGGTCACATAAGGTTTTTTACATTTTCATGGCACTTCAGGCTCATTCTCTATCCCAGCATTTACTGCACTGCCAGTTTACCTATTTTTCTTTCCCACATAATCTAGAACATTCTTTGGACCTGGAGGATGTGTACTAGGGAGTATCCCTAGAATCTAGACTGGTGCCTCACATAACAGGTGGTCAGAAAATGCGCAAGACGTACTAGTTGTTAGGCTTTTATTTTTCTCTGTGTTCTGTAGTCACAATGCACAATCATGGAACGCGTAAGTCTTTATATAACATACACAAAAATGCAGGGGGATTATACAGATGAGCTTGTTTTATTTTATGTTTTTCCCTTTTATGACCTGGCTATTTTACTGAAGAATCCATTCAAATATTTAAAGTGCACTCAATTGAAATCCTATGTACTATATATTTCATATAATAGAATATCATGAAAATGATTTTTGTTTTAAAAAACTGTTAAAACTCTTGTGAGGAACCTGTACAGGCAACAGGAAAACAAGTCCTCACAAACTTATTAATACTTAGAATGTGTTCTTTTACCAAAATCTTATGATGAATATAACTTGTGAACATCCGGTAATTAAAGGGAGGAAAAGCAGCAATATTGAAATAAGACCTAAATCATAATGTTACCCACAGAAACACAAACACTAATACCAAATATTTTGTTTTCTCTTCATTTCCTTTCTTTCCAAATCAGTAATACCCATTGTCCTGGGGCACTCTGGCTCTTCTAGTTGCCCCTCCTCACCAAGTGATAGCTGTGACTTATACTTCACTAGCTGCATGAGGAGTTGCTGATGGTAGCATTTGAAGGAAGCTGAAATTGGAACTGGAACTTGCACAGGATCTGGCAGGGGCTGGAACTCTGGAATGGGTTTGGGCCTGGACATCAGTTAGTGCTTTGTATTTGGCTGTGTCTCTGGCCTTCAGCTGTTTCATAGCTTCACTGTATTGTGATGGCCAGTCCCAGAGGTCCCTGTTAAAGACTTTGGCCACAAAATTTTAAATTTCCATCTTACTGTTTTTCTGGTTGGCTTTGGGACCCCAAAATAATGCATACCCCAGTGGATTGTCATAGTTCACAAGTTTATACTCCAGGTACCCATGCTATACAAACTCCTTGGTGATTACCTTTTTCAGGTACCCAAATATTCTGTACTTCTCCTTCAGTTTCACTTCTAACTTTTGCAGAACCTCCCAGATGAGGCTTTCCTTAGCTCAAGTGAGCACCATGAAATCGACGCCTAATATCACAGTTAGGAGACCTTTTTTGAAATTATTCTCATGTTTGATTGTGCTTTGGGACTTTGACATTTTCTGGGCCCTTGAAGTACCCCAAGCCTTTGAGGTTCTTTGATTCTGAGAGATGCCTGAAACCACTGAGGATCTAGGGATCCCTCAAGTGCTGAGTTTCTCTGAGATTTTAGGGGCCTCTGAAGTACTGGGAACCTCGAACATGATCAAGCAATTCAAGGTTCTGTAGGGTTTGAAGGTGCTTAGACCCTTTAAGGCCCTCCAGACTTTTGACACGCCTAGAGCCTCTGAGGAGCTGAGGGTCTTTAAAGTGGTGGTAGCCTTAGAGGTGCTTGAGTCTTCTAAGGAGGACTGTGAGATACTTGAGACCTTCGACATGTTTAAGGCCTTTGAGGTACTCACTGTCTCTGAGGTGCTTGGAACATTTAAAGTGCTCAGGGTCTTCAAGGTATTTGGGACCTCAGTGGTGCTGGGCCCTTTCAAGGTGCTTCTAGCCCTAGTGATTCTGGGGTCCTTTGAGGTACAGGGAGCCTCGAAGATGCTGGTAGCCTTTAAGGTTCTTAGGATATCAAGAATGCTCAGGGATTTTGAACCACTAGGGACCTCAGAGGTCCTGAGGCCCTTAGAAACTCTTGGAGCCCTCAAGATGCCAGGATACTTTAAGGTGATCTGAGATTTCAAGGTTCTTGGGACCTCAGAAGTTCTGGTAACCTCTAAGATGCTGGGGTCACTTGATATACCTTGCTTGGATGTACTTGGGCTCCTTGATATGCTGGAGGCTATGGATGCATTTGGTATACTGGAAGTGCTTGGGGCCTCCCAGTTACTCAGGCCCTGCGAAGGGCTTGGGGTCTCCAAAGTGCTCAGGTCCCAGTAAGTGTTTGTGTTTGGAGTTTCTGATGCACCCAAGCCTTGTGAAGTACTAGGAATCTCAGAGACACTGGGTCTCCTAGGAGTGCTCTGACCCTGAGAAGTGCAGCAGTCATAAGAATTATTCCAGCCATGAGAGCTGCTGCAAACTTGGGAGTTGCTATGACCCGTTAAAGGAGTGGGGCCCCAGGAGGTGCTTGGGATCCAAGATGGGCTTGGTACCCGCATAGTGCTAGGAGTCTCAGATGTCCTCTGGCCCTGTGGATTACCATAGCCTCTGGAGGTGCTAGGGCTTTACCAAGTGCTTGGGTGCTTCAATTGTCAGGGGCCTGCCAGGTGCTGGGGCCCAGCCAACAGCTCTGGATCTCTGAGGGATGAGGGCCCTGCCAGGTACTCAGGCCTTGCCAAATGCTGGGACTTATAGCGGCACTTGGACATTGCCAGGTCCTCAGGTTCTGCCAGGTGGCTGGGTCCAGCCAGGAGGTTGAAGTCCCCCAAACAGTCTCTGCTAAGCTGTGGGATCCCTCCAGATTGTTGGGCCCATCCAGGAAGTACTCAATCCTTGTGAAGAACTCAGCCTCCACAATATGTTAGGAACCCAGCCCATGCCCCTCCAGGTGTTGGGGCAAAGTGAACAGGGACTCTAAGTCTCCAGGTTGTTTGACATCCCCAAGGTGCTTGGACCAAAGAAGACCCTGAAGGTCCTGGAAGTCCCTGGGCCTTGTGAAGCCATCAGGCCCTGTATATCACTGCCGGCACCTCCATTCTCTCCTACACCCTGTGAGCTTCGAAGAGACTCACTATTCTATCCTCAGAGCTTGTGTCCAGTGGTGTTGGGGAAGTGGGGGGAGAATGGGGGATGTGATTCACGCATGTAAGTCAGAGATGGGTACATACAAACCATAGTAGCCTGGAGGGCAGGAGGGAGTAACGTACTACAGTGCAGCCTTAGAAACTGGTCGCTTCAGCTGATATTACTCCCACTGCTGCCACCACTGCCTCTATCATTACTGTCTCTACTTTCTCTACTGCTGCCTCCTGCCTCAGCCCCTCCACCTTCCCTAGCTCTGCAGCCACAGCTGCGGCCGGCCACGGCCAACGCCTCTACTGCCACTGACAATGTGATCCCTACCGCAGGCAGTAAAATGCCACCATTATCCCATTGTGTAGCTGGTTTCCGTGCTGCAGCTTCCTGACTAACCACGCCTACCTACAGCCCTCCAGACTTCCTTCCCAGCAGCCTCCCGTCACAGGGCTCCCCTCATATGACTTTGTCCGCCCCACTTCCAGTACTTCCCACCTCTGACTCCTGCAGAGGAGGTGGGTGGTCTGCAGTTGAGAATGGGAGGCTGGCAGCCAAGGGAGGAGGGTGCAGGGAAAGGAGTTGAGAAGAGGATGGCAACCAGTCCTTGCATTCTATAATAGCTCTCAGGTCTAAGGAAGTAGTGAGAATCTACTCCGTTCACACTGAAGGCGGGCTGTGTGTGTGGTTGGGGGGTTGGGAGGCCAGGCGTGGCAGGACGGTGTATTCTTGGAAGGAATCAGCTGTCCCAGCCTTCTTTTCCTGTCTTGGCTTACACAGAGCATTCATTCACTCGCCCTGTTTCCGAAGGCATTTATGTGTATACTAATCAATTCGTGGTCCCGTGTAGGAACTGAATAATATTGCTATGGCAGGTATGCTGGGTGATGTGAGGAGATGGGACTGCGGAAACAAGCAGGGTGAAAGAGGTGCAGAGTCTTTAAAATGTGATAGATATATGCATGCCATATATGTATATGTATATGTGTATATGTGTGTGTGTACACACATATATATGTATATATATGTATATATATACACATATGTGTGTGTACACATATATATGTATGTATATATATGTATATAAAAATGCAGGGCACTGACAGGATCAGAAGAATTGTGTTTGTGCAGTCTCTCAGAAGAGCGGACTATCTCCTGGCAGACCACATAGGAAGCAATTAGAATAAAAAGCACTGGGAACTAAAGTATGCCTTAAGGCTGTTGCCATGGGGATGGAGAGGCAGAAAGGCATTTTAAAGGTGACCATTGAAGGGCTTTGCAGACAGAATGGATGAAGTGAATTAATCTCAAACATGGGGACAAGAAGAGAGATTAATATTATAAACACCAATGGCTAGTTGTATAAAATTTAAATATTAGGTCCTACTTACTGTCTATCTTTTACATATTGGATATGGTAAAACACTCCTTTTACATCTTCCCTGACCCACTCTGCTCTCTCCTTCCCCACTGTGCTCCACTATGATGAAGTCAGCAATCATTATACCCATGGAGACTTGTATATATTTGCTACCTACTTATATGTCCATATAAGTAGGGGAGGGGGTGACGGAGTGCAGGTTGGCTTTAAGGTTTCTAGGCTCCAGTCTTCCTGGACACCTGATTTATTTTGCTTCTTTCAGAGCATACTCTGAACTTTATCCACTGCTTGCTTTTGCTCACTGTTTGCTCTGCCTGACCTGCCTTCTCAGCCTTTTCCAACTAGCTAAATTCCATCTGGCTGCTCACAGACTTGTTTCTCCCTGAAGCTTGTCTTGATCTGTCCAAAAGGGTAATGAGTCCTTTTTTACTCCATTGAGGAAAGCCCTATAGCTAGCACTCTGTATCTTTCTTATGTCATTCAAGGTAATAGTTTAAGCTGTTTCCCATCTGTAAAGTGGGGTTAATTATAGTACTGGCCTCATAGGTTGTGAGAATTAAATGAGATAATAACTGAAAAGCATTTATTACATGGTAAGCACAGACTTTGCCTCTCAAGGTTTTCCAAGCGGTGTGTGAGTGTGGCATTTAATAAATGCGTGCTGAAGGAATGCATGATGGAAAATATTTTATAGGTGTTCCTTACTGAACTCTTAAGAAACAAATGAATACTTTATGCCTGTCTGGCTGCAATTTTCTTTATAATTAGAGCCTACCGAGTCCTCCTATTGGGTAAGTCTAGCAATAGACCAATTTGGTTCAGGAAAGAAAGCACCTCTCCAGGACATAGTGCACTCTTGAGCCAGCCCTCCATTTGGGATTACCTTTGCACTCGTTCTGGGTCACGGCTTACTCCAACCAGTAGTCTGGCTCCATCTGCTGTCCCACATTCTGAGTCTTCTTACAGTTTCTAGTCCACTGATAATTGCTCTGAAATGTTTTTCAGTGCAAGTATGGGTGTATTTTACAGTTTCCAGGAATTTGGATCTTGCATGGAAGTCCATAGCATGTACACTCCTACCCTCATGAAGCAAAAGTGGTGGGAGTACTTTTGCAGCTTATTTGCTTGTTTTTAGCATGAAATATTTTTGCTGTGAATTAATCTCAAACATGGGGACAAGAAGAGAGATTAATATTATAAACACCAATGGCTAGTTGTGTAAAATTTAAATATTAGGCCCTACTTACTGTCTATCTTTTATATATTGGATATGGTAAAACACTCCTTTTATGTCTTCCCTGACCCATTCTGCTCTCTCCTTCCCCACTGTGCTCCACTATGATGAAGTCAGCAATCATTATACCCATGGAGACTTGTATATATTTGCCACCTACTTATATGCCGATACACAACATGGGATCTCTTCCTTTATTTAAAGCACACTATACTGTATACATTGTTCAGCACTTTGATTTTCCAGCTCAAGTTTATATTTTTTATGTTTACCCATGTAGATACATGGACCTCTAGTTCATTTATTTTAGTTTTTAACATTTCATCATTTTCAGTTTATCTTGTTCCTAATGACCCACACTTATGCAGTTCCCATTTTTCCAAAACAAAATAATACTCTTATTAATATTTGTGTGCATGTCCCCTGTGAATATGTGCATGCATTGCTCTAGGATCAGCATCAATGAGTAGGGTTACTGATGTTTTGGCATGTATATGTTTAGATAGAGCACACGACTTTCTACTTTGTTTGATTTATAAAAATCAGACCATTCCATATTGAATTTCCAGGTTAACCTTTTTCCTAATAAATAATGAAATCCCCTCAATTTATACCTCTAATTCTTTCATTCTAATGGCTGAATGATATTCCTTGCAATTGATTTCCCATAATATCTTCAAGCATCTGCCTGTTGGCAGGGCGTACTGTATTTCCAACTTATTTAACCTTCTAAAAACAATGCTGAAATAAAAGTTCTGTTGTTAGTTTACTAGAATTTTCTCAAATGGGTAATATTTCCAACTGAGTATGAGACCCAAGTTTATCTTCAGGATGTTTAATGAATGATTTAAAATTCTTCCTTCTTACTTCAGTCAGAATAGAGATAATTTATGGCTTTTTCCTGAATCTTTAATAGAGAGCAGAGGCTTGTCTGACAACGTAATTCTGCAGTGTATAAGGTTTGTTGAACATTACCCCAAAGGCACTGGAAGGGGCATCACTGAATGTTTTCCAGCAAGGAACTGAGGAGATCAGATCTGTGGTTTAGCAAAATCTCTTTGGCTGCAGTATGGAGAAAAACAGACTATGTGGGAGGGGAAAAGGGAGAGTGGAAGACCCTCATCCAGGCTACAGATAGTGGTGACCTGAAATAGAGTGAGGATGGAGAGAAGGAAATGAATATGAGAGACATTTAGAAGACAGCAACAATAAGCCTTGTGGATTTCTTGGATCTTGGCAGTGAGGGAGAGAAAACAGGTTAAGTGGGGCATCCAGGTTCTGGCTTGGGTAGGAGATGAGATTCAGAATACAGGAGGAGAAGCAGGTCAGCTGCCTTGTGCTTCTCTTGGGTGCCTTGTCCTACTGAAGTATCATTGGATTTTAAATGACTGCTTAAGCCATACTAATGCTCGGCCTCCCACAACACACAGTCACAGAGCAAAGCAAGGTGCAGCCTGCCTGCAGAATTGTGGGAGAGTAGACATTGCCTATGACATTTGTGTCTTGGAGAATATTCTCTCTTTAAGCATGAGTAAACCCATACTCGGTTTCCCATGGACTCTTCTCAGAATGACAATTGTCCTTAGAACCCCAAATTGAGCCCATCATCACAGGTATGATGATGCTTCTCGAAATGCATCCTGGGGTCCTCTGGCATCTCAGGATGCCGACATGCCCCAAGTGACATCAGAGGTAATCTGAACAAAAGGTGCCAAATGATTCAACGCATTAAATAAGGCTGCATGCTCTTCTGCGACTTCAGTGCCTAACACTGGTGCCTTTAGAGTAGCTTTTTTTTGCTCCTCTTGGACATGCCCATACATTTTCCTAATGGGAACACCACCAGTTCTTCATTCTTTCTCTTTAGGAATGGGAATGAATCTGGAGGCAGACATGGGATAACTGCATCCTCAAAAAAAGTTTTTAAAGTACTCAATTACATTAAAGTTTCCCCAGGTGTTACCCGCTGCATCACTTACTCTTAGGCAATGAACAGTGGTTGCATTTCCTACTTCAACATATATCTGAAATCCATATTATTAATATTCATAATATCAAGAATAGATAACTTGTTCTGCCATTCTTCATGTGCATTATCTCTAGGTGGTCACTGTCATTTGGATGCCCAATGTAGATATGAGGCATCTGAGGCTGTGACTGGCACAATAACAGACCTGGTATCAAATCCCTGACAGGTGATGGAGTCAGGAGTTTTGATACACTTCCCCTGATGGTGCAGACATTGTTCATTCTCTCTGTGGGTCATTAATAATGCTATTCCCAGTACCACCACCCTCCCTGTCTTACAGGGTTGTCTGTGTAGATTTATGCAGCAGGCACCTTCTTCTTCTTTACCTCACCTCCAGCCTCTCCTCATCCAAGGGCCTCTTGGTCACAAGATGATCCTCCTGAGGAGGCTCTTACTTGTTTCCCATCACTAGTCTATATTCCTTAGGTGCTGGGTTGTGTGCCTTGCTAGCTCAATGGGGTTTGGCCCATAGAAAATCCTCAAAATTAAGACATGATGGATCAAATGAATGAACGAACAAATGAATAAATGAGGCACTGTATCTTCCTTCCTTAACATCTCTCAGTTGGAGCCATTAGTGTGTTTGGCCTTCAGCCTGAGGTTTTCCCAGTTCTTGAGCCCATACTGATCAAGCGGGGGAGACCCTTAGACTCAGCCCTCTGTGCATTTGCATGGCTGTGTGCACATAAGCTGAGGCAGGAGAGCCCCCTAGGGCACCAGAATTTGCTTGCTCACCTGTATCCTTGCTTCTGGTTCCGTGTGAAGGTTCTGACGCTAGTCCCTCTGAGATAGACCATCTACTCAGCACTTGTCTGTTCAAAATTTGGCATACTTTATCTTATCGAACCTTCACAACATTACTGAAGAGTGGGCATTCTCATTCTCTTTTGCAGGTGGAAGCCTGGCATGGAGATTTCTTACTTACTTAGAAGTATGGGCCGGGCGCGGTGGCTCACGCCTGTAATCCCAGCACTTTGGGAGGCCGAGGCGGGCGGATCACGAGGTCAGGAGATCGAGACCATCCCGGCTAAAACGGTGAAACCCCGTCTCTACTAAAAATACAAAAAATTAGCCGGGCGTAGTGGCGGGCGCCTGTAGTCCCAGCTACTCGGGAGGCTGAGGCAGGAGAATGGCGTGAACCCGGGAGGCGGAGCTTGCAGCGAGCCGAGATCCCGCCACTGCACTCCAGCCTGGGCGACAGAGCGAGACTCCGTCTCAAAAAAAAAAAAAAAAAAAAAAAAAAAAGAAGTATGGACACAGGAGAGGAATGGGGGCAGAACATCAATAAAAATGTCGACCATTTCTTGAGCAGCTTGTCTGTGCCAGGCATTTTGCATATTCCATTTATAATATAGTTACTATTATTCCTGTAATTCTAAAGATGAGGCATCTGGGACATAACAGAAACAAATACTTGTTCAACATCAGTGTTAAGTTTTGTACCTGGGTTCAAGCCCAGGTTTGTTTGATATCATATCCCATACCCTTATGACAAAGCCGAGTGTCGGGTATGGGAGTAGACTGAAGGAGTAGGGACTGGTGTATGTGAAGGGTGGGGATGTGTGACAAGGCAATGGCGGATATCCCAGCTGACATAAACCTCCCTTCCCCCTCCAGAGGACTGAGAGTCTTGAATGGCTCTGAGGCCGGAGCTCATCTACAGGCCATCTCCACCTCCTCCATAACTGTCAGAAGTCAACACTTCAAGATTAATAAAAATCTTTATAACCTGGAAGCTACAAAAGGGAATCAACTTCATTATTACAACATTCCTTTTCTTGTCAGCAATCAACGACTAAATGAGCCACTATCCTTCCTAGAAGGGACACTGTGGCTTGAGAAACTTTTACCATTGGTTAGCATCAGCGCTTAGTGTGCCCTGCAATGTAATGTTAGTCTATGATTGTTGATGGCTCTCTTTAGCACACAGATGTCTGGACCTCAGGTAACAAATTCATGGTGAATTTGTTAATATCCCCTTTTAATATCCCCTTTTAATATCCTTTTATAGCTGAGTATACTAATGGCAGCAGAGATGCAGAGAAGTGGACAGATGGTAGAGATATTCATGTGGTGGAATAGACTAGACTTGGTGATCAACTTGCTATGACAAAGAAAAGGAAGAGAGTAGTTCATGATGAGTTCAAAGGGCATTTGTTTTTCCTCTGGACCATTGATAATTTGATGATAGTACCATTTCCTGAGACATAAAACAGGAGGAGCAGGTTTTAGAGAGGAAATGACTATGAGTTCAGTTTGGGTTTCATTTGAGGTACCCTGGGACATCTGACTGGAGAAGCCCATTAGGCAGGCTGCTAAATAAAGGAGTGTGGGATTTCTCAAGACATCCAGGGTACATTTAGAGATTAAGGAATCACCAACACACAGATGGCAAATGAAAGAAGGAGGATGAGCTTACCTAGAGAGAATGCATAGACATAAGCAAGTCTAACATTTAAGGCTTAAGAAGAAAATGAGAATGCACAGTGTTTAGAAAGCATTTTAAGATTAAAATAGTTAAATAGTAAAATATATTTAAAAGTCATTTCATATTTAAAAGAGAGTCAATTTTCTTTCAGTATTCAAGTAGCAATCTCCTGGTAAGATGCTATGCAGAAAATCATTTAGAAGTTGACTTTTAAAACTCTGAAAAACAGGTGACTTTTCTATTTTAGTAAGGCAATATTTTAGGTTACACTGTACTCAAGTGAGTAAAGCTCTTTAGTTTTGTTTCTAGTAGTGAAAAATTTCCTAATTCAGTCCCATGGATATCAGATGCTTCTAAATCATGATTTCCCATTTCAGGCACTTTTCCTACATTGTCTTAGTCCGCTTGAGATGCCACAACAAAATATCACAGACTAGGAGGCTTAAGCAACAGGAATTTATTTTCTCACAGTACTGGAGACTGAGAGAAGTGCTTCTAAGTGAATGAGGGTTCTACAGCCAAAATATGAGCTATTAAAGAAATGGAAGCTGGCATTGAAATTTTGAATGCCTTTGATTTTCTTTTTTATTTGTCAGCATTGTCAACTGTGATCACATAGTTCATATTGTATAGCAGAAGGGAAAAAAGAAAACAACAAAACTCCCAAATTATTACAAAACCTGTGGGGGAAGGAAAGGGAAAACTCTCAGCTCTTTGTTCCTCCAGGGACAGTTTCTAGGACCTAACTTTTGGCTCCAAGCTCAGACTCCTTTCCAAATATTCTTCTTCACTCGGGTTGCCAGCTCTAGTTGTAGCAATAACAATGGCTAGCTACCACTAATTGAACATCTACTATGTGCCAGATACTTTACTCATTTAAGAATCAAATTTACTGAACATTTATTATATGCTAGGCACTGGTCCACTCATTGGGATTTTAAGGATGAGGTCTCAGTCTATTAGAGCAAACAGGGAATTTAGAAAGGTGGGTATAACAGGTGCTGCCTTTGATTAGGAAAATCTTGAATGATGCATACAAGCATGAATCAGGGGAATCAGCCTAATTTTTAGTGGTCAGGGAAGGTATGTATGAGTAAGTAAGTGGTCTAGATTGAGACGCAAAGTTTGGTAGGAGTTAGCTAGGAGAAGAGTGAGGGAAAGTGTTGCATACAAATGGAACAGTATGTTTGAGGACCTGGAAGCCAAAATGAACTCAGGCACTTATAAGAGTTTTGGTGATTGTAAACTTTTCTCTCTAAGAGTCAAGTTTTATTTCCTGTGTGACCCGAGTATCTGGAGGCACGCATAATTTTTAGTCCATAATACTATATACATTGTGTGGCTGTGCATAATTTATTCCACCATAACCCTACTGCTGAATATGTATTTACTTGCTTTTAGAAGCAATGCTATTGCCCTCATCCTGTACACATTTTTACACTTGTCCATTATTTAGTTATAATATATTTCCAGTCATGGAATTTCTGATTCAGATGGCTGTGCACATTTAAACTGTGATGCATGTATCCAGCTTGACTCTCTTGAATGTTTGTGTCATTTCATGGTATCACCAGTAGTGAACTGATAGTGACTATATGACCACATCTGTACTTGCCTTAAGCATTGTCAAGCATGTTACAAATTGGTAATCAGATAAATGAAACACCATATCTCCCTAATGTTGCTTTTAACAGTTTTTTGATGTGTAATTGGCATACAATAAACCACATATCTTTAAACTACATATATAAGTTTTGACATCAAAACTTATGAAACTGTACACCTTAAATATATGTAGCTTATCATATGCCTATATATATATATATATATATACCTGTGAAACTGTCACCATAATCAAGATATTATCATATCCTTCATCATCAAGTTTCTTCATGCCCCTTTGTAATCTTCCTCTTTATATCACTTCCCTTCCCTCATCCCAGAGAAACACCAATTTGCTTTCTATCAAAATAGATTATATTGTATTTCCTGTAGTTCATACAAATAGAATCATACTATAGGTACTCTTGTTTTTCAATCTAGCACCTTTCACCCAGCTTAATTATTGTGAGATTCATTCATGCTGCTGTGTGTATCAAACATTCTTTTTTTCTGTTATCTCATTGTATGGATGTATCACAATTTGCTTATCCATTTACCTGTTGATGGACATTTGGGTTGCTTACAGCTTTTGACTATTACAAATAAAGCTACTATAAACATTTGTGTGCAAGTCGTATGAACATATGCTTTCATTTATCTTGGGTAAATAAGTGTGGAATGGCTGGATAGTATAGCAGGTGTACGTTTAACTTTTAAATAAATTTCCAAAATATTTCCCAAAGCTATTGTCAAATTTCACATTCCTACCAGAAATGTACAAAAATACCAGTTCCTTCAAATCCTTGCCAACATTTATTATTTTCTATCTTATTATAGCCATCTTAGTGTGTGAAGTGTTATCTCATTGTAGTTTTTATTTGTATTTCCTAATGATGAATGATGTTAAGCACCTTTTCATGTGCTTATCTGCCATCCAAATACCTTCTTTGGTGAAATATGTGTTCAAATCTTTGGCCCATTTGTTCATTGGGTAACTTCTTTGCTTATTATTAAGTTTTTAGTGTTTTGTGGAATACAAATTCTGGATAAAAGAGCTTTATCAGATTTGCTAATATTATCTTCCAGACTATGGTTTGCCTTTTCATTCTTTTAACAATGTCTTTTAAAAAGAAGAAGTTCTTAATTTTGATGAAATCCAATTTACCATCCTTTTTTCTTTTATGAATTATGCCTTTGATGACATAAACAAGACATTATTTCTTACTTGTGTAAATGTGTGGGGTACAAGTGTAATTTTGTTTCATGGATATATTACATAGTGGTGAAGTCAGGGCTTTTAGTGTATCCATTACCGGAAAAAAATCCCTTGTACCCGTTGAGTAATTTCTGATCATACAACCCTCTCCCATCCACCAACTCTTCCAAGTATCCATTGTCTATCATTCCACTCTCTATGTCCATGTGTATACATTATTTAGCTTCCACTTGTAAGTGAGAACATGCAGTATTAGTCTTTCTGTGTCTGAGTTGTTTCAGTTAAGAAAATGGCCTCAGTTCCATCCATGTTGCTGCAAAAGACATGATTTCATTCTTTTTATGGCTGAATAGTATTCTATTTTGTGTGTATGTGTGTGTGCCACATTTTCTTTATCCAGTAATCTGTTGATAAACACTTAGGTTGGGTTCCATATCTTTGTTATTGTGAATGGTTCCTTTTTCTTTGGGTAGATACCCAGTACTGAGATTGGTTGTTTTACTTTTGCTTCTTTGAGAAATATCCATATTGTTTTCCATAGAGGTTCTACATTCTCACCAACAACGTATAAGCATTTCCTTTTCTCCACATCCTCTCCAACATCTGTTATTTTTTGTCTTTCTAACAATAGCGATTCTGATTGGTGTAAGATGATATCTCACAGCAGTTTTAATTCTAATTTCTCTGATTATTAGTGATGTTGACCATTTTTCCTATGCTTGTTGGCCATTTCTGTCTTCTACTAAAAAATAACTATTCATCATGTCCTTAGCCTTTTTTTTTATTTTTTATTTTTTGACAGAGTCTTGCTCTTGTCACCCAGGCTGGAGTGCAGTGGTATGATCTCCGCTCACTACAACCTCTGCCTCCCGAGTTCAAGTGATTCTCCTGCCTCAGCCTCCTGAGTAGCTGAAATTACAGGCACCTGCCACCGCGCCTGGCTAATTTTTGTACTTTTAGTAGAGATGGAGTTTTGCCATGTTAGCCAGGCTGGTCTTGAACTCCTGACCTCAGGGAATCCTCCTGCCTCGGCCTCCCAAAGTGCTGGGATTACTGGCGTATGTGCCCGGCCAGCCCACTTTTTTAATAGAATTATTATTTATTTATTTATTTATTTTTAGTTATTGTAGTTCCTTGTAAATTCTGAATATTAGACTCCTGTCAGATGCATAGTTTGCTAATATTTTCTCTCATTCTACAGGTTGTCTCTGTTCACCCTGTTGATTACTTCTTTTACTGTGCAGAAGCTTTTCAGTGTAACTAAATCCCATTTGTCTGTTTTTGGTTTTGTTGCCTATGCTTTTGAGATATTAGGCATAAATTCTTTGCCTATATCAAAGTCCAGGAGAGTTTTCCCTAGGCCTTCTTCTAGTATTTTTATAGTTTTGGGTTTTACATTTAAGTCTTTAATCATTATTGAGTTGATTTTTTTTAATATGGTGACAGATAGGGGTCCAGTTTCATTCTTCTGCATATGGCAATCCAGTTATCCCGGCACCATTTATTGAACCCAGTGTGCTTTCTCCAGTATATGTTCTTGTGGCTTTGTAAAAAATCTGTTAGCTTTAAATATGTGCCTTTATTTCTGGGTTCTTTATTCTGTTCCATTGATTTACATGTTTATTTTTATACCACTATCATGCTTTTTCATTTACTGTAGCCTTGTAGTATAATTTGGAGTCAGGTAATGTGATGCCTCCAGCTTTGTTCTTTTTTCTTAAGCTCACTCTGGCTATTGGGGCTCTTTTTTGGTTCCGTGCAAATTTTAGGATTTTTTTTTAGTTCTACGAAAAATGACATTGATATTTTGAAAGGGATTGCATTTAATCTGTAGCAATCTAAAGCAATTGCTTGAGGCAGTTTTGCCATTTTAATGATATTAATTCTTCAGATTCATGAGGATAGGATGTTTTGCCTTTTGTTTGTGTCATCTACAATTTCTTTCATTAGTGTTTTGTAGTTTTCCTTGTAGAGATCTTTCATCTCCATGGTTAAATATATCACTAGGTATTTTTTTGTGGCTATTGTAAATGGAATTGTCTTCTTGATTTGGTTCTTGGCTTGACTGTTATTTGTGTATAGAAATGCTACTGATTTTTGTATGTGGATTTTATATCCTGAAGCTTTACTGAATTCATTTATCAAGTCTAAGAGTGTTTTGGTGGAGACTTTAGGGTTTTCTAGATATAATCAGCAAACAGGGATAACTGGCTTTTTCTTTTTCAATTTGGTTGCCCTTTTTTTCTCTCTCTTGCCTGATTGCTATTGAATAAGAGTGGTGAAAGTGGGCATCCTCGTCCTGTTCTAGAATATTTTTGAACCTAGGATTAGCATGAGTTGGGAAGCAGTTATTTTCCTTCAAGCTTTTGGGAGAATTTTTAGGAATGACATTATTTCTTGCTTAAATATTTGGTAGAATTCAACAGTGAAGCCATCTGGGCCTGTAGTTTCCTTTGTGAGACAGTTTTAAACTATAAATTTAATTTCTTCATTAGATGTGGAATTATTTAAGCTATCTATTTCATCTTGAGTTAGCTTTGTTAGTTTGTACCTATCAAGGATTTTTTCCATTTAATGTAAGTTGTGTAATTTATTGGCATGAAGGTCTTCATAACATTCCCTTCTCTTATTAAAATCTCTAGAGTCTATAATAATGCCATCTCTCTCTTTCTTAACATTGATAATTTGTCTTCTGTCTTACTTTCCTGATCACCTGCGTAGAGATTCATCAATTTTGTTGACTTCTCAAAGAAACCAACTTTTCGATTCATTGATTTTTCTCTATTTTCTGCTTTCTATTTCACTGATTTTTGTTGTGATTTTTTTTTCTACCTACTTTAGGTTTAATTTGCTCTTCTTTTTCCATTTTCTTAAGGTGGATGCTGAAATCATAATGTTGAGACCACTCTTTACTTCTGATATTGATGTATATGTAATGCTATAAAATTTCCCCTAAGTATTGTTTTAGTGGCATTGCACAGACTTTTTCCTTTTTAAATTTTCATAGAGTAAAACTGATTTATTTTACAGTAAAATTCTATAAATTTTAATGCGTATATAGATTTATGTTACTACTACCACAATTAGAGTATGGGACAGATGTATCACTACCAAATATTTTCTTATGCTATCATTGCATGGTCATACCACCTCCCCACCATTTATCTTCCAGGGTTTTATAGTTTTAGGTTTTACATTTAAGTGTTTAATCCATCTTGAGTTGGTTTTTTTTTTCTTTCTTAATCTGGCTGTGTTGTCTTTCAACTCTTGGACCATTTTCTTGTGTTTCTTGGATTGTATTTCAACCTTCTCCTTTATCTCAATGAGCTTCCTTGCCATCCAGATTCTTAATTTTATGTCTGTCATTTCAGCCATTTCAGTCAAGTTAAGAACAAGTACTGTGGAACTCATGCAGTCATTTGGAAGTAAGCATCTGCTGGACTGAAGGAGCCAAGATGTTCCCAGTCTACTAGCAATAACACTCCAATGGAGGCCTCTGGCAAAAGCGCTCCAGCAAGGTAACGGCAGGTCTGTGCCCACACATGCACTGGTGAGTCTGTAGGGGTCTCCATGCTCTTGCGTGCTGGTGGTGGGTGGTGGCAGTGGGTCCCTGCATGTGTGTGTGCTGGGAAGGCAGCGGAGGGAGGCTATGGGCAAGTGTGCACTGGTGGGTAAATGCTGAGGGTGGGTGGGTTCATGCTACTGGGGGAAGGCTGTGGGCAGGTGTGCATCAGTGAGGGAATGCTGCTGACAGGTGTGCACTGGTGGCAGTCTGTCTGCAAAAGTACTCCAATGGTTAGGTGGGTTCTGCAGGTGAAACAGCTATTGCAATGTATGCTGGCAAGCTGAGGCTGTGCTGCAAGCAGGTGCCATCAGGTAAGGTCCCTGGGAGAGGCCAACAGATTGGGGGGGCACTCACATCACACTGGTCTTGTCCCATGGGCAAGGCAGCCCTGCTCTCTTTAGATCTGGCAGCCAAGCTCACAAGGGCTACAGCCACCTAGAGGAGGATGGTGAGCCTTGGGGGCTAGGCACACATGGCTATGCTCCACTGAAAGCCATTCCCATGCCAAATGCTTGGGGCTCTGTGCAGGCTGGAGTTCTGTTTCTTCAAACTCTCTGGGCAGTTCTCCCTGCCAGCTCAGATTTCTCTGAGGGCTGCGGGATCTCCCACAGCTAGGATCCCAGAGGTCCATGGTGAGAATGGGCCACTCCATGCCTTCTTCACTCACCTCTTCCCTGGGGACCACTTGGGGCCAGGAATGAGTCCTGGTGCTTGGCAAACCTGTGCAGGGTTCTCAGCTTCCTCTCCTTTCAGTCTGGTGTCTGCATCCTCACTCTGTCCACTCTTTTTTTTTTTTCTTTTTTGAGAGGGAGTCGCACTCTGTCCGCCAGGCTGGAGTTCAGCAGCATCATCTCGGCTCACTGCAACCTCCCTCTCCTGGGTTCAAGTGATTCTCCTGCCTCAGCTTCCCAAGTAGCTGGGATTACAGGCACTCGCCACCATGCCTGGCTAAATTTTGTATTTTTGGTAGAGAGGGAGTTTCATCACATTAGCCAAGATGGTCTTGAACTCTTGGAACTTTTGACCTTAAATGATCCGCCTGCCTCAGCCTCCCAAAGTGCTGGGAGTACAGATGTGAGCCACCGTGTCTGGCCTGTCCACTCTCAATGTCTTGTTTCTGGGGGTCTGTTTGGAGTGAGCTAGTCTACTTGATCTCAGTGGGAGAAGCTCTTTCTGGCTTCAATTAGTTTGCCATCTTGACTCGCCAGCATTTTCTTTTGACCATTTTTATTTCTGTAAGGTTGGTAGTAATGTCCACTCTTTCATTTCTGATTTTAGTATTTTGAATCTTCTTTTTTCTTTGTCAGTCTAGCTAAGTTTGTCTATTTTCTTGATTATTTTCAAAGAACCATGTTTTCATTTTATTAATTCTCTTGTTTGTCTATTCTTTATTTTATTTGTCTCCCATCTAATGTTTATTATTTCCTTTCTTCTGCTGGCTTTAATTTGCTCTTCTCCTTATAGTTTCTTGAAGTGTCATGTTAGGCTACTGATTTGAGGAACTTTCTTCTTTTCTAATATTGGTGCAAACTGCTATAAATTTCCCTCAGCACTGCTTTTGTTACATTCCATAAATTTTTGTATGTTGTGTTTTCATTTTTATTTATCTGTGTTTTCTAATTTCTTTTGTGATTTTTTTCTTTCATCCACTGGTAATATAAGAGTGTGTTGTTTAATTTCTACATATTTGTGATTTTTTTCAGTTTTCCTACTGTTATTAAACTCTAGCTTCATTCTATTGTGGTTGAAGATTATATGATGTGTAATTTTAATATTTTTTTAATTTATTGAATCTTATCTTGTGGCCTAACATATGACCTGTTTTGGATAATGTTCCATGTGCCCTGGAGAAGAATATGTATTCAGCTGTTGTTGGATTGAGTGTTCTTTATGTGTCTGTCAGGAGGGTTCTCTACATATCTGTTAGATGTAATTGGTTTATAGTTTTGTTCAAGTCTTCTATTTCTTTATTGATCTTCTGTCTAGATGTTATATCCATTACTGGGTATGGGATATTGACGTTCTAAACTCTTATTGTATTACTGTCCACTTCTCCCTTAAATTCCGATAGTTATCACTTCAAATTTTGGGGACTCTTTGGTTCAGTGTACAAATGCTTGTGATTGTTATATATTCTCCGTTAATTAATCATTTTATTAATATATGAAATCCTTCTGAATGTTAAAAGATTACAGGACATGAAAGTGATGCCTTTGGAAAAAATTATATTGCTTTTCAAAGTTCTCATATCTTCATCAGCAGAGTGGTCAAGCAAACACTATTTTATTTTCTTGTTTGAGCTAATGTGAACACAATTTGTGTTTTGTTTGTGCAGTCTTTTACATTCTTATATTTGGGCATCATTGTACAGGAACAGTTGCCTTTTGCAATTAAAGGTACAAAACAATAAAAAGTTTTATGTAAAAAACCCTTCAGTTTTTCAATTCTATAAGTATTCTTTCTCATTTTGCATTTAAGGACAATTTTAACAGAAAGCATTTATTTATAAAACTTCAACAACTTTGTCTTTGGCTGAAGTGTATTGGCTTCTCTTTGAAGCATCTTCTCCATATTTGTTTTTAGTTGAAAAATAATAATGATATATATTTATGAAGTATGATATGATGTACACACACACAGACACATCCTTCTTTGTCTCTTGTAAAATTTATTTTACTAATATTCTGTTTTGTCTGATGTTAGCATAGTGACCCAGAACTCTTTATATACTATTTTTACATTAAATATATTTTTCCATCCTTTAAATTTCACCTCATTTGTTTTTTGGATCTAACCTGAGTTTCTTGTAGATAATGCGTAATTAAATTTTTAAAAATTCCATTCTGCCAACCTCTGCCTTTCGATTGGGAAGTTACATCATTTACATTTAAAGTAATTACTTATAAGGAATTACTTACTTCTGCCATGTTATTGTTTGTTTCCTGAGTGTTTTATAGTTTTTTTATTCCTTATTTTCTCCATAAATTGTCTTTTTTTGTGTTTAACTGTGTTTTTGCAGGGTACCACTTTGGTTACCTTTTCATTTCCTATGTGGATATTATTTAGATATTTTCTTAGTAGTTACCATGAGGATTTCAATTAACATCTTAAATGTATAATAACTTCATTTGAATTGATACCAACTTTGTTAAAATAATGTAAAAAATCTCTCTTATCATACATTACTATCCTTTTCGCTACTGTTGTGACAACTTACATCTTTATACTTTGTGTGCATATTGTTGTAGACATAATTTTTATGCATTTGTCTTTTAAATATTGTAGGAAATGGAAAGTGGAGTTACGAACCAAAAATACAGTAATACTGTCTTTGTATTCACCTATATAGTTAATTTTACTGATGTCCTCTATTTCTTCAAGTTACTCTCTAATGTTGTTCCTTTTCAGCATGAAGTACTCTTTTTAGCATTTCTTGTAAGACAAATATACTAACATCAAACTCCTTTAGTTTTTATTTATCTGAGGAATGTTTGAACTTATCTTTCATTTTTAAAGAAAAATTTTTCCACACATAAAATTTTTGATTGAGAAGCTTTTTTCCTAACTTGTCAAAAAAGCACCCACCCCCTTCCATTATGTTTTCCATGGTTTCTGATAGAAAGTCAGCTCTTAAAATACTCTCAACAATCCCTTGTATGTGATGAGTTGCTTCCATCTTGTTGCTTTCAGTATTTTTCCATTGTTTTGCTTTTAACAATATGATTATATTGTGTCTCAGTATGAATCTTTTTGAATTTTCCCTATTTTGAGTTAATTGAGATTCTTGTATATGTACATTTATGTTTTTCATCAAATTTTGTTTTTGAGTATTATTTTTAAAATATTTTTTCTGCCTATTTCTTTCTCTCTTTCCTTCTGAAACACCTGTAATGTGTATGTTATGCTTGACATTGTCCCATAGGTATTTTAGGCAATGTTTATTTCCTTTTATTCTTTTTCTTTCTGCATCACAGACTGGGTAATTTCTATTTTCTTATTTTCAAGTTTGCTGATTCTTTCTTCTGCCTGTTCAAATCTGCTGTTGAGTTGCTCTAGTAAATTTTTTTAAAATTTCAGTTAACGTGCTTTTCAGCAACAGTATTTCTATTTGATTCCTTTTATAATTTCTGTCTCTTTTTGATATTATCTATTTGTTGACACATTATTTTCCTAATTTCCCTTAGTTATTTGTTCATATTTTCTCTTAGCTCTTTGAGAATTTTAAAGACAGTTGATTTAACACCTTTACTAAATTCAATATCTAGAATTCCTCAGGAATTATTTCTGTTAATTCGTATTTTTCCTGTGAATGAACTATACTTTCCTAATTCTTTGTGTACCCTGTATTTTTTGTCGAATTGTGGACATTTTGAATATTATTGTGTGGTAATTTTAGAAATTAGATTCTCCTCCTTACTCTCTGGCTTTGCTTTTGTTGATTTTTGATGGCTTCAGTCATCCACTTGTTTAGTGAATTTTTAAAACTACTTTTGCAAAGATTGTATTTTTTGTCATGTGTGGTCACTAACGTCTCTGTTCCATTATCTCAATGGTCAATCAATGATCCAACAGAAACTTTTAAACATTTGGAGCCACATGGTTAAAAAAAAATAGTACTCTCCCAATCTTTGAAGCTTAGCTCTGTACTGGGGTATTCCTTCTATGCTAAACCAAGCTGCTTGGGATTTTGTTTTACCTTTCAACTTCTACTAGTGTGGAGTCCACAGATCCACTGGAAGTTGGAATCCTAGGTATCACTCAGGTACTTTCTAAGTATGCATTCTCCCCTGTACATGCACATGTATTTTTCACTCTGTTTTCCTGAGTAAAACCTTGCTTTGTAACCTGCTGTTTCAGGGCTCTTAAATTCTCTCAGCTGCATGTCTTATCTGCAGTCCTTTTCCTAAGGGAAGAATGGGATGTGCATGATTATATATTTCAACAGATGCCACTACTGCCCAGAAAGCGGTAGTGGGGGGCAGGTGGCAAAAGACAGCCTCTGTGGTCAGTCCCTCAGGAAATCAGCAGAAAGGTCAAAATACACAACCTCAACATTTTAAGAAAAAGGTCCATATTAGTTTACAGACATCAGCAATCTACATGAGAAACATGGGTTTCCATCCCCCACTTAGCTGCTATTGCACTGGAAAATGGGAGCTGGTAGGCAGGCAAGAAAAAATGCCACAGTGCTCTCCTACTTGATGCTCTTTTCTTCATTAAGCAGCCCCCTCCAGTTGCAGCAAATTTCTCATTAGACTCCAGAGTTCCAAAAACATTAAGTCAATCTTTGATAGATCAAGGAGGTTTTAGTTGAGAAACTGATTCTTTAAGTGTTTTACTCCAATATTTTTTTGAAGTCATCTACATTGGTTGATTTTTGTATGTTGAACCACTCTTGGATTTTTGGGATAAATCCCATTTTGTCATGGTGCATAATCCATTTTACATGCTGCTGCATTCGTCTTGCTGGTATTTTGTTGAGGATTTTTGCATTATGTCCATATAGAATATTGTTCTGCAGTTTTCCTTTCTCAAGATATATTTTTTCTGACTTTGGTATCAGAGTAATGCTGGCCTCATAGAATGAGTTACAAAGTGTTACTTTATGTTCTACATTTTGAAATAGGTTTTAAAAGGTTGATGTTAATTTTTCAAACATTTGGCAGACCTTATCAGTGAAGCCATATACTTCTGGGCTTTTTGTTGTTGTCGTTAGGAGTTTTTTGATTACTAATTCAATCTCTTTACTTGTAATAGGCCTATTCAGACTTTTTATTTTTTCATTAGTCATTTTTTGTAGTTTGTGTGTTTCCAGGAATTTATTCATTTTATCTAGGTTATCAAATTTATTTATGTTGTTCATAATATTCTCTTGTGATCTTTTTTATTTCTGTAAAGTCAGTAATATTATTCCCACTTTCATTTCTGGTAATAGTAATTTCTGTTTCTTCTATTTTTCTTCAGTCATGACTAAACATTTGACAATGTTTTTGATCTTTCAATGAACCAACTTTTCGTTTCGTTGATTCTCTGTATTGTTTACTGCTCCTCAATTTTGTTGATCTCCTCTCTAATCTTTATTATTATTATTTCCTTTCTTCTTCTTGCACTGGATTTAATTTTCTTTTTTCTAGGTCCTTAAGGTAAAAAGAAGTTAGCTTATTGGCTTGACTTATTTTTCACCTTTTAAGGTAAGCATTTACATGTGTAAATTTCTCTGTCTGCATTTTTTCACTGTACTGCATAGGTTTTGTGTGCTTTCATTTTAATTCTTCTCACAATATTTGTCAATTTCTCTTGTGTTTTTCTTCTTTGATCCATTAGTTGTTTAGGAGTGTATTGTTTAATTTTCACAAATTTGTGAGTTTTCCTTCCATTATCAATATCTAGTTTCATTCAGAGAAAACACTGTGTATGATTTCAATTTTTTTAAATTTATTGAAACTTATTATGTGGGCTAACTATGGTCTATTATGGATGAAGTTTCATGTGATTTTGAGAAGAATGTGTAGTCTGTGTTGTTGGGGGCAGTGTTCTCTATATGCCTATTAGGTTTAGTTGGTTTATAAAGTTGTTCCGTCATCTATTTCCTTATTGGTTTCTGTATGGTTGTTCTAGCCATCAATCAATGTGAGGGGTAATTTAGTTTCCAATTATTATTTTAGAATTTTCTATATCTCCATTAAATTGTTATTTATTTTGCTTTATATATTTTGGGGTTCTGTTATTAGGGGTGTGTATGTTTATAATTGTCATATCATCTTGATGAATTGACCCTTTCATCAATATGCAATGTTCTTTGTTCTTGTAACAATTATTAACTTAAAGTCTATTTTGTCTGATATTGTTATAGTCACCCCTGCTCTCCTTTGCTTTCTATTTCCATGGAGTGTCATTTTCCATCATTTACCCTTCAGACTATATGTATCTTTGGATTTAAGCGAGTCTCTTGTTGACAGAATGTAGTTGGGTGAGAATTTTTTGTATCCATTATGCCTATCTCTACCTTTTAATTGGAGAGGTTAAACCATTTATATTTAATGTGAATACTAAAAATAAAGTACTTGCTTCTGCCATTTTGCTATTTAATTTTTAAGTCTTATATCTTTTTTGTTCTTTAATCCCTCCACCACTCTCTTGTCTTATGTTTAATTGATTTTTGCAGTTCCATTTTTGTTCTTTTCTTATTTATATTTCTGTATATATGTTTAGTTATTTTCTTAGTGGTTACCTAGGGATTACAATTTAACATCTTAAATTTATAACAATCTAGCTTGAATTAACACCAATTTAGTATACAAAAATTCTCCTCCTATACATTTTCCTCTTTTGTGCTTTATATAGTTATTGTCACAGATTATATCTTTATACATGTGCCTGTTAACATAGATTTTTGTTATTTTTTGTTAATTTTTTTGTTAATTATTGTTTTTTTAATTTGTCTTTTAAGTCATATAGAGAGTTGTTACAAGCAAAACATAGACTAATACTGGCTTTTATATATACCTATGCATTTATATTTAACAATGTTTTCCTTTCCTCATAGAGTTTTGTTTCTATCTAGTGTCCTTTCCTTTCAGCCTGAAGAACTCCCTTTAGAATTTCTTGTAAGAAAGTTTTCTGAGGGCTCTGTTCTGTTGCATTGATCTATATCTCTGTTTTGGTACCAGTACCACGCTGTTTTGGTTACTGTAGCCTTGTAGTATAGTTTGAAGTCAGGTAGTGTGATGCCTCCAGCTTTGTTCTTTTGGCTCAGGATTGACTTGGCGATGAGGGCTCTTTTTTGGTTCCATATGAACTTTAAAGTAGTTTTTTCCAATTCTGTGAAGAAAGTCATTGGTAGCTTGATGGGGATGGCATTGAATCTATAAATTACCTTGGGCAGTGTGGCCATTTTCACCATATTGATTCTTCCTACTCATGAGCATGGAATGTTCTTCCATTTGTTTGTATCCTCTTTTATTTCCTTGAGCAGTGGTTTGTAGTTCTCCTTGAAGAGGTCCTTCACATCCCTTGTAAGTTGGATTCCTAGGTATTTTATTCTCTTTGAAGCAATTGTGAATGGGAGTTCACTCATGATTTGGCTCTCTGTCTGTTGTTGGTGTATAAGAATGCTTGTGATTTGTGTACATTGATTTTGTATTCTGAGACTTTGCTGAAGTTGCTTATCAGCTTAAGGAGATTGTGGGCTGAGACAATGGGGTTTACTAGATATACAATCATGTCGTCTGCAAACAGGGACAATTTGACTTCCTCTTTTCCTAATTGAATACCCTTTATTTCCTTCTCCTGCCTGATTGCCCTGGCCAGAACTTCCAACACTATGTTGAATAGGAGTGGTGAGAGAGGGCATCCCTGTCTTGTGGCAGTTTTCAAAGGGAATGCTTCCAGTTTTTGCCCATTCAGTATGATATTGGCTGTGGGTTTGTCATAGATAGCTCTTATTATTTTGAGATACATCCCATCAATACCTAATTTATTGAGAGTTTTTAGCATGAAGGGTTTTTGAATTTTGTCAAAGGTCTTTACTGCATCTATTGAGATAATCATGTGGTTTTTGTCTTTGGTTCTGTTTATATGCTGGATTACATTTATTGATTTGCATATATTGAACCAGCCTTGCATCCCAGGGATGAAGCCCACTTGATCATGGTGGATAAGCTTTTTGATGTGCTGCTGGATTTGGTTTGCCAGTATTTTATTGAGGATTTTTGCACACCAGTTAGAATGGCAATCATTAAAAAGTCAGGAAACAACAGGTGCTGGAGAGGATGCAGAGAAATAGGAACACTTTTACACTGTTAGTGGGACTGGAAACTAGTTCAACCATTGTGGAAGTCAGTGTGGCAATTCCTCAGGAATCTAGAACTAGAAATACCATTTGACCCAGCCATCCCATTACTGGGTATATACCCAAAGGACTATAAATCATGCTGCTATAAAGACACATGCACACGTATGTTTATTGCGGCATTATTCACAATAGCAAAGACTTGGAACCAACCCAAATGTCCAACAATAATAGACTGAATTAAGAAAATGTGGCACATATACACCATGTAATACTATGCAGCCATAAAAAATGATGAGTTCATGTCCTTTGTAGGGACATGGATGAAATTGGAAATCATCATTCTCAGTAAACTGTCGCAAGGACAAAAAACCAAACACCTCATATTCTTACTCATAGGTGGGAATTGAACAATGAGAACACATGGACACAGGAAGGGGAACATCACACTCTGGGTTCTGTTGTGGGCTGGGGGGAGGGGGGAGGGATAGCATCAGGAGATATACCTAATGCTAGATGACGAGTTAGTGGGTGCAGTGCACCAGCATGGCACATGTATACATATGTAACTAACCTGCACATTGTGCACATGTATCCTAAAACTTAAAGTATAATAATAATAATAAAAAAGAAAGTTTTGCAGTGAAAATTTCCCACAGGCATTATTTTTTGTCTTACTTTTTCTAAATTTTTGAGGGAGATTTTTGCCAGACATAGATATGTGGATGGAAGGGCTTTATTATTACCTTTTATGCCTAAATATGTCTTCCCACTGCCTTCTGGCCTCCATGGTTTCTGATGAAAAATTGGCTGTTAATGTTATTTAGAACTGCTTGTATTTAGAACAAAAAAGGTATAAGACATAAAAATTAAATAGCAAAATGGCAGAAGCAAGTACTTTATTTTTAGTATTCACGTTAAATATAAATGGTATAACCTCTCCAATTAAAAGGTAGAGAATTGCTTCTCTCTTGCTGCTTTCAAGGTTCTCTCTTTGTCTTTGGCTTTTGACAGGTTGATTATAATGTGTTTCAGTATGGTTCTTTTTGAGGTTATCTACTTGCATTTTGTTGAGCTTCTTGGATGTGTTGATTCATGCCTTTCATCAAATTAGTAAACGATTGGGCAAATTATTTTAAAAAATATTTTTTCTGCCTATTTCTTTCTTTCCTCTCTGTCTGAAACTCCCATTATGTGTATGCTCATATGCTCTGGTTTCCCACAGTTTTGTCAGGCTTTATCATTTTTCTTCATAATTTATTCTTTCTGCTCCTTAGACTTGATCATTTCAATCGACCTATCTTCAGATTTATTAATTGTTTCTACACTGCTCAAATCTGCTTTGGGATTTGTTCAGTAATTTTTTTCACTTATTGTACTTTTGGCTCCACAATTTTCATTTGGTTCCTTTTTATAATTTCTATTTCTTTATTAATGTTCTCCATTTGCTAAAACATTTTTCTCCTGATTTTCTCTATTTGCCATGCTTTTCTTTAGCTCTTTAAGCATATTTAAGACAGTTGTTTAAAACTGTTTGTCTTCTAAGTGCAATGTCTCAGCTTCCTCAATGATATTTTCTGTTAATACCTTTTTCCTTACGCATGAGCCATACTTTCTTGTTCTTTGCCTAACTTGTTATTTATGTTGTTATTGAAAAGTAGACTTTTAAATATTATTAGCAATAACTCAAAATAAGATTTTACCCTTCCAGAGTATGTTTTTGTTTCTGTGGATTGTTGTTGTTTGCTTATTTAGTAACTTTTTAAAATTGGTTTTGTAAAGTCTGTCTTTTTTGCCATGTGTGATCATTAAAGTCTATGTTGCATTAGCTTAGTGGTCAACTAATGATTTGACAGAGATTTTCTTGAGGGCCTTGAACAACAACATAAAACAGGCTCTCTTGGTCTTTGCTGGCTGGCTCTGTGTAGTAGTGTTCTTTCAGGTTTAATCAGGCCATTTATAATTCTGTGCTATAGTTTAGATATTTGACCCTCCAAACTTCATGTTGAAATTTGGTACCCAATGTTGGAGGTGGGGCTTAATGGGACGAGTTTGGGTCATGAGATGGATCCCTTATGAATGTTTTGGCACTGTCCTCACAGTAATGAGTGAATTCTTGGTATATTAGTTCCTACAAAAGCTGGTTGTTAAAAAGAGCCTGGAACCTCCCTCCCCCTCTTCTTTGCTTCCCATTTTGCCATGTGATTTCTGTACATGTGGCTGTCATTCACCTTTTACCATGAGTTGAAACTTCCAGAGGCCATCACCAGAAACAAATTCTGGTTCCATGCTTCTTATAGCCTGCAGAAAAATTAGCCAAATCAACTTCTTTTCTTTATAAATTACCCAGCCCAGCCTCAGGTATTCTTTTACAGCAACATGAATGGACTAAAACGTTCTGCATTAATCTTCACTTCCTGCATGTGTGGAGCACAAAGGTCAGCCAAATGTAAAAGGTTTGGGTCTTCTCAGATATTTTCTGAACATGTGTCATTTCCTGAACATGTCCACAGACTTCTAGATTTCTTGGTATTTGCGTGAACTTTTCTAAACCCTTATTTCGTCACATATCTCTTTTCCCAGACTTTTTTTTCCTAGGCTTTTCAGTCTGTTAGCAGCTTACCCGCTCTGTTATTCCTTGACCCAGACAGATGCAGCTAGTATATCTGCATTAAAATTGTTTTCAACAAATATTTCCCTGGAGGCCACTTCAGTCCTGAGAACATTTTATGGCTGGTGAAGAAAAGGCAAGCCCTTTAGCTTATCCCTCAGGAAGCCAGCAGACAGGACAAAATACAAAACCACAATACTTTGAAAACAAGGTCTATATTGCTTTCTCTGGCATAAGCAAGCTGCATCAGGAACACAAGCCACCATCTCCATAGCCATGACTGGCATGGGAGGTAGGGAATGGTAGGCAGATAAATTAAAATGCCACAATATTCCCTTACTAGATTTAATCACTTCCTTAGTTGTTATAAGTTTTTAAAATTAGATTCCAGCATTCTGAAAAAGTTGGTTCTGACAAGTTTTTTTTTTTTTTTTTTTTTTTTGGTCAGGCTAATGTTTGATTTAGTGGATGGATAATGTTTTAGAATTCTCCACCTTGTCATTTTCAGTGGAATCAGGCATTGATATTTTCAAGTTGTATATTCCATTAAATCTTATCCAGCTTTCAAGTAAGGAAACTATATCAAAACTTAATATGATTTTCCATACCATGTACTTTTGTTATCATAACTGAGGACATTATGCCATATTATGTTTGTTTTATAAATAGTGGAAGCTTCAGAGATTAGGATTAGGGCATGGGCTATACTGATGACTGTGGGCCTATGGTGAGGACACTAAAGTAGGTAAGGAATTTCTAGTTTCCAAAATGACTGCCTTTTTCCAGAAGAAAACCATCAGCCTATGAAACTGAGACCTTATATTTAGTTGAAGCTTTTCCTATTCACAAACTGACTTCCTGATTAAAACTTTTCAGACCAAGAACCTCCACATCAATTAAAAAAACTTAGACTTCTTCATGAAATCTCATCCAGTATTTATCCTCAAACTCTGTCACTCAGTGAGCACAGATTTAGTCATATCTTCACCCTATCACCCTGACATTATGTTGTCCAGGAAGGAGCTATGTGCTGCATAATAGGATCAGCAGGCCAGAGAAAGGAAAAGGTCATGACTAACAAGCATTATAAACAGTGGGTGTCATCCAGTGAAGGAAACAGGTAAGATTTTTCTCCCTCACATTAGCACTACCAGATACTCTTTCAAACTGAGGGTTGGTTGGTATGTGGATTCAGGTAGACAAAATGGCACCCTTAAATCGGTTGAACTTAAAATGGCACCCTTAAAAATGGGTTGGACTGTGATGGCTGCAATGAGTAAGAAAGCTGTGTGGCATGTCCATGTATGCACTTAAAGAGAAGTGGAGCAGGCTCAAGTAAGACAGCAGAGGTGAGGACATATACCATATTGGGCACAAGATAAGCTAGGTTTTTGGAGCTGATGTACAAGTTGTGGTCACAGTGGGGCTCACTAGAATTCATAAGGGGTGGTTAAAGTCTTGAAATATGTGCCATGGTTGGCATATGGGCAACATGACTACAGATTTCATGGTCTCTTCTCAGAGCAGGACCTACTCTAGTATGTGGACAGTGCATAGGTTCTGGGGACAGTGCAAGGAGTTCCTTGTACTGAAGACTTCATGAGAGACACCTATGCAGTACAGAATGTAGTGCTGTGATTGTGTTGAGTTGTCTCTTTGCCATAGTAGGGCTACCGTGAATGTACAAGGTGTTTTAGTAAAAATATATGTGCAGAGCCTATTCAAGGGGTGTTAATTATCAGTTCATGCTGGGTAAGATTTGAGACTGCATGAGCTGTGTAGAAGAGAAATAAGGACCCTAATCTGGATGGGGTATGCCAATGGTGTGGTGGGAACTTGGGGTGGGGGCTATTTCAGGCAGGGGACTAAGTCTAGTTTTTCTGTTTGCCAAGAAATTTAATTTTTACCTTCAGGAACCCTTCCTCCAAGAATGTGGCCATATTTTATGGAAAACTTCATCGCTTATTTGATTAATTACTGGCTATACTCTTTGAGACTGCAGGCTTTCTCCTCCACCCACCATGGGCTGATTATACAGGAGCATTCCTTAGACAGTTCCATTAAAAACCCTGTGTTCATTCCTTAGAAATCTGAGCCCAGTAGTCAGATGGAAAATAGAATTAGCAAAGATGTTTTAGGGGAGCCTATCCCACAGGGCCAGTGTAGCCCACCTCCCCCACTGTGAAATGGACTTGCAGTCACTCATAACTTCCATCCTCTGTGTTCAAAATGAACCCATATCTTAGCAAGAATAGTCCCCATTCTTGTTCAATTTATTCCCCATCTCTAATCCACCTCTCTTCCTTCATCTCCTCCTTTTGGCCTTTCTGTAGTTGAGCTATAAGCTGAAGTGCAGTGTGCGCAGATCATTTCCTATGAAAAAAGGAAAAGGAAATGGTCTTTTCTGACAAAACTTCTTTAGCAAAGGATATGAACTAGGTTTGGGAAGATTTGACTTTGTTGTTTCATCATATCTGGAATACCTTGTTCAGCCACATGGTCAGTAGCTGGCTCATAAAAGTATTCTAATGGATCAAGCATATTTAAGGATTGCAAAGACCCCAAGTAAGGAAACTATATTAAAGACCTATTGCAAACTATTGCAAAGACCTCAGTGCAGGATGCTGTGTCTTGGTGTGATGGGCAATGATGTGTGCCTGAGTTCGAACAGGGGTTATTGGAAGTGTATGTAGTGGCACAGAGAGCTTGCTATAGAAAATGCCCACTTCATATACCAAGGGGGTAAGGGATTGCTTTACTTTTACTTGTTTCTGCCCATTGGTTCTACATATTGCTGAGGGAGAAAAAAAATCATTTTTACAAGTTAGTTGAAAAACATCACTTTACATTTTACAACTTAGTACTACTGTTTGTCGAGTTCACACCTGTTAGACATTTTTGCAAGTCATTTTTAATTGTTTTGTTTTATTTTAGCTCCTTTCCATTGAGTAATATATATTTTTCCTATTTAGCCTGGTTTGCACTTTTTCATTGACTATTCCTTTTATATTTAAAGAGAATTTATTTAAAATAACTATATCATACAGTGCAAAGGTTTCTATATTTTTCTCTTAGATTAGGGTATTTTTCCCTAATCTGGCCAGGGTCTGTTTCCTTGTGTTAGGGGCAGAGGTGAGGGCCCTGTCCTGGACATAAATGGCCTGCTTGCCTAGCATGAGGGTGTTTGATATTTTCATGAGAACACTTTCTTTTAGTCATATATAGGTAATGTTATTAGACTACATATAATTAACATGGACAATTTCCAAGGGTCTACAGAAATTCTCAACACCATTCCAACATGGAAGAGTGGCTTTTTCACATCCATCAAGAAAATTCCACTCACAGAAAATTCTGAGTGAAGAATGTGGATTTTACTAAAAATTTCAAAGAAACATCAGTGGGTTTACTCCCCCACAGTAGAAATGCTCTTAAACATATCTCTTCCCTAAAAATTTTTTTTTAGCTTTCAGTCACCAGATCTTTCCTTTCTAGCTACTGTTTCACTAAACTTCCTCCAAATGCAACAGCTTTTATCTTTTTCTTGGAATCTTCCCAGAAGTCATTCAGTATTTCTTACTTTTCTGTGTAGAAACATTTAGCTTTCATCTAGTTTCTCCCTCAATTGTTGTATATATCACCCAATACTTAATGCCTAAGCCACAGGTTCAGCAGCTAGGTCTTGGCACTGTTGAAGTAAGCAAGATAGCATTGAAGAGGTGAGGTCTAGTCTTAATCTGATGTTTTATGTGAGGGTCAAAAATGAGGATCCCAATCTGTGCAAGAATGACTTGAGTTATTTATAGCAGTAATGAGGGCCCTGCTATGGGGAAGGCCTACTTTATGTATGGGATTAAGAAATTGCCTTATTTTCACTTGTTTCTGCAAGCTTGTCTTTAGAAAAGAGGTAGAAGTCCTATCTTCCTCAAGCTGAGTATATGAGTGAAAACATTAAGTTTTCCATAGTCAAAACAGATAATGTTATGAAAATAACAAACAGGTAATATGCAATTGTTTTTAATCTTAAATTTAAGTGCTTAATACTTTTTGTGTTTTATGACATTTCTGGCAGATATCTCCATTGAGCATTTTTTCCAAAAGCTTTTCAAGCATAAAAATTATGAGACTTCTGCTGTTGGGAAGATAATATAGACACAAATTTTCATATTCTTCATTATAAGAGGTAAAACTAAAACCCCAGATATTATGCACAAAACAAACATAAGAAGGCCTTGAAAGGTAGAGAGAAGGAAGACTGGCTATGGACACCAGGTCATGGGGAACAATATGATGATGAGTTCCATAAGTTTTTGTTTTGTCTGAATTATCCCAGATTGAGTACTGGAAAAGGTGGCAACTCAGAAAAGCTAATCTATCCACACAAAAGAGTCCCAGAAAAACCTGCTTACTCTAGCCAAGGGACCTGGAAAGGAACAACATAACATACCAAAAACTTTTAGACAATAATTATTCTTCTTAAGCCAAACTTCATAAAAAAAGACTCTGACCCCAAGCCCATTTGCACTGGCAAAGGCAGGGTACAAGCCTAGACTTCCATTCTCTTAAGGCTGAAACAGATGCTCAGGCTCCTCTCCCCACAACCAAGGTAGTGTCAGACAAGTTACAGTAGAGATACAGGATATTCATCCCCGTAGGGTGATAACCAGCTCCTCCACCATTTTGGTGTCCTTAAAGACCACATAAGGAATCTGAATTTCTACTTCCACTTAGCAATATTAAAGTATCCCTCTCCCTCCCTACTTTTATTGTGCTGCAAGATATTTAATGGAAAATTGGGACTATCACATCCACAGGGCAGTAGTGAGGCTACCCACCCCTTTGGTGGTCTAGTTGAGGTCAGGGAGTGAGTAGCGGTGGAGTCTGAGGGAGAAGCTGGAACATACAACCTTATCCACCAGTAATGAGGAGCCCCTCTCCAAGTGTCAATGAATGCTAAGTAGGAAACTTGGACTTCTACCCTCACCTGGTAGTAACAAGGTGTTACCCCATCATCCACTGATAGAGTAATGTCAAAGAAGGAAGAGATTCTGGTATGTTGTGTCTTTGTTTTCATTGGTTTCAAAGAACATCTTTATTTCTGCCTTCATTTAATTATGTACCCAGTAGTCATTCAGGAGCAGGTTGTTCAGTTTCCATGTATTTGAGCGGTTTTGAGTGGGTTTCTTAATCCTGAGTTCTAGTTTGATTGCACTGTGGTCTGAGAGAGAGTTTGTTATAATTTCTATTCTTTTACATTTGCTGAGGAGTGCTTTATTTCCAACAATGTGGTCAATTTTGGAGTAAGTGTGATGTGGTGCTGAGAAGAATGTATATTCTGTTTATTTTGGGGTGGAGAGTTCTGTAGATGTCTGTTAGGTTCACTTGGTGCAGAGCTGAGTTCAATTCCTGGATATCCTTGTTAACTTTCTGTCTCATTGTTCTGTCTAATGTTGACAGTGGGGTGTTAAAGTCTCCCATTATTATTGTGTGGGAGTCTAAGTCTGTTTCTAGGTCTCTAAGGACTTGCTTTATGAATCTGGGTTCTTCTGTATTGGGTGCATATATATTTAGGATAGTTAGCTCTTCTTGTTGAATTGATCCCTTTACCACTATGGAATGGCCTTCTTTGTCTCTTTTGATCTTTGTTGGTTTAAAGTCTGTTTTATCAGACACTAGGATTGCAACCCCTGCCGTTTTTTGTTTTCCATTTGCTTGGTGGATCTTCCTCCATCCTTTTATTTTGAGCCTATGTGTGTCTCTGCCCGTGAGATGGGTTTCCTGAATACAGCACACTGATGGGTCTTGACTCCTTATCCAATTTGCCAGGCTGTGTCTTTTAATTGGAGCATTTAGCCCATTTACATTTAAGGTTCATATTGTTATGTGTGGATTTGATCCTGTCATTATGATGTTAGCTGGTTATTTTTCCCATTAATTGATGCAGTTTCTTCCTAGCCTCGATGGCCTTTACAATTTGGCATGTTTTTGCGGTGGCTGGTTCTGGTTGTTCCTTTTCATGTTTAGTGCTTCCTTCAGGAGGTCTTGTAAGGCAGGTCTGGTGGTGACAAAATCTCTCAGCATTTGCTTGTCTGTAAAGTATTTTATTTCTCCTTCACTTATGAAGCTTAGTTTGGCTGGATATGAAATTTTGGGTTGAAAATTGTTTTATTTATGAATGTTGAATATTAGCCCCCACTCTCTTCTGGCTTATAGAATTTCTGCCAGGAACCAAAGACAAAAACCACATGATTATCTCAATAGATGCAGAAAAGGCCTTTGACAAAATTCCACAGCACTTCATGCTAAAAACTCTCAGTAAATTAGGTATTAATGGGACGTAACTCAAAATAATAAGAGCTATTTATGACAAACCCACAGCCAATGTCATACTGAATGGGCAAAAACTGGAAGCATTCTCTTTGAAAACTGGCACAAGACAGGGATACCCTCTCTCACCACTCCTATTCAACATAATGTTGGAAGTTCTGGCCAGGGCAATCAGGCAGGAGAAAGAAATAAAGGGTATTCAATTAGGAAAAGAGGAAGTCAAATTGTCCCTGTTTGCGGATGACATGATTGTATATTTAGAAAACCCCATCATCTCAGCCCAAATTATCCTATTGCATTTCATTTATATTGTATTTTTGAAAAGACAAAATTGTAGAATTGGAGAATGGTTTAGTGGTTGCCAGCGATTAAGGGCAAAGCAAGAGTGAGGCCATTGTGGTTATAAAAGGACAACAGAAAGGATCCTTGTGGTGATGGCACGGTTTTTGTTGTCATTGTTTGTCTCAATTATGGTGGTGGTGGTGATCTGAGCCTAAATGCACTACAAGATTTCATAGAACTAAATCACACACACACACACACACACACACACACACACACACACACGCACACACAAGTTAAACTGGGGAAATCTGAATAAGATCAGTAGATTCTATCAATGTCAATACCCTGGTTGTAATATTGTACTGCAGCTTTTGCAAGATGTTATAATTGAGGGAAACTAGGTAAAGTAGGCATGGGATATCTATGAAATCTTTTTTTTTACAACCGTGTGTTAATCTACAATTACTTTAAAATAAAGAAGTTTAACTAAAAATATGTTTTATAAAGGAGAGACAGATTTTTTTTTTCCAAAATGTCAAGACTAGCTGAAAGATATTCCAATTAACCTTCACAGTCCTCTTTATCCTAATCCTTGGATTGCAGATATACAGCCTGCATGGTCCTCACATTGTCCTTTTATCTGTGTGTGTAAAATCCTGATGTCTCTTCTTAATCTTATAAAGATACCTGTCCTATTGGAACAGGGCCCCACTCTTATGACCTCAGTTAAGCTTAATTACCTCCTTAAAGGCCCTACCACATAACATAGTCACGTTGAGGATTAGGGCTTCAACTTACAAGTTTCGGGAGGACACACTTCAGGCCATACACATATTCATATTATATACATTATTTTGCATATGATTTAAAGGATCCCAAAATTCACTTTGATATTTCAGGTCTCAGCAGCTTGACTAAGGTTCTTGTGATTGAAAGCACTTATTCGTCTACTTCTGAAGGGAAAGGGCCATACATTATGTGCAGGTTTCTGTTTTTCATTAGTTTCTAATGCTTTCAGACCCAGTGCTCTGTTTATACAACAAGGTTTTGTAATGCCCACTCTATAGTTTATTTTTCAAAAAGATCTGCTATTCCTCCCTGAGCAAGTATTATAGTTCCTCTTCTTAATTATGGCAGGGTTGGCCATGTGATTTGCTTTAACCAACAATATATGCATAGAGGAGACAAGTGTCTTTTCTGGGTGGAAGCTTTAAAAGATAGGATGTGGTTTGCCCTATTCCCTTCTTCCCTCTGCCACCAGGATTGGCAAGTTCTCAGATAGAGGATGCTTTTTCAGTTTCAGTCCCAGGGTGAAGGCAATGACAGAGCAGAGTCATAGCTGGCTGGAACAAATCAGATAGCATGAGCAAGAAATAAACTTTGTAGTTGAAATGCACTGAAATTTTAAGGTCATTTGATACCAGAGACAATCTAATTTATCCTGATACATGCTCTTTGTCATTCTGAAATAAAATTCATGATAATATAATTTACATATACTAACATACATAATTTCTCTAGCCAATATCTCCCCAACTCTGTTATGGATGATTAATTATAACACACTTTATTATGAAAGATATTTATTTTAGCTTTTATATTCACTGATTCAGGCCTAGGAGTAATTATAAAATAGATGCCCACCCCTACATATAATAAATAAACTTGGTATAAAAGAAGTTTAGAAGGTTTTCCTTACCAGAAAAACAAAAATGAAAGAGCAGAGGTAAGATGACTACTCTAAACAACTGGTTCCAGAACAGGCATTTCTGTGAATCCATCTGTGTGAGATGGGCAGTTTTACTCACCTTTGAAGGGCTGGGAAGTGTCACCTCTGTTGTCAGCGTACCTTATGACTATGTCACTAACAAGGGAACTGTTGGCTCTGGTGCATGACCTCCATTCATCTAGAAAGCACCTAGTGAGTCCCACAATGCCTTGGTGTTGGGGAGAAGTAGCATACTGTATCTCCTAGAAGGAAACAGAGATAGCTAGGACTATGACTGATTATTCACGTTACCACTGCCCTTGTTGGTGTCAGATAAGCTAGAATGCTTATACTCTGGTCTTTCTGTTGAACCTTCATACTACCTTTCAACTTCTTTTGCAGTCATTGCCTGCAGACAACACTTTTCACTTGCCTTGCAGAAGCTCTGTGCTCTTTGTCAGTAGGAACCAAGGGCTCCAGTTCTGTCTGGAGGCAAAGCCTTGATCCAGTAGCCATGTGAGATCCCTCTTCTCATTAACTAATCCTTGAGTTCCTGAAAGAGTTCAAAGGAAACAGGGCCCATGTGATGAGAAATATGCGCATCCTTATCCAGATTTAAGTAGGAAAAAGAATGGAAAGCAGCCTTCTAGACATAGCTGGACCAATTTGAGGATTGAGGTTTTGTCCTATTTGATATCCCCATCACCTCCCTGGTTTTAGTCAGGTACTGCATGCACATTTCAGCTCCCAAGTTTGCATTTGAAGTATTTGGCTTACAAACTAAGTCCCCACAGGGAGTATATTTGCCTAAACTCTGACTGTAACAATGTTATTCCAAGAACTTAAAACCCTGCTCACCTGGTCTACCCTACCCCAACCTGCCATAACTCACCACAAATAGGAACCCGGAAGCACCTTCAAAACAGATGTACTGACCATCCTACCACAGGGTTAATCCCAGGATTAGTAACAATACCCACTCCTCTGTTGATATGGTTTGGCTGTGTCCCCACCCAAATCTCATTTTGAATTTAACTCCCATAATCCCCATGTGTCGTGGGAGAAACCCATGGGAGGTAATTGAATCATGGGGGTGATGGTTTTATAAGGGGCTTTTCCCCCTTTGTTCAGCTGTCATTCTCTCTCCTGCTGCCCTGTGAAGAGGTAACTTCCTCCATGATTTTAAGTTTCCTGAGGCCTCCCCAGCCATGCAGAACTGTGAGTCAATTAAACCTCTTTTCTTTATAAATTACCCAGTCTCGGGTATATCCTTATAGCAGCATGAGAATGAACAAATACATCTACCTTTTTTCCAAAGTGGCTATTTCAGGCAGAGCTGGACACTATCCCTTTTCAGATTACATATATTGACCTTTCAGGTTTGAAGTTGCCCAGTACCTGTTGACTGAAAATCTGATCAATGCATCTTGGATGAGTTTAAGGAAATCATACAATTCAGCTCACACTAAATGGCATGCACCTTTTTAATCTAGTCATTCCATTTTAAAATTCTTTACTCTCCTATGTCTAGAGCTCCCATTAAACGTTGTGTTGGACATTATGAAATATGGGGAACATGTGTGGGAAGTGCTCTGCTCTGAGAGGCTCTCTAGCCTAAATATTTCCTATTCAGCCTTAGTTGAAGGTAACTGAGGTGTAAACACAAACAATTTGATCCATACAGTTGCCTGTGCTCAGCTGAGAACTGAATCACCATTGTGGCTCCCAAAGTGTCAGAGGGCAGTGAAGGCTACTTCTACATAAAAGGCTGTTAATTTGCAACAGGCAAGGGAGGCTGGCAGAAGAATTCCTAATTTTTCCAACGATAATGCACCTTAGGTGATTTGTGCAGCCAATTCAAAATTTTGTGGAGGGAAACTTTGAGCTGGAGACCTGCTTTATGCATGGAAAGAAACTGGCCTTGGCACACAAAAGATCCTGTACTTGATGCCTGGTAAGGGAAAGAACCATAAGAGAAGTCAGGGAAATTGCTGAAGTGCATCCCAAAAGTTGGTGCATCACCATCTTTGAGATTGCTTTAGCTCTTTGGACTTTGGTATTTAAAATAGGTTTTTTGGTGCTTGTATATCTAATCCCTATGGGAATACAACTTGGCTATTCTCTCTGGCTCTCAAAACTTTTACTGCCTTGAATAAGAGTTTCTGTTCTAGTTATTGTTCTGATCCAAATAAATAAAATTCTACCCTCAAACATATACCTTAAGTGATTTCAAATATGTATGCTCACAGACATGACATTTAATTCTTTTCTTTCTCCTATATAATTAAAATGGCATTAAATTACATTAAATGTGTTCTCTTTATTACATAGTATACATTATTTAATTATACATAGATGTTATTTCATTTTGTGCACAAAATCCTGTATATTGTGCTTGTTCACAACTTAATAGATATCCAGAGTTATTTTGACTACATAAGATTTCATATTGCTTGCTGACTTCTAAAACTACTAATCTACATAAAATGTGACTCATCAGCAACACAGGGGTCAAATGGCATCACCATGTTTGTAACTGGAGGATCACAACTGGAAATACCAGTTAAGTTTAACGAACCTTGAAAACTAATTGTCACTAATTGTGCACAGACATCCTCCATAATAGCTGATCTCACTAGCTGAAGAGCAATTAAAAGGCAAATTGCCAAGGATAACCATGATGTAGAGTCTGAAAGCTACTCCTGAACATTCTTTCCCCTTATTTTTTGATAAAAGACACTCAAGCTTTGGCAAGCTATATACCACTATGAAAGAAGTCACAAAGAATTCAAGCTTTGAGCTTTGGGAGGACTCTGTGGCACAGGGCTCTACTTACTGTAACAGTCATAGAGGCAGTGGAGACAGATGCTGTGGAACTAAGATCACCTTGAAAGTCTAGGTATGATTAGAAGATGGTGTGGAATTTCTAAGTATTAGAATTTCTAGCAACACTCCAGTTTTCATCCCAATGCCATACCTCCACTTCCACAGTTTCTGGTGCCCAAAATTCCAAAAACTTTTCTAATTGTCTTTGGAGTAAATGGGTTTTCATCTTTTTTTCTATGCCTCTCTGAAAACACTTAAATTTACATTCTATTGCTCTGCTAAGTAAGCTACTAATCCTCTTTCCTCATTGTGGTTCAAGGTTATACATCTAAATATATTCTTGTTTTCTTGATGTTAGAGTTTATGTTACTAAGTCTCATTTTCCTTTCTGTTTAGGGGCAATTCCCAAGAGACAAATACATCTTTGCCATCTTAAATGACAAATCCACAAAATTTTCCTTTGAGGAGAAGTGATTGAACTTGTCTAAGAAAGACTTCTAGGAGGTTTGCAAATAAACGTGAGAGTTGTATTAGTCAACAGTGCTGGACTGGGCCACCAGCACAACTACTGGAGGGTCAACCACTTATTAACCTTAAGAGTTCTAGACTTGATGTATCAGATGTGGTGCAGAGGTGCATCTACTATGAAGCTAAGGAATATTAATCTTCAGTGTCTGTCAGTTGCACAGGCCCCTTTCAAGGCCCTGAGAGAGTCGTTAGAAACATGCTAACATGATTTTATGCCTTTCTTTAATTTGAAAGCTAAGGTATTTTGACAGCAATTGGTTAAGACTATTGTTGCTTTCCACTCTGACTTCCCCTCCATCATACTATCTCTTCTGCCAGACAGCAATGGAATGCTAGCAAGCATATTTGGGATCTAGCAAAGGGCAAGGTGAGTATTAAGTGGTTTGCAGTTGCTTCCATGTAGTTAATTTATTGCTAACTGTCTTGGTATAGAAATGGCTTCCAGGAATCCTCCTATTTCCAATTGTGCCAGTTCACTTGGTGTCTTGACATGAAGGTTTATGGCTTGAGAAATATGTAGGTAAAGGAGGAGAAACAAAGTTTGAAAGGAACTAAGCAAGATAGTAATCTGTGGAAAAATCTTCAAATCATCAGATATGTAAAATTATAATTTAAATTTGGTTCTCATCTATGCCTGGAAAAAACAAAAGGACTTGCCTGAAAGGACCATACTAATAATGCAGCTTATTCAATTATGCATGTACCACACATTTTCGTTTGCTTTTGATAGAAATTGGGTGAAAAGTAATTCATCAGAATCCTTGGGTTCACAGGGGACAGAGTTGTAACAGACAACACATACATATGTGTGAATTTGCATTATTTATGTATCCCAACTATTTATAACTAAAAAATAAATTTGGTCAATCAAATATATTACAAAACCCTTGTTATATGAAGCGGTAATCAAAGAGTAGGCAGCTAAAAAGCATAGGATAAAGATTAGAGATGAGTTAGGTAATAATAAATATGGTATTTTTTCTAGATTTGGTAGCATTTAACAGGTTTCTCAGCTTTAAAAAGTGTAAAATATTGTAATGTCATTTCTTATTGTAAATGAGTATTTATTTTCCTACTTAATTTTGTATTTGTAACTTTGTATTTTTTCTTAAAGAAAATCATATAAGCTTCAGGCCCCACAAAATCTGCCTCTTCAGTACTTGTTGATGTGTCATGATTGAATGGTGTATTCAGGAGTCAAGTATTATTTTCTGTGCTTTTGATACCTACAGGCTTTGTGAGATTATGTATGTGCATGTGTATATGTGCATACACATATGTGTGTGAGCGTATGTGTGTCATGAGTCTGTGATGGGGTAACATAGAGTAGAGATAGGAATTCAGCCTCTAGGTCTGAGACACAATGAACTAGATTCAGCTGTGTACCAGGTAATGTGCATTAATGGGAAAGAAAATATGTTTCATAAGGAAATATTTAGTTAACACTAAATTTGGTTTACACGTCTAATTTATAGAAAACAAATATGCCTTGTGGGTGGTTTGTTACTCATTGGTAACTTTTCTGTATCATAGAACAACTTTGATGAGAAAAAGCATTTTCATCATTTGGGATTCTTTGAATAATTTGTGATTTTTAAATTTTATTTCTGACTCATTTTAGCCCATTATGCATATTCTCCCCATTTGCCAATATTTTAATAATTTTTATTTTTTAATTGCTTTAAAATGTCACCAGTATATATTTTTAAATTTTATCTAAAGACATGATTTATGATTTACATCTTATTTGCTTTAGTTTTGTTGGCTTTCCAGTACGATATCTGCTTTTGTAGATTTAAAAATCATTTTTAGTATGAAATTAATTTACCCATTTAGTCCTACATTTCTATTTAAATTTTTCTTGTGCTTAATTTCTTATAACTTAGGGTAATCTTTATATATCCGTAATATATAATTACTCTTGCCTGGCATATTCTGCCTCTTATTAAACGTGCATTGCAACTTGGTCAGTGTGAGGGTCGCCTGGATTTCCATAAAATAGAAATAAAAATATTGATTTCAGAAGACACTGTTTTATGATAAGAACGTGGAAAATAAGGTTCTTTACCATTGTAGTGGTTATCAGTAGGTGTGAGGATATGAGGAGAGGTTTCTGATCTGAGTGAAGGCTAATTTACGGAATAGGGTTGGGGCCCACCTGATGGTGTAGGGACAGGAGGGAATTCTCTATTTCTATGTTGGGGTTGACCTACTCTCAGAAGAGAATAATATGTGGTTGATATGCTGATTAAGAGAGCTCAGTTTTTATTGCAGATTCTTTCTGCCTGGGGGTAAGTCATAGCCCTACCTCTAGGTAGTGTCTTTCCCTTTTATTGACAACAGAATGACAGCATTTTGTACCAAAAATTCTGACATTATGTAATGATGTAGAATTGTCTCAAGTAATGTACTTCCAGTACAGATCTCATTTTCACTGACAGCAAAGCCCAGAAAAGTGGGAAGATGTATGGAATATCTCCCACAATGGGTATTATGGCAGGCAGCCTTTAATATGGTTTCCAATGATCCTGTCTTGGTTATTCATGTCTTATGTAACCCCATCCTTTTTAGTATAATAAGCTCTACTTAATGACTTGCTTCTAATGGCAGAGGTAATGGGATGTCAATTCCAAAATTGGGTAACAAAAACACTCTGACTTCTGTCTTCATTTTCTCTTGTTCTCTTATTTGTTCATTCTGACGGAAGCTATATTTTATGTTGTATTTTGCCCTATAGAGAGGTGCATGTTGTAAGGAAATGGGAGCAGCTTCTAGCCAATGATCAGCAGTGAACTGAGGCCCTAAGCTCAACAGCTTGCAACAAATTGAATCTTTCCAAACACTACTTGAATGAGCTTGGAAACAGATCCTCTCCCAGCAAAACCTTGAAATGAGACTGTAGCCCTAGCCAACACCTTAATTGCAGTCTTATGAACTAATTGGATGGATACTCCTGGCTGTAACTTCATGCTTTCTTGAAAAATCTGGTAATTCACCAATATTCAATGAAAACTAGATGCAGGCTGGATGTGGTGGCTCACGCCTGTAATCCCAGCACTTTGGGATGCTGAGGCAGGTGGATCACTTGAGGCCAGGATTTCGAGATTAGCCTGGCCAACATGGTGAAACCCTGTCTCTATTTAAAAAAAAATTAGAAAAAGAAAACTTGATGCAGAATCATCGATTAAGCCATGCATTGATACCTGACCCAAAGTAACTATAAAATAATAAATGTTTATTGCTTTAAGCTGCTAAGTTTTGGAGTAATTTATTTTGCAGCCATAGATAAGTAATACAAGGGTGCACTCCTTCCTACAGCAAATTAGGTACCCCATTTCACTGTATTTATACTTTAAATTTTTTTAATCAACAAATAAAATTCTATGTATTTATCATGTACAACATAATGTTTTGAAGTAAATATACATGGTGGAATAACTAAATATAATAATTAACATATGCATTACCTCATATAGTTATCATTTTTATGGTGAGAACACCTAACACCTACTCTCTTAGCATTTGAGAACACAATATATTGTTATTAACTATTGTCACCATGTGGCACAAGAGATTTCTTGAACTTATATCTAGTATCTCACTAAAATTTTATATCCTTTGACCAACATCTCCCTAACCTCTCCCCAGTAATTTCTTCAGCTCCTGGCAATCACCATTCTACTCTCATTTTATGAGATCAACTTTTTTAAATTCCACATACGAATTAGATCATGTGGTATTTATCTTTCTGTGCCTGGCTTAATTAATATAATGTCCTTCAGATTCATCCACGTTGTCACAAGTGACAAGATTTTATTCTTTTTAAAGGCTGAATAGTATTCCATTGTGTATATACACCACATTTTCTTTATCCATTCATTCATTGATAGACACTTAGGTGGATTTCATATCTTGGCTGTTGTGAATAATGCTATAATAAGCATTGGAGTACAGATATCTCTTCAACATATTGATTTCATTTCCTTTGGATATATACCCAGTAGTAAGATTGCTGAATCACATAAGAGTTCTATTTTTAATTTTTTGAGGAACTGCCATACTGTTATCCATAATGGCTGTACTAATTTACATTCACATTAAAAATATCACTGCACTTATTCTTAATCTGTCCTGCACCTGCCCCACTGCCTCATCCCCCATCACATCAATCATGGAAAACTACACATCCCAGGGAATAGCCTTCAAGTAACTCATAGTCAACCATATAAAGGGCAAAGTTACAGGACCCTTCAGCATGTCAGGTTAACTTAAATCATTTTATAATTAATCCTCTTGAGGCCACTATTTCCTTTGATGCCATCCCCTTCCAAGCAGATAACTAATTGAACCTATACTCCTGGCTGTAATTTTATGCTTTATTACCTGGTTACTCACCAGTATCCAAGGACAGGGGAATAGCTGCTATGGAGGAACAGAAAAAGTCTTCATATCCTCAGCTTCTTTACAACCACGACAATGTAATACCCATTCAGGTTCTCCATCAGCTTTGAGATGTTACCTTTACAAACTCAAGTTTTGCTGCTTCAGCTAAGCATCCTTGCCACTTCTTCATGCTATTAGAGTATGAATCTAATCTGTCCTTTGTGGTGAATCCAATCTGTCCTTTTAGATGCTTTTATTTCCCCTACCCCTCAAGAAAACTCTTCACTCCCTAAGTGAAAGAGGAAAAAATCTCCTCCCAGGGTATGTAAGATGCACAGATAAAGATTGAATAATTTGTTAGAATATATCATAAAATAAGTCATTCCACATTTGAGTCATATTGATGTTTATGTAAATATAATGCATATGACAGATTGAATATAAAAGAAGCTAGTATAATTCTGCTTGCAAGGTTTTTCATCCCATAATGGTTTCTACAGGTTTAAACCTATTATTAGAGAACTGCATCAGACCACTCACTTGACCATATAATGTTAGAATCATTTAGAAAAAGCTATTTTAAATAACATTACATTTCAGTTGCCAAAACTATGGTGAATGGTGGCTTCTTTGGGGATTTTTAAAGGGAAGATCACAAATTAGAAAACGGAAAAATTGTCCAATATATCCTCAAAATAATTATTATCCTACTAATGTAATTACTTTTGGAATTATACCTACAAACACCAATAATAGGTAATAACCAAGAAACAAAGTGAATATTCATACATAGAGATAAATAAAGTTTATTTACATTAAGTTCTACCCAAATCCTACAATTTTACAATATTTTCCCACTGATAAAATATAGAGAGAGCAAAAAAAACCTGAAATTAATTATTTGATCCCAGGACTCATTTCTGCCCAGATCATCACCTGCTTGGTGAAATTTGGGAGACAATAGGTGGTTGAATAATGGGAATGTGTAGGTAATATTGTATTTTACAATGCTTGCCAAATATTACTGTTCATACGAGTAGTCTGGAGAGCTTATTAGAACATAAATTCCTGCTATACTTCTTGAATAGGTCAGGAATGGGGCCCATACATTTCCATTTCTTATTCTCTGGTAATAATGATGTAGCTGGACCAATGAGCACATTTTGACTAGTACTGATGTATCCTGGAACTTGGGAATAGTTCAACAGTCATAGAGTTTCAATAACACTCTGTGAAGTTTTTTTTTTCCCTTTTTATGAGGAACTTCTTTCCTCTTTTATGAGGAAGCTTCTGGGATGTTTTAATAATCCTTGGCAAAAAATTCAACCAATTATAAGTTTTCCTGATGTGCTGCATAGGGACTCTTCAACATGGAGTCAGTCAGATGAGTCCAAGTTTTATAATATCTCAGCCCAGTGTGAGGAATCACTTAGCTGTGTCTATTTGTAACTGTAGCTTCAAATACTTCATGGCCACCTGCTGATGGACATCATATATTTAGAGAGACTACATACACTTCCTAAAACAATAACAACAATAGCAACAAGAAGTATTCATTATAGCTGCTTAGAAATCTATCTGTAGAAGTAAATACTTTTTTTTCATTTTGAACAATGTGAACTCCTCTTAAAAACAAATTAATGAGCGCTATCTTTGACACTGGTGGAGCAGAGAGCTCCAGGGATCTGTTATTCCATACAAACAACCATTAAACTGACTAAAACTATCAGAATCAACTCTTTCAGAACGCTAAAATATGTATTTTTAAAAACTTACAACAACAAGGAGAGTGTTTAATGAAGAAAGAGGCTGCAAAATTTCTTAATAGAATACTAGGGCATTTTAAATTATTTACCGATGACCCTCCACTCTCCAGTCAAGCAGTGGCCATGATGATGGTGGTTCACTTTTTGGGGTGGCTTACTGATATCAGAGGGGGCAATCATTTACAAAGAATTATGGTTGTGGATTTTGATGTGTCTGGTGTCTCCGTGAGGCATTAACTCAGGGGCCTGGTTTGGTTTTGTCTCCCTTAGAACTCAGGGCCGGATGATCCTCCCAGACAGCATTTTACAAAAACATTTAAAAGTAAATACTAACTTCTGCTGCCTGAGTTAAGGGACAACACTGGGGGCAAGCAACAGGCAGATTGAAAACTTAGGAGAAAAGATGCTGGGGAATGAGATACTTAAGGGAGGAGGGTATAAGGGCTTGGAAAAGATTTTGCAAATCCTACGGAATTCAGAAGGCCATGCAAATGCCTATAGATAGGTGCATGCTCAGAAAATACATGAGAAAACCCTAAGTTTACATCTCAATCTGAATTTTAGGCTCCTTGTAAGCAGGAAGTGAAGGCTAAGGAAGAATTTTTAGTTCCTTGGCTATGTTTTGAAGAAATTCCTCAATACAGAGCCAATCTGCAAAAACAAAAAACTAATCCAAAAGAAGTAACAACAACAAACCCTGAAGAGTGAGGATAACTTGGTTTCTAGAGTTATCACATTATATGATTCAAGATGACTAGTTTTCAGCAACAAAATAAATGACATGGGGAGGAGCCAAGATGGCTGAATAGAAAGAGCTCCAGTCTGCAGCTCCCATGGAGAATAAAAACAGTGAGTGAATTCTGCATCTTCGATTGAGGTACCCAGGTTCTCTCACTGGGACTGACTAGTCAGCTGGTGTGACCCACAGAGAACAAGGAAAAGCAAGGTGGAGCCAGGGCCCCACCCCTGGAGCTGCAAGGGGCGAAGGCAGTTCCCTCCCCTAGCCAAGGAAGGTGGTGAGGGATTGTGCTACCCCGCCCTGAAAACCATGCTTTTCCCATGGATCTTTGCAACCTCTGGATCAAGAGATCTCCTTGTGAGCCCGTGCCACCAGGGCTTTGGGTCCCAAGCATAGAGCTGTGCAGACTCACAGCAACTGGTCAGGTAGGCAGTAGATGGGGGCAGGCACTGAGACACAGGAGTTTTTGCATACTCCCGCTCCAGGAACTCCAGTCAGGCAGGAGATCTGTCCAATCCCATGGGAAGGGGGCTGAAGCCAGGGAGCCAATCAGCCTTGCTCAGCGGTCCCCAATTCCATGCAACCCACAAGCTAAAACCTACCAGCTTGGAATCCCCATTCGCCAGTGCAGCAGTCAGGAGACTGCCTAAGAAGACTGAGTTCTGCAGGGGGAGGGGCAGCTGTCATCACTGCAACTCCTGTCGGCCATTTTCCCTTGCCACCAGTGCCAGTGAGACTGGGTAGTTTGCACTGGGAGCAATTCCCCACAGTGCAGCACAGTGGCTGTGACAGTTTGTGGTCAGACAACTTCTGTAAGTGGGACCCTGACCCATTCCTCCTCACTGAGCATGGCCTCCCTGTGTGATTTCCAGCATCCCCAGCCAGGAGTTTATGGACAGAACTCTGATCTCCCTGAGAGGAGCCCCTAGGAGGAGTGGCAGCTGCAGTATCATGGATCACTGGTCTTAGACTTTTCTGCCCCCTGACTCTGGAGAGTCAAGGCAGCCTGAATCAGGGACATTCCCCCCAGCACAGCATACCTGCTTCACCAAGGGGCAGCCAGACTGCTTATTTCAGTGTGTTCCTGATCCTGTTCCTCCTGACGGGGTGAGACCTCCCAACAGGGGGTTCCAGAAACCTCACATGGGAGCGTTCCAAATGGCATCAGGTCAGTGCCCCTCTGGGACAGAGCTCCCTGAGGAAAGAGTAGGCTGACATTGTCGCTGTTCTGCAGCCTCCACTGGAGATACCTCCAAGTGCAGGAGGGACCCAGGTAAGTAAGGAGTGGAGTGGACCCCCAGCAAATCGCAGCAGCCCTTTGGAAGAGGGGCCTGATTGCTAAAAGAAAAACAAACAGAAAGCAACAACAACATCAATGAAACCCCACAAAAACTCTATCCAAAGGTCAGCAGCCTCAAAGATCAGAGGTAGATAAACCCATGAAAATGAGAAAGAATCAATACTAAGACATTGAAAACTCAAAAAGTTAGAGTGCCTCATCTCCTCCAGATGATTGCAACATGTTTCCAGCAAGGACACAAAACTGGGCAGAGGCTGAGATGGATAAATTGACAGAAGTAGGCTTCAGAAGATGGATAATAACAAACTTTGCTGAGCTAAAGGAGTATGTTCTAACCCATTTCAGATAAGCTAAGAAGCATGATAAACCATTACAGGAGCTGTTAACCAGAATAACCAGTATAGAGAGGAACATAAATGACCTGATAGAGCTGACAAACACAACATGAGAATATCACAATGCAAACACAAATATCAATAGCTGAAAAGACCAAGCAGAAGAAAGGATATCAGAGCTTGAAGACTATCTCGTTGAAATAAGGCAGGCAGACAAGATTAAAAAAAAAGAATGAATAGAAACAAACGATACCTCTGAGAACTATGAAATTGTGTAAAAAGACTGAACCTACAACTGATTGGGGTACCTGAAAGAGACGAAGAGAATGACCCAAGTTGAAAAACACACTTCAGGATATCATCCAGGAGAACTTCCCCAACCTAGCAAGACAGGCCAACATTCAAATTCAGAAAATACAGAGAACTCCGGTAAGATAATCCATGAGAAGATCAACCCCAAGACACATAATCATCAGATTCTCCAAGGTCAAAATGAAGAAAAAAATGTTAAGGGCAGCTGGAGAGAAAGGCCAGATCACCTATAAAAGGAAGCCCATAAGACTAACAGCAGACCTCTCATCAGAAACCCTAAAAGTCAAAAGAGATTGGGGGCCAATATTCAACATTCTTAAAGAAAAGAATTTCTAACCTAGAATTTCATATCTGGCCAAACTAAGCTTCATAAGTGGAAGAGAAATAAAATCTTTTCCAAACAAGTAAATGCTGATGGAATTCATCACCACCAGGCCTGCCTTGCAAGAGGTCCTGAAAAAAAAAGCACTGAATATGGAAAGGAAAAACCATTATAAGCCACTTCAAAACACACTGAGCTGGGTGCAGTGGCTCACACCTGTAATCCCAGCACTATGGGAGGTCAAGGTGGGTGGATCACCTGAGGTCAAGAGTTCGAGACCAGCATGGCCAACATGGTGAAACCCCATCTCTACTAAAAATACAAAAATTAGTTGGGCCTGGTAGCAGGCACCTGTAATCTCAGCTACTTGGGAGGCTGAGGCAGCAGAATTGCTTGAACCCAGAAGGCAGAGATTGCAATGAGCTGAGATCACGACATTGCACTCCAGCCTGGGCAACAAGAGCGAAACTCCATCTCAAAAAACAAACAAACAAACAAACAAAAAACACTACTGAAGTACACAGAACAATGACACTGTATAGCAACTATATAAACAAGTGTGCAAAATCACCAGCTAGCATCATGATGACAGGAACAAATACACACATAACATTATTAACCTTAAATGTAAATGGGTGAAATGCCTCAATTAAAAGACACAGAATGGCAATCTGGATAAACAGTCAAGATCCATTGCTGTGTTGTATTCAAGACACCCATCTCACCTGCAAAGACAGACATACACTCAAAATAAAGGGATAGAAGAAAATTTACCAAGCAAATGGAAAACAGAAAAAAGCAGGGGTTGCAGTCCTAGTTTCTGAAAAAACAGACTTTAAATCAACAAACATCAAAAAGGACAAAGAAGGGCATTACATAAAGTAAAGGGGTCAATTCAAAAAGAAGAACTAACTATCCTAAATATATACACATCCAATCCAGAGAACCCAGATTCATAAAACAAGCTCTTAGAAACATACAAAGAGGCGTAGACTCCCACACAATAATAATGGAAGACTTTAACTTCCCGTTGTCAATATCAGAGAGATCAATGAGACAGAAAATTAACAAAGATATTCAGGACTTGAATTCAACTCCGGATCAAGTGAACCTGATAAGTATCTATAGAAGTCTCCACCCTAAAACAACAGAATATACATTCTTGGCATCACATGGAACTTACTCTAAAATTGACCACATAATTGGAAGTAAATCACTCCTAAGCAAATGCAAAAAAAAAACCCAAAATCATAATGAATAGGCTCTCAGACCACAGCACAATCAAATTAGAACTCAAGACCAAGAAACTCACCCCAAACCACAGAACTACATAGAAATTGAACAACCTGCTCTTAAATGACTCCTGTGTAAATAATGAAATTAAGGCAGAAATCAAGAAGTTCTTTGAAAAAAATGAGAACAAAGATACAAGGTACCAGAATCTCTGAAATGCAGCTAAAGCAGTGTTAGGAGGGAAATTTATAGGACTAAATGCCCACATCAAAGAACTCAATAGATCTATGTAACAACCTAACATCTCAACTAAAAGAACTAGAGAACCAAGAGAAAACAAACCCCAAAGGTAGCAGAAGACAAGAAATAACCAAACTCAGAGTGAAACTGAAGGAGACAGAGACATGAAAAACCCTTCAAAAAATCAACAAATCCAGGAGCTGGTTTTTTGAAAAAATTAATAAAATAGACCACTAGCTAGACTAACGAAGAATAAAAGAGAGAAAAATCAAATGGACACAATAAAAAATGGTAAAGGGGATATTACCACTGACCCCACAGAAACACAAATAACCATCAGAGAATACTATAAACACCTCTATGCAAATAAACTAGAAAATCTAAAAGAAATGGACAAATTCCTGGACACATACACCCTCCCAATTACTGAACCAGGAAGAAGTAGAATCCCTAAATAGACCAATAACAAGTTCTGAAATTGAGACAGTAATTAATAGCCTACCAATCAAAAAGAGCCCAGGACCAGATGGATTTACAGCTGAATTCTGCCAGAGGTACAAAGAGAAGCTGATACCCTTTCTTCTGAAACTATTCCACTTGAAAAGAAAGGACTCCCCACTAACTCATTTTATGAGGCCAGCATCACCCCAATACCAAAACCTGACAGAGATACAACGAAAAAAAGGAAACTTCAGGCCAATATCCCTGATGAATGTTGATGCAAAACTTCTCAGTAAAATATTGGCAAACCGAATACAGCAACACATCAAAAAGCTTATCCTCCATAATCAATTGGCTTCATCCCCAGGATGCAAGGCTGGCTCAACATACACAAATCAATAAACACAATTTATCACATAAACAGAACTAAAAACTAAAGCCACATGATTATCTCAATAGATGCAGAAAAGGCCTTTGATAAAATTCAACATCGCTTCATGTTAAAAACTGAAAAACTGTCAATAAAGCGGGTATTGAAGGAACATAGATCAAAATAATAAGAGCTATTTATGACAAACCCACAGCCAACATTATGATGAATTAGGCAAAAGCTGGAAGCATTCCCTTTGAAAACCAGCACAAGACAAGGATACACCCTCTTACCACTCTTATTCACATAGTATTGAAAGTTCAGGCCAGGGCAATCAGGCAAGAGAAAGAAATGAAGGGTATTCAAATAGGAAAAGAGGATGTCAAATTGTCTTTGTTTGCAGATGACATGATCCTATGTCTAGAAGACTTCTTTATCTCAGCCCAAAGCTTCTTAAGCTAATAACCAACTTCAGGAAAGTCTCAGGATACAAAAGCAATATGCAGAAGTCACAAGCATTCCTATACACCAACAACAGACAAGTAGAGAGCCAAATCATGAATAAACTCCCATTCACAACTGCTACAAAGGGAATGCAATACCTAAGAATACAACTAACAAGGGAAGTGAAGGACCTCTTCAAGGAGAAGTAAAAACTACTGCTCAAGGAAATCAGAAAAACAAATGGAGAAACATTCCATGCTCATGGATAGGAAGAATCAATATCATGAAAATGGCCATACTGCCCAAAGCAATCTATAGATTCAATGCTACTCCCATTAAACTACCATTGACATTCTTCACAGAATTAGAAGAAACTATTTTAAAATTCATATGAAACCAAAAAAGAGCTCATATAGCCAAGACAACTCTGAGCAAAAAGAACAAAGATGGAGGCATCACGTCACCAGACTTCAAACTATACTACAAGGCTACAGTAACCAAAACAGCATGGTACTGGTAGAAAAACACATACACCAATGGAATAGAATAGAGAACTCAGAAATAAGACTGCACATTTACAACCATCTGATCTTTGACAATCCTGACAAAAACAAGCAATGAGGAAGGGATTCCCTGTTTAATAAATGGTGCTGGGAGAATTGGCTAGCCATATGCAGAAAATTGAAACTGTACCCCTTCCTTACTCCTTTTACAAAAATTAACTCAAGATGAATGAAAGATGTAAATATAAAACCCAAAGCTATAAAAACCCTAAAAGAAAATATAGGCAATGCCATTCAGGACATAGGCACAGGCAAAGATTTCATGATGAAATTGCCAAAAGCAATTGCAACAAAAGCAAAACTTGACAAATGGGATCTCATTCAACTAAATAGCTTCTGTACTGCAAAAGAAACTTATCATTAGATTGAACAGGCAACCTACAGAATGGCAGAAAATTTTTGCCATCTACCCACGTGACAAGGTTCTAATATCCAGACTCTACAAGGAACTTAAACAAATTTATAGGAGAAAAACAAAACAACCCCATGAAAAAGTGTGCAAAGGACATGAACAGACACTTCTCAAATCCATGCAGTCAACAAACATATGAAAAGAAGCTCAACATCACTGATCATTAGAGAAATGCAAATCAAAACCACAATGAAATACCATCTCATGCCAGTCAAAATGGTGATTATTAAAAAGTCAAGAAACAACAGATGCTGGCGAGGTTGCGGAGAAATAGGAATGCTTTTACACTGCTGGTGGAAATGTGAATTAGTTGAACCATGTGGAAGACAGTGTAGCAATTCCTCAAAGATTTAGAACCAGAAATACCATTTGACCCAGCAATTCCATTACTTGGTATATACCCAAAGGAATATAAACCATCCTATTACAAAGATACATGCACATGTATGTTCATTGCATCACTATTCACAATAGCAAAGACATGGTATCAACCCAAATCTCCATCAATGATAGACTGGATTAAAAAATGTGGTACATATACATGATGGGATACTATGTAGCCATCAAAAGGAACGAGATCATGTCCTTTGCTGGGACATTGATGGAGCTAGAAGCCATTATCCTCAGCAAACTACCGCAGGAACAGAAAGGCAAAAACCACATGTTCCCACTTATAAGCAGGAGCTGAACAATGAGAACACATGGACACAGGGATGGGAACAATACACATTGGGGCATGTCGCGGGGGGTGGTGGGGGAAGGAGAGCATTAGGAAAAATAGCTAATGCATCCTGGGCTTACTACCTAGATGATGGGTTGATAGGTGCAGTAAATGACCATGACATATGTTTATCTATGTAATACACCTGCCCATCCTGCACCTGTACCCCAGAACTTAAAATAAAAATAATTCTTTTTAAAAAAAGAAGAAAGTAAATTACATGATAGAAATAGAGACAAGAAATCATGGCCCTTTCAAATAAAAAAATAAAATTAACAGAAACTGTCACCTAGGAAGACCAGACATTCAGTTTACTAGAAAAGGACTTTAAATAAATGGCTTTTAATATGTTCAAAGAGCTCAAGAGAATCTGGCAAAAATATGTAATGTAATCCAGGAGAATGGTATGTCACTACAGAAAGAATATCAATAAAGGGAAATCAATTATTTAAAAGAAACCAAATCGAAATTTTGGAGCTAAAAGGTATAATAACTGATACTTTTAGAAAAATCACTAGAAGGGTTCCACATACGACTTGAGCAAGGAAGATAAACAATCAGCAAACATACAAATGGGTCAATTGAAATTATGTAATCTGAGATGCAGAAAGAAAAATAATGAAGAAAAATAAAGATTCTAAGGTACATATGGTACACCACTGATCCTACCAACATACCCATAAGTGTGTCCCCAGAAGGAAAAAAAGAAGTAAGAGTGCAGAGACAAGAAGAAATAAAGTCAAAAAACTTTGAAAATTTGTTAACAGACATGAATCTACACAACCAAGAATCTCAGTGGTTCCAAGTAGAACCCATTGAGATCCATTGGATTCAAAGCAGCACATATTAAAGCAGCTCACACTAAAACACGTTATAATTAAATTATCAAACCAGAGATAAAATATCTTAAATGCAGCAAGAGAGAAATGAATTGTATTGTATAAGGTATCCTCAATAACATTAAAAGCCAATTTATTATCATAATCTGTGGAGTCTAGAGGCAGCAGATAATATTTAAAGTGCTGAAAGAAAAAGCCCTGTCAATCAAGAATTCTATGCCTGGTAAAACACTTCCTCAAAAATACAGAAGAAATTAAGTTATTCCTACACAAACAAAAGCTGAGGGAGTTTGTCACTGGTAGACCTGCCTTACAAGAAATACAAAAGTAGTCTCTTAGGCTGAAATGAAGGATGATAGACAGTTAACTCAAAGCCATATGATGCAAGAAAGTATATCATTAAATAAAAATACAGCAGCAAATACAAAAGCCAATCTTGTTTCATTTTGTGTTTGCAATGTCTCTTTATTCCTATATGATAGAAAGGATAAGTCCATAAAACAATATTATTAACAAATGTTAATGGGCATGCAATGTATAAATATGTAATTTGTGACAATAACATAAAGGGGGAGGGCTAGAGATTTATAGACAGAGAATTTTTGTATACTGCTGAAGGTAAGCTGGTATCAATTGAAACTAGATTGTTATAAATTTAAGATGTGAGTTTTCATCCCCACATTGGTTCTAAGAAAATGACTAGAAAATATACAAAAAGAAAATAAGAAGAGAATCAAAATGGTAACTAAAAAAATCCACCAAATCAAGTCTCAATAAATTTCAAAAGATGGAAACCTTACAAAGTGTTTTCTCTGAATAAAACCATCTATAGATAACAGAAGAAAAGCTGGAAATTCCCCCAAATTTTTAGAACTTAAGATACAAGTAAGCAACCAATGGATCAAAAAAGAAATGACAAGGGAAATTAGAAAATACTTTGAGATGAATGAAAATGAAAACACAACATAGTAAGGCAAATAGGATATGGCAGAAGGAGTGCTCAGAGAAAAATTTATAGTTTTAAGTGTTTACAATAAAAGAAAAGAGAGGTTACAAGTGAATAAACTACATTTACAACTAAAAACTATAGAAAAAATAGATAATGAGCTAGTATACTAGCTAGTATAAGGAGGAAATAATAAAGATGAGAGAAATGTAAAAGAAAATAGAACAACCACAGAGAAAAACCTGAAACCAAAGCTTCATTCTTTGAAAAGATCAACAAATTGGTAAACCTTAAGCTAGACTGATTAAGGCAAAAAAGGACTCAAGTTTTAATGTAAGAAATGAAGATATAGATATTACTACCAACCTTATATAAATAAATAGCATTATCAAGATGATTATGACTTGTACACCAAAAAATTAGATAACTTGATAAAGTGGACAAATTCCAAAGATACACACAACTATCACAACTGAACACAATGATAAATAGAAAATCCGAATAGACCTATTATTAGTAAGGAGACCGAATAAGCCCTCAACAACTTTCAAACAAAGAAAAGCCCAGGATCACATGGCTTCACTAGTAAATTCTATCAAACTCTTTAAAAAGAAATATTACCGATCCTTCTAAAATGCTTCAAAGAAATGAAAAGGAATGAATACTTCTTAATTTAGTCTATGAAGCCAGCATTACTCTGATACCAAACCAAATATATGACAAGAAAAGAGAGCCACAGACAAATAACACTTATGAATACATGTGCAAAAATCTTCAGCAAAATATTAGCAAATAAAATCCAGAAACAAATTAAAATAATAATTAACCATTGCCAAGTGAGATTTGTTCCAGAAATGCAAGGGTGTTTCAATATATGGAAAGCAGTCAATGTAATACACCACATTAGCAAAATGAGGGAGAAAAAAATCACATGATCATTTCAACCGATTCAGAAAAAGCATTTGACTAATTTGAACATGCTTCCATTATAAAAACCCTTAACAACCTAGGAATAGAAGAGAATTTCCTCAACATGGGAAAGCATTTATTAAAATTTCAGTGATGAAAAACTGAAAGCTCTCCCCATAAAATCAGGAACAAAATAAAGGTGCACACATTCATCCCTTCCATTGGACATTGTACTGTAAGTTCCAGCAAAATCAATTAAAGAAGAAAAATAAAACCATCTAAACTGAAAAGAAAAAAATAAAAATATGTCTACTTTCAAATTGCATGACTTTATATATAAAAATACTAAAAATCCCATGAAAAATGATTGGAACCCATCAATGAATTCTGCAAAGTTGCAAGATATGAGATGAACAGACAAAAATCTGTTTTATTTCTGTATCCTAGAAATTGTCAATCTGAAAAAAAATTAAGAAACAATTCCATTTATGATAGTATCAAAAAGAATAAAATACCTAGGAATAAATTTAACCAAGGAGATGCAAGATTTTTACACTGAAAACTACATGATATGCTGAAAGAAATTAAAGATGACCTAAGCAAATGACAAATGGAAATATAACACGTATTTATGGATGGGAAGACTAAATATTGTTAAGATGGCAATACTTGGATAAAGAAATGTGGTACATAGACAAAACAGAAGAAAATTCTGTCATTTGCAATGATATAAATGAACCTGGATGTAAAATAAGCCAGGCAAGAAAAACAAATACCAAATGATTTGATTTATATGTGGAATCTATCTAATGAAGTCAAACGTATACAAGCAGAGAGTAGCATGAGGGTTACCAAGGGCTAGGGGAAGAGAGGACTGGGGATATGTTGGTTAAAGGATACACAATTTCAGATAGACAGGAGGAATTAGTTCAAGAGATCAATTGTACAACATGATGGCAATGATTAAAAAGAATGCACTGTACACTAGAAAACTGCTAAAAGAGATGTCAAGTGTTCTAACCACAAAAATGATAAATATATGAGGTAATGCATATATTAATTAGCTTGATTTAGCCATTCCACAATGTATATTCCAAAACACCATGTTGTACACCATAAATACATATAATTTTGTAATTAAAATAATTCAAAAATAAATAACTTTTTTTAAAAGGTAGCAATACTCCCCAAAGAAATCTATATATTCAATGCAATCCCTATCAAAATTCTAGTGGATTCATTGTTGAAATAAAAATAAAATTTCTAAAAGTCAAATGGCATTTCAAGAGACACTGAATAGCCAAAAAAATTAGAAAATTGAAGGACTCAAAATTTTAGGTTCAAAACTTACTACAAAGTTACAGCAATCAAAAACAACATGGTACTAATGTAAAGATAAAAATACAAATTAATGGGATACAATTGAGATTCCAGAAATAAACCGATAAATCTTTGATCAATTGATTTTTGAAAGGGCTGCCAAAAACATTCAATGGGGAAACTAGAATCACTTCAACAAATGATGTTGGGACAATTGCATAGCCACATGCAAAACTGTTTACAATGCAGTTGGACCGTTACCTCACACCATATACAAAATATATACAAAAATTAAGTCAAAGTTGATCAGAGTTCTCAATATAAGAGACAGAAATATAAAACTATTAAAAGAAAACCTAAGGGTCTATTTTGTATGACTTTGGATTTAATAATGGATTCTTAAATATGACACTAAAAACACAAACAACAAAAAATAGACAAATTGGACTTCAAACCTTCAACTTTTGCACATGAAAAATATTTTATCAATAAATTTAAAAGAAAAACCACACAATTACAGAAAATATTTGCAAGTCATATATGTGGTTAAGTGTCAAATAACCAGACTTTATAAAGATCTCCTTCAACTTAGCAAAAACAAAACAAAACAAAAAACATCAACTCTATTAAAAAATGGAGCAAAGGATTTCAGCAGACTTTTACCCAAAGAAGATATATAAATGGCAAATACATACACGAAAAGATGCTCACCATCATTATTCATTAAGAAAAATACAAATCAAAACCATAATGAATTACTACCTCATAGCCACTAAGCTGGCTATAATTTTAAAAATCAGAAAATAAGCAATGGTAAAGATGTGGAGAGATTGGAACCCTTCTATATTACTGGTTAAAGTGTAAAATGATGCAGCCACTGTGTAAACAACTCTTCCTCAATAAGTTAAACTTAGAATCTCCTTGTTTCCCAGTAATTCCAATCCTAGATATACTTTTGAGAGAATTGAAAACTGGTGTTCAAACAAAAGCTTGTACACGAATGCTCATAGCAGTAATATTCACAATAGTCCAAAGGTGAAAACAGTCTAAATGTCCACCACTGGAACAGTGAATAAGCACAATATATTACAATATGCCCATTCACTGGAATATTATTCAGCCATAAAAAGCAATGAAGTACTAATATATGTTAAAACATGGATGAACCGAAGATATCCTAAGTGAAATGCAAAAAGAACAAAGCTGGAGGCATTATGTTACCAGACTTCAAAATATACTATAAGGCTTTTATGAACAAAACAGCACGGTATGGGTACAGAAACAGAGACATAGACCAATGGAACAGAATAGATAGCCCAGAAATAATGCCACACACCCATAATCATCTGGTCTTTGAAAAAGTAAACAAAAACAAGAAATGGGGGAAGGACTCCCTATTCAATAAATGGTGCTGGGATAGCTGGCTAGCAATATGCAGAAGATTGAAACAGGACCTGTTCCTTATACCATACACAAAAATCAACTCAACATGGATTAAAGACCTAAATGTAAAATCTAAAACTATAAAAACCTGGAAGACAACCTAGGAAATGCCATTCTGGACATAGGACCCGGCAAAGATTTCATGATGAAGATGCCAAAAGCAATTACAACATAAACAACGTTAGACAAATAGGGCCTAATTAAACTAAAGAGCTTCTGCATAGCAAAAGAAACTAGCAACAGAGTTAACAGGCAACCTACAGAATTAACAGGCAACCTACAGAATAGGAGAAAATATTTTCAAACTACACATCCAACAAAAGTCAATGTCCAGAATCTATAAATGACTGCAACAAATCAACAAGCAACAAACAAACAATCCCATTAACAATGGGCAAAGAACATAAATACACAATTTTTTAAAAAAGACACACACATGACTAACAAGCATATGAAAAAGTGCTCAACATCACTAATCATTACAGAATGCAAATCAAAATCACCATGAGATACCATCTCACATCAGTAAGAATGGCTATTATTAGAAAGCAATGCTGGCGAGGTTGCTGAGAAAAAAGAATACTTATACACTGCTGTTGAGAATGTAAATTAGTTCAGCCATTGTGGGAAGCAGTTTGGCAATTTCTCAAAGAGCTCAAAGTAGAATTACCATTCCACCCAGCAATCCCATTATTGGGATTATAGCCAAAGGAATATAAATCATTCTACCATACAGATAGATGCATGCGTATGTTCATCACAGTACTATTCACAATAGCAAAGATGTGGAATCAATCTAAATGGCCATCAGTGGTAGACTGGATAAAGAAAATGTGGTACATATACACCATGGAATACTATGCAGTCATAAAAGAAGAATGAGATCATGTCCTTTGCAGCAACATGGATGGTGCTGGAGGCCATTATCCTAAGCAAACTAATGCAGGAACAGAAAACCAAATACCACATGTTCCCACCTATAAGTGGGAACTAAACATGTGAGTACATATGGAAACAAATAATGGAACAACAGACAGCAGGGCCTACTTGAGGATGGAAGAAAGAAGGAAGGTGAGGATAGAAAAACTACCTTATTAGGTACTATGCTTATTACTTGGATGGCAAAATAATCTGCACACCAAACCTCATGGCATGCAACTTACCTATATAACAAATATGCACAAGTACCTCTGAACCTAAAGGAAAATTTTTAAAAAGAAAATATGCTTTGTGGAAGAATCAGACATAAAGATCACACATTGTATTACATTTATATAAAATATCCAGACTGAGAAGATCATAGGCTTTCCCCTCAGGCTGTTGCAAACAGAACATGGTTAGCTAATCAGTGAAGGACTATTTTGGCACAGAGCCAATTGTGAAAAGTGGGAGAGGTGACTCTTTAAAAAATTATAATTGACACATAATAATTGCACATATTTATGTATTACAACATGATGTTTTGATACATGTATATATTATGTAATGATAAAATCACAGTAATTACCATTATCCATCACCTTAAACATTTATTATTTCTTTGTAATGAGAATGTTCAAAGACCTATTTTCTAATTATTTTGAAATATACAATGCGTTATTGTTAACTCTAATCATACTACTATGTAATAGAACACCAGAACTTATTCCTTCTAACTGTAGCTTCATACCTGTTGACCAATCTCTTCCCACCACCTCCCCTACATTTTTTTAGTGTGCAATTTTCAACAACAAAAATTCATGATGTATACAATGAAACAGGAAAGGACATAACCAATTCAAAGGATAAAAATGAAATGACAAAAGCAATCCCTGAGGAAGCACAGGCATAAAGCTAGTCAAAAGACTTTAAAACTGTCATAAATATGCTCAAAGAACTGAAGGAAAACAGATAAAAAACAAAAGCTTTCAGGAAAGCAACATATAAAAAACAAGAATATCAACAAAGAGAAATAAATTATTTTTTAAAAAAGAAAAAATAAAAATTCTGGAATTGGAAAATATAATGACCATATTGATTGAAATATTTGCTAAGGGGTTCAACAGCAAATTTGAGTATGCAGAAGAAAGAATTGGTGAACTTGAAGAGAAGACATTGGAAATTATCAAGTCTAAGGAGCAGAAAGAAAAAAGACAGGAGAAAGTGAATAGAGCCTAAGGAAGTTATGAGACATGATCAAGTGGACCAGTATATACATTGTGGTAGTTCAAAAGGAGAGAAAAAGAGATAAAGGCTATATAAAAAAATAATGGCAGAGAATTTCCTATATTTGAGGAAGAACATGAATAATCAAATCCAAGAAGCTCAACAAACTCCAAAAAGGAAAAACCCAAAAAGACCCACATTGAGACATATTACAATCAAATTGTCGAAAGATAAAGAGAGAGAATGTTGAAAGCAACAAAAGATACTCATACATAGCAAAGACCCTAAATGAAATTATTAGGTGATTTCTCAGCAGAAGCCTTAGAGGACAGAAGGCATGAATTAGAAAAGAGCAAGTAAATTACCTCTGTTTGGTGATATTAATAATATAATCTTATACCTAGAAATCCCTTAAGACTTTATCCAGACTCCTAGATTTGATAAATAAATTCAGTAAAGTTTCAGGATACATAATGAATATACAAAAATCAATTGCATTTCTATATAGCAATAACAATCAATCTGGAAACCAAATCAAGAAGTAAATCTGAACTACAATAGCTAAAAAAAAAATAACTGGGAGTATATTTAATCAAGCAGGTGAAAGATATCTACAAGAAAACCTACAAAACACTCATGATAAAAATCATAGATGACACAAGCAAATAGAAAAACATCTCATGCTCATGAATTGGAATAATCAAAATCATTAAAATGACCATACTACCCAATGCAATCTACAGATACAATGCAAATCTTACCAAAATACCATCATTTTTCACAGAAATTAGAAAAAATAATCCTAAAATCTATATGGAACCAAGAAAGAGCCTAAATAGCCAAATCAATTCTAAACAAAAAGAACAAAGCTGGAGGCATCACATTACCTGACTTCAAATTATACTGCAAGCCTATAGTAACAAAAACAACATAATACTCACATAAAAATATAAATATAGTTCAATGTATATAAGCTCAAAAATAAAGCCACATAACATACCTAATGCCAATTGATTTTTAACAAAGTCAACAAAAACATACACTGGAGAAAGGACTCCCTATTCAATAAATGGTTCTGGGATAAATGGATTGCCATGTGCAGAAGAATGAAACTGGATCCCTATCTTTCACCATACGCAGAAATCAACTCAAGGTGGATTAAAGATTTAAAGGTAAGACTGGAAACTATTAAAATACTAGAAAAAACCTAGGAAAACACTCTTCCGGACATTAGCCTTGGCAAAGTATTTATGACTGAGACCTCTAAATCATAGGAACAAAAACAAAAGTAGGCAAATGGGAGTTAATTAAACTAAAAGCTTCTGCACAGCAAAATAAATCATCAACAGAATGAATGGACAATCTGATGTATGAGAGAAAATATATGCAAATTATGCAACTGACAAAGGACTAACATTCAGAATCTATGAGGAACTCAAACATTTCAATAAGAAAACAATAAATACCCCATTAAATAGTGGGCAAAAGACATGAGTAGATATTTTCCAAAAGAAGACATAGAAATTACCAATAAGCATAGGAAAAAATGCTCAACATCACTAATCATCAGGGAAATGCAAATTAAAACCACAATGAGATATCATCTCACACCAGTCAGAATAATGGCTATTATTAAAAAGTTAAAAAAAAACATATATTGGTGAGGATGTGGAGAAAAGGAAACACTTATATACTGTTAATGGGAATGTAAATTATTAAAACCTCAATAGAAATCAGTGTGGAGATTTCTTAAAGAACTAAAAATAGAACTACAATTTGATCCAACAATCTCATTACTGGGTATGTATCTGAAAGAAAATAAATTATTATACCAAAATGATAACTGCACTTATATGTTTATTGCCACACTATTCACAGTAGCAAAGATATGGAATCAACCTAAATGTTCATCAATGAATGAGTGGATAAAGAAAAATATATATATATATATATCTCCCATGGAATACAACTTACTTAAAAAAAATTAAATCATGTCTTGCAGTAGTGTGGATGGAACTAGAGACCATTGTCTTAAGTGAAATTACTCAGAAACAGAAAGTCAAATACCACATGTTGTCACTTATAAATGGGAGCTAAGTGATGCCTACACAGGAATATAGAAAGTGGAATAATAGATATTGGAGGCTCAGGAGGGTGGAAGTGTTGAAGGAGGGTGAGGGATGAAAAATTACTTAATGGATGCAATGTATACTATTGGGTTGATGGCTTCACTAAGAGCTCAGACTTCACCACTATGCAATATATTCATGTAACAAAACTGCACTTGTATTCCTTAAATCTATAATTTAAAAAATGGAGGTCTATGAACTGGCCACAAATAATTCAAAATAATCATGTTAAAGATGCTCAGCAAGCTACAAGAAAACAAAGATAGAAAATGAAACAAAAATCAGAAAAAATAATAAATAAATAATATCAGATGCTCAACAAAGAGATAGAAATTATAAAAGGAACCAAACACATATCCTGGAGCTGAAGAATACAGTGTCTGAACTGAAAAATTCAATAGAGAGCTTCAACAGCAAGCTCAATCAATCAGAAGAAAGAATCAGCGAATTCAAAAACAGGTTATTTGAAATTATCCAATCAAAGAAACAATATAAAAATACAATTAAAATTAGTAGGCTGGTTTGAGTGCAGTGATGCTTACAACTAATTGATCACATCCAATTACAGATTTCTTTGCTCTTTCTGTACTCCCAGTGCTTCACTTGACTAGCCTTTAAAGAAAAAAAAAGAGTAAAGAAAGACTATGGGATATATGGGACATCATCAGAAGAATAAATATACACATTATGGAACTCAAAGAAGGGTAAGAGAAAGAGAAAGGGCAGATAGTTTATTTAAAGAAATAATGGCTGAAAACTTCCCACTTATGGTGAGGCAAATGGACATCCAAATTCATGAAGTCCAAAGGACTCCAAATATGTTGAATGTAAAGAGGTCTATGGAGATAGATATTATAATTAAATTATCAAAAGTCAAAGATAAGGAGAGAATTTTGAAAACAGCAAAAGAAACATGAGTCATCACATATAAGAGAATGTCCACACAATTGAGTGGATTTCTCAGCAAATAAGAAAATGTCCATACAATTGAGTGGATTTCTCAGCAAATAAGAAAATGTCCATACAATTGAGTGGATTTCTCAGCAAAAACCTTTCAGGCCAGGAAACAGTGTGATGCTATATTAAAAGTGCTGAAAGAAATTTAAAAATGAAGGAGAGGCTGGGTGCAGTGGCTAACATCTGTAATCCTAGCACTTTAGGAGGCAGAGGTGGGCAGGTCACCTGAGTTCAGGAGTTCGAGACCAGCCTGGCCAACATGGCAAAACCCCATCTCTACTAAAAATACAAAAATTAGCTGGGCACAGTGGCACATGCCTGTAATCCCAGCTACTCAGAAGGCTGAGGCAGGAGAATCGCTTAAACTCAGGAGGTGGAGGTTGCAGTGAGCCGAGATTGCACCACTGCACTCCAGCCTGGGTGACAGACACCATCTCAAAAAAAAAAAAAAAAAAAGGAGAGGAAACACTTTCTGAGAAAAACAGAAATAGAAACTGAGGGGGTTTGTCAGCAATAGCACTTCCTTACAAGAAGTGATAAAGGGGCTGGGTGCGGTGGCTCATGCTTGTAATCCCAGCACTATGGGAGGCCAAGGTGGGTGGATCACTTGAGGTCAGGAGTTCGAGACCAGCCTGGCCAACATGGCAAAAACCCATCTCTACTAAAAGTACAAAAATTAGCCAAGCCTGCCAAGATCGTGCTACCGCACTCCAGCCTGGGTGACCGAGTGAGATTCCATCTCAAAAAAAAAAAAAAAAAAAAAAGCTAAACAGATACTTGTTGAAAGCATATGAAAATATAAGTCTCACTAGTAAAGCTAAATATACAAATACATAATCATTTCACTGTAGCAGTAGTGCATAAAACACATTAAATCCTAGAATATAACCATAAAAGTTTGTTAATGGATACACAATATAAAAATAATTAAATTTTGGCTTCAATAACATAACATTTGGGTACAGGAGAGAATAAAAAGTATAGCGTTTTCACATGCAATTAAAGTTTAGTTATTATCAGCATAAAATAGATTTTTACAACTAAATGAAATTTTGTGTAGTCTCATGATAACTACAAAGAAAAAAACCGATAGTAGATACAAAAAAAAATACAAAACAATTCAAAGAATATCACTACAAAAATTCACTAATCATAAAGTAAGATTTCAAGAGAGGAAGATTAGACGAAAATGATTACAAAACACACAGAAAACAATTAACAAAGTGGCAATAATAAGTCCCTATCTATCGATAGCTACTTTAAATGTAAATGCATTAAATGCACAAATCCAAAGATATAGAATGGCTTAATGTGAAAAAACAAACCCAAAACCTGTCTATGTGCTGTTGACAAAAGACTCCTTTAGATTTAAGAACACATATAGGCTGAAAGTAAGAGGACAGAAGAAGACATTCCATGCAAACAGTAACCAAAAGAGAGCAGGAGTTGTTATACTTACATTAGATAAAATAGGTTATAAGTTGAAAACTGTCAGAAAAGATAAAAAGGTTATTACATAGTGATAAAGAATTGATTCAATAGGAATATATAACAATTACAAATATATATGCATCCAATATCAGAGTAACAATATGATAAAGAATTGATTCAAAAGGAATATATAACAATTACAAACATATGTGCATCCAATATCAGAGTAACAATTTGAGTATATATGTGTGTGTGCATGCACATGTGTTTATATCAAACATTTATAGATCTGAAAAGAAGGAATACATAGAGGACTTCAATATCCCAGTTTAAATAATAGAAAAAACAACCAGACATAAAATTAATAAGGAAATGGCAGACTGCAACTTTATAGGTCAAATGGACCTAACAGACATGTACAGAACATTCCTTCCACCTGCTATGGACTGAATGTTTGTGTCCCCCCAAAATTCATTATCGAAACCTAATTCCCATGTGAAGATATTTGGAGGTGGAGCCTTTGTGAGGTGATTAGGTGATGAGGTTGGAGCCAGCAAGAATGGCATTAGTGCCCTTATAAAATACATTCTCACCCCTTCTGCCATGTAAGGACACAGTGAAAGGACAGGTATATGTGAACAAGGAAGCAGGCTCTCACCAGACACTGAATCAGCTAGTGCCTTGATTTTGGATGTCCCAGCCTGCAGAACTGTTAGAAACAAATTTCGGTTGTCTGCAAACCATCTAGTCTATGGTATTTTGTTATAGCCACCTGACTGGACTAAGACACTACCAATCAGCAATAAGATACACATTCTTCTCAAGTGCATCCTATACACTCTCCAGGGAAGATTACATTCTTGGTCACAAAACAAGTCTCAACAAATTTAAAAATATTAAGATCATTCCAAATACCTTTTCTGACCCCAGGGGAATCTAACTAGCAATCAATAACAAAAGAGAAATGGAAAAATTCACAAATATGTGAAAATTATACAGCACATTCTTGAACAACCATTAAATCAAAGAAAAAACCCAAAGGAAAGTTAGAAATTATCTTGAGAGAAAAGAAAACAAAAATACAACTCAACAAAACTTATTAGATGCAAAGAAGTGCCAAGAGAGAAGTTTATAGTGGTAAACACCAATATTAAACAAGGAAAAAAAATGTTAATAACCTAACTTTATACCTAAAAGGACTAGAAAATAACAAACAAAGCCCAAAATTAACAGGAGGAAGAAAATAACAAAGATGAGAGCAGAAATAAATAGAAGACGAAAAACAATAGAAAAAAATTAAGGAAACAAAGAGATGATTTATTGAAAAGATAAAGTCCACAAACACCTGGAACTATGAAGAAAGAGAGGATTCAAATAAATAAAATCAGAAATCAAAAAGAGTACATTGTAAACAATGCTACAGAAATTTTTTTTCTTTTTATTATTATTATTATTTTAATTATACTTTAAGTTTTAGGGTACATGTGCACATTGTGCAGGTTAGTTACATATGTATACATGTGCCATGCTGGTGCGCTGCACCCACTAACTCGTCATCTTGCATTAGGTATATCTCCCAATGCTATCCCTCCCCCCTCCCCCCTCCCCACCACAGTCCCCAGAGTGTGATATTCCCCTTCCTGTGTCCATGTGATCTCATTGTTCAATTCCCACCTATGAGTGAGAATACGCGGTGTTTGGTTTTTTGTTCTTGCGATAGTTTACTGAGAATGATGGTTTCCAATTTCATCCATGTCCCTACAAAGGACATGAACTCATCATTTTTTATGGCTGCATAGCATTCCATGGTGTATATGTGCCACATTTTCTTAATCCAGTCTATCATTGTTGGAAATTTGGGTTGGTTCCAAGTCTTTGCTATTGTGAATAATGCCGCAATAAACATAAGTGTGCATGTGTCTTTATAGCAGCATGATTTATAGTCATTTGTGTATATACCCAGTAATGGGATGGCTGGGTCAAATGGTATTTCTAGTTCTAGATCCCTGAGGAATCGCCACACTGACTTCCACAATGGTTGAACTAGTTTCCAGTCCCACCAACAGTGTAAAAGTGTTCCTATTTCTCCACATCCTCTCCAGCACCTGTTGTTTCCTGACTTTTTAATGATTGCCATTCTAACTGGTGTGAGATGATATCTCATAGTGGTTTTGATTTGCATTTCTCTGATGGCCAGTGATGATGAGCATTTTTTCATGTGTTTTTTGGCTGCATAAATGTCTTCTTTTGAGAAGTGTCTGTTCATGTCCCTCGCCCACTTTTTGATGGGGTTGTTTGTTTTTTTCTTGTAAATTTGTTTGAGTTCATTGTAGATTCTGGATATTAGCCCAGAAATTTTTAAAAGATCATAAACGATTATTATGAACAATTATAACCAACAAATTAGATAACCTAGAAGAAAAGGATAAATTCATAGAAACATACATCCTACCAAACTTGAATCTAGAAGAAAAAAGAAAGCCTGGCCACAACAAAAAACAAATAATGAGACTAAATCAGTAATCATAAATCTCCCAAAAGCCCACGACCAGCTGGCTTCACAAATGAAATCTACCAAATATTTAAAGAAGAATCAATATCAATCACTCTTAAAGTCTTTCAAAAAAATAGAAGAAATAGCACTTCCAAACTCCTTTTATTAGGCCAGCATTGCCCTGATACCAAAGCCAGATAAAGACACCACCAGAAAACTACAGGCCAATATCCCTGATGAACAAGGGTACACTATCCTGAATAAAATATTAGCCAACCAAATTCAACAGCACAATAAAAGTATTATATACCACACCCAGGTGTTCTTTATCCCTGTGATGTAAGAATGTTTTAACATATGCAAATCAATATAATACATCACATTAACAGAATGCAGGGGGAAAAGCACATGATCATCTCAATAGATGTAATAAAAGCCTTTGAAAAAAAACTCAACAACCTTTTTTCTTTTTTTTATTTTACTTTTTAAATTTTACATTCTGCAATACATGTGCAGAACGTGCAGGTTTGTTACATAGGTATACGTGTGCTGTGGTGCTTTGCTGCACCTATTAACCTGTCATATAGGTTTTAAGCCCTGCATGCATTAGGTATTTGTCCTAATGCTCTCCCTCCCCTTACTCCGCACCCCCCAACAGGCCCCAGTGTGTGTTCTTCCCCTCCCTGTGTCCATGTGTTCTCCTTGTTCAACTCCCACTTATGAGTGAGAATATGCGGTGTTTGGTTTTCTTTTCCTGTCAACACCCTTTAAAGATTTTAAAAAAACTCTCAATAAATGAGTTATAGAAGGAACTTACCTTAGCACAATGAAGACTGTATATGAAAAGCTCACAGCTAACAACATGCTCAATGGTGAAGAACTAAAAGCTTTCCTGTAAGATCTGGAACAAGTCAAGGAGGTCCACTTTCACACCTTCTATTCAAAATAGTATTGGAAGTCCCAGCTAAAACTACTTGGCAAGAAAAAGAAATAAAAGACATTCAAATCAGAAGTGAAATTATCTCTGTTTGAAGATGACATGATTTTATGTGTAGAAAACACTAACTGCAAAAACTCTGCAAAATATTTGTTAGAACTAATAAATAAATGTAGTAAAGTTGCAGGATACAAAATCATCATATGAAAATCAGTTGCATTTCTATACAGTAACAATGAATTATTCAAAAAGAAAATTAAGACAACATTTCTATTTATAATAGCATCAAAAAGAATAAAATACTTAGGAAAAAACTTAACCAAGGAAATGAAGGACCTGTACATTGCAAACTATAAAACATGGATGAAACAAATTGAAGCACAAACAAATAAATAGAAAGATATATCATGTTTGTGGATTAAAAAATAATATTAAATGTCTGAATAGAGAACCCAGAAATAAGCTCACACATATACTGTCAACTGATCTTCAACAAGGGTGCCAAGAATATGTAATGGGTAAAAGATAATCCACTTTTGATACTTGCTGGGAAAACTGGACCCTTATCTTACACTATGTGCAAAATTCAACTCAAAATGAATTAAAGGTGTTAACATAAGATTGGAAACTATAAAACTCATGGACTAAAACATAAGGGAAAATCTTCTTGACATTGTCTGAGCCAATAATTTTTTTAACCCAAAAGCACAAACAACAAAAGTAAAAATGTCAAATGGAATTACATCAAACTAAGAAGCTCCTGCACAGCAAAGGAAATAATCAACAAAATGAAAAGTCAAACTACAGAATGAGAGAAAATATTTGCAAACCATATGTCTGATAAAGGGTTAATATCCAAAACACATAAGGAGCACCTACAACTTAATAGAAAAAAAATCACCTGCTTTAAAAATAGACAAAGAAACTGAATAGATATTTCTCCAAGTAAGACATAGCAATGGCCAACAAGTATATGAAAAGGCATTCGGCATCACTAATCCTCAGGACGATGTAAATAAAAACTACAATGAGCTATCACCTCATACGTGTTACAATAGCTATTATCAAAAAAAGGAAAGATACATGTTTTCAAGAATACTGTCGATAGTGATGTAAATTGGTGCAGCCATTATTGAAAACAGCATGGAGGTTTCTCTAAAAATTTAAAATAGAACTACCATATAATCCAGCAATGCTACTTCTGAGTATATATCCAAAGTAAATGAAATCAATATCTTAAAGCAATATCTGCATCCCATGTTAATTGCAGCATTATTCACAATAGCCAAGATATGAATCAACCTAAGTGTTTGCTGATGGATAAATATATAAAGAAAATGTGATTATATGCAATCATGTGCCACGTAATGATGTTTCAGTTAATGATAGACCATATATGTGGTGGTGGTCCCATAAGATTATAATACTGTATTTTAACTGCGCCTTTTCCATGTTTAGATACACAAATACTTATCATTGTGTTACAATTGCCTATAATATTCAGTACAGTAGTGCACTGTACAGCTTTGTAGCCTAGGAGCAATAAGCTATAACATAAAGCCTAGACGTGTAGTAGGCTATACCATCTAGGTTTGTGTAAGAACACTCTATGATGTCTGCACAATGACAAAATCATCTAACGACACATTTCTCAGAATGTATCACCATCGTTCTCAATGCATGACTATATATATATATATATATACATTTTATATAAAATAAAATATTATTAACCTTAAAAGTAAGAAATTCTGCCATTGGCAACAACATGGATGAACCGGGAGAACTTTATGCTAAGTGAAATAATTGAAGTACAGAAAGACAAAAGCTTTATAATCTTACTTATATGTGGAATCTAAAAATGTTAAACTCACAGAAGCAAAGAGTAAAATGGTGGTTGCCAGGGGCTGGAAATGAAGTGGGGAGATGTTGGTCAAAGGGTACAAAGTTTCAGTTAAGCAGGATGAATAAATTCTGCATTTCTAATGTAAATCATGATGACAATGATCAATAATACCCTGTTGTATATTCAATTTTGTTGAGACAGTAGATCTCAAATATTCTCCTCACAAGAGAAGATAACTATGTGTGATGAAAAATATGTTAATTAGCTTGATTATGGTAATCATTTCACAATGTATATCAAAACATCATGTTCTACACCATAAATATATACAATTTTTATTTGTTAATATGGGTGGGGGAAAGAGAAAATATTGTCTAAACATACATTAGAATATTATTAGGTCTTTAAAGAGAAGGAAATCCTGCCATTTGTGACAACATGGATGAACCTAGAGGACATTATGCTAAGTGAAATAAGTCAAACACGGATGGACAAATACCATATGATATCATTTTGATGAGAAATCTAAAATAGTCAAACTCATAGAAGCAGAGTGTAAAATGGTGGTTGCCAGCAGGTAGGAAGAGAAGGAAATGGGAGATATTAATTAAAGGGTACAAAGTCTCAGTTATGCAAGATGAGTAAGCCCTAAAGATCTCTTCCTCACTATGCCTATAGTTAAAAATACCATATTTTATTGTTTAAAACTCCTTAAATGGTAGATTTCATGTTTTCTTTTCATACGCATACAGACAAAATAACAAAGAGGAGAAGGAAATTTTGAGAAGCGATGAATATGTTTATGGCATAGATTTTGGTGATGGTTTCATGATTGTATACTTATCTCCAAACTCATGAAGTCGTATATATCAAATATATATAGCATTTTGTATGTTAATCATGCCTCAATAAAGTAGTTTAATAAAAAAGAGGGTGGAGGCATATTAACCAGTGAAATATAATAGAGTGCTAATAAATAAACCTTTGCATATATGGTCAAATGATTTTCAACGAGAGTGTCAAGATCATTAAGTGGGGTAAACGCAAACTTTTCAACAAAAGGTGCTGTGAAAGCTAGATATCTACTTGTAAAAACATGAAGTTGGACCTTTACCTAACACCATATACAAAAATTAACTGAAATGGATCAAAAGCTTATGCATAAGAGCTAAAACTATAAAAACCCTTAGAGAAATATAGTGGAAAAGCTTTATAAAATTTTCTTTAAAATTTCATAAAAATCACAATTTTTTAAATTCTACTTTTCTAATTGACTAAATGATACAGTCCATTTAAAAGACTGCCACCCTCTCATTTAAAGCTTATGCAGAGAAGCCTTCTTAAACCATGCCAGACCAGACGTTTCTCCCCCAAAAAGATAGAGCCCTAGCCCATGCAAGGGCTATCCACTGACAACTCAATGTGCAGTGTAAAATGCTCTGGGTTCAGTGAGTCCTATCTGTCCCCTGACATAGTTGGCATCTACTGTTGTTTGATGCTAGTGAGCTTGAGCATTTGATTTCCTGGGACTGTTGACTGCTATTAATTGTCTGTTTACCACATAATTCTATGTGCACGCCCAAAGGGATGAGGGAACCCAGAGGCTGATTCTTGGGAGAACATCGGGTGAAACAAGTCTAAAAACTTTCCTTCAAGGTCTGAGTAAATTCTAAAAGGGGAGAATGATGTAGTGTCTGTATAAAATATTAAAAATTTAGCATAACATTGCCCCAAAAAGGAGAAACAGTAGTTTACCCATCAACATAAAATGCATGAGTTATGAAGTATAATAATAACTTGGCGGTTGATAAAATTCATTTTCAAATTATGTTTAATTAAGAAATTAATATATGCATCATGAAATGTAAGAATGGGAGTAATTGGTTTACAATAGACTAGAAATAAAATTACCAAATAAAGCACAAAACCAAAACTGTCTCCAAATTGTGAAAAGCAGCCCAAACTACTCACAAAATTTTACATGATTTTCTCTACTAATTCTTAATTGTATCAAACTCATAAATAATGGCTCAAATCATTTAATTTCTATCAATTTGACCATTGTGTAATTTCACCAATAGACTAAAAGACTGCTTAGAGAATGCTCAACAAATTACAAGGCATCTCCGGCCCAATAAAGGTCAACACTTCACAAACAAGTTTATTTATTTTTTTCCAGGATACGTCCAGAAATGGTTCCTAACTTTTGGTTGTATCAAGAATACTAGACATTTTGGAATAAGAGCACTGCCCCTCCCCCATCTCTACCTCAAACCCCACTTCCTCAGCTGAATGTCATGCCCTGTTGTAGGATGATTTGTAGCCTTGGCCATTTCTTTATGTATTTGGCCATCTAATGGTGAGCTTCTGATGCTGCTGTTGAGCATCTCCTTCATGTACAAGCCCAAAGATAGTGAGGAAATAACTATCTGAGTATGGGACTACAGTTAGATAAAGACCAGAACTCTCTTTGCTGGAGTGTAGGTGCACTCCCCTGCTGTAAGGGGAGGATGACATAGCAGTGACTGAGTGTAAACAGTAGTCACAATAGGAATGTAGGTGGCTTCATTGCCAGAGCAAAGTTATTCCTTCAGGATGTGAACAACACTCTTTTTTTCTGAGCACCTATCATTTGAGGTGAATGGATGGTGGAGGCCTATCTCAATTCCAAAATTGTCTTGATGAGTCACTTCTTTGAAAGTCAAATAAAATCTGGGAATTCTAGAACTGAAAAGTATAGTAAGGGAATCAATTCTGTAAGGGATAAGTCTTCATTAAAAAGTACTGCATGGTCTTGGGCTGAGGGGAGCTCTGTAGGAGAAAGGGGGCTGTCATGGTCAGTATGTCAACCAAGGGTAACAGTGCCCTACTAAGAATAGTACCCTCACTCTCCAAATCAGTTCTCATCTATACAAACTCTGAGGTGCTCCCAATATTCATCAGGACAGTACTTACATAAGCGTTTCTACAGAAATTATGTTTCTCCATCATTATGCCTACAGGAAGTGGCACATCTTGTTAATTTGTTGATGTTAAGTTAGCCCTTATGTCTTCCTTGAAATTTCAACAGAAATGATTATCATCTGGATTTTTTTTTTCTCGAGATAGAATCTTGCTCTGTCACCCAGGCTGGAGCAAAGTTGCACGATCTTGGCTCACCACAACCTCTGCCTCCTGGTTCAAGTGATTCTGGTGCCTCAGCCTCCCGAGTAGCTGGGACTACAGGCGTGCACCACCACGTCTGGCTAATTTTTTCGTATTTTTAGTAGAGACGGGGTTTCGCCATGTTGGCCAGGCTGTTCTCGAACTCCTGACCTCAGGTGATCCACCCACCTAGGCCTCCCAAAGTGCTGGGAATCCAGGCGTGAGCCACCGCGCCCAGCCACCCTTGCCCATTTTCAATCCTCTTTATTACTATAGTCGGGCTTCTATTTTATCTCGCCATACAGGGGTTTTCCTAATTTGTTACAAACAGGTCTCTGATACTGCAACCAATTCAGAGTCCTTTTTATTAACACAGTCAAACCCCTCTGCCAGCTCCAACCAGATAAATGTCTTCACCACCATCATTACAGGCAAGTCTTTGGACAGCCCCATCCCCGTCAAGTCCTTCTTATGATTGGCAGGCTTCTAGTTAACCCCATCTATAACCAAGGTTCTTCTATCCTTTATTCAAAGGCTTCTGTTCATTCCCTCTCAACCCAGGGTATTTCTTTTCCGTAGAAGCAGTCCTCTAGGCAGTTCCACCCACGTAAAAGTTGTTCTTATTTCTATTGGTGAATCCCTGCCTATACTACAGGATCTTTCTCTGCAAGGAGTTCTTTATTCGTCTGAGTACACACCAGGTCCTTCCATAAGCACACGGGCAGTTCTATGCTCAATCTTACCAACACCAGAGTGGTATTCTCATATTGGGAGGCATCTTAGTAGGCCTGCCCACGGCAATTATGTATTTTCTATTTATAGGCAGTCCACTGGACAGCCCTTCCCACATAAGGGTCCTCTATCGTACAAGCCGACATATGGGTGAACCACCCACTGTAGAGTACCTCGCATTTCTATTGGCAGGCTTCCAGTTGGCTCCACCCAGCATCATAATGTCTCTCTTTTTCATGGGTCAGTTCACTCACATGAGTTACTATGTAATACGGGAAGGCCTGTGGAGAGCTGCGCCCCGTGAGCATGGTACTCTTTTGCGATGGCGGATGGTCGCATGTGTCGCCATAATAGGGTATTTCTCTTCTCTAGAGGCAGTCTTCTGGTCAATTCTGCGACATCAGGGTCCTTATCATCACTACAGGTAGGCTTTTGGTAATCACCACCTATGCCTGAATCCTCTCCTCAATACAAGTAATTCCTCTGGTAGATTCCGATAACCTACAACTTGATTTTTTTCACCAAACAGTTCTCCTGAACTGCGCTCAGTCTTCCTACAAAAGATTTTTTTTTTTTTTTTGAGATGGAGTTTTGCTCTTGTCGCCCAGGCTGGAGTGCAATGGCACAATCTTGGCTCACTGCAACCTACGCCTCCCGGGTTCAAGAAATTCTCTTGCCTCGACCTCCCGAGTAGCTGGGATTACAGGTGCACGCCACCATGCCTGGCTGATTTTTGTATTTTTAGTAGAGGCGTGGTTTCACCATGTTGGCCAGGCTGGTCTCGAACTTCTGACCACAGGTGATCCGCCCAAAGTGCCTCGGCCTCCAAAAGTGCTGGGATTACAGGCATGAGCCGCCACGCCCGGCTTTTTTTTTTTTTATTATTTTTAAAGCTACATAGTGCTCCTTAGTATAGTTTTTATGCTATTTAAGTCCCCTGTTACCATCCACATTGATGGATATTTTAACTATTTTCAGCATTTCAAGCAGTAGTGTGGGGCGCACCCTCTCCTGTTTCCTTAATCATAGTTACAAGTGTTTTCTAGAATACACGCCTGGAAGTAAAAACGTCAGAAACTTAAGGTACTCAAATTATAACTTGTAATAAACACTGACAAACTGCCTTTAACATGGTTGTACCAGTTTACACTTTTGCAACTAGTGGATGAGAGTATTTCCTTCCATTCTTGTCAAAGCTCGATGTTATTGTTTGCATGCTTTTTTGTATGTGTGTGTTTTTTTTTTGCCAAAATGATGGATGCGAATTGGTATCTCATAATTGATGTATTTTTCCACATTACAGCCTCAATTGAAACTCCCTGTGAACTCCTCCCTAATCCTATTCTCTTTTCTCCCTTGGCATGGTTTTACACTTTCCCTATTTATTTTTAAATAATTAAAATAGTATTGTTTTGCAGCCTTTAAAGTTTCATTTAAATGATGGCATATGGTATATATTCATTTGCTTTTTTCATTCAAAATTTTCTTTTTGAAATTAATTCATATTGAAATGTGTAGCTTGGTTTACATGCTAATATTAGTCTATTGCATATCCTTATATTTGCTATGGACATTAGGCTGTTAGCTATTTTTCATTTGTTTTACCATTTCAAACAGTGCTGTTTTTCTGCTATATTTCTCAGTGTGCACATGTGAAAGAATTTCTCTAGAATATAACCTAAAAATAGAATCCCCAGGTTGTAAGTTTTAAGTATCTTTTAATTTACTAGCTATTTCTAATCTGATGGTGTGTAACATAACCTTATTTTGTTTTAATTTGCATTTTTCTGATTACTATTGAGGTTGAGCATCTTTTGTGTTTTCTTGGCCATTTAGGGTTTTTCTTCTGTGAACTAGCCTTTTCATATCCTTTGCCTATTCTACTGTGTTAGTTGTTCTTTTCTTGTTGATACACTGGAATTCCTCTTGTGTTCTTGTTTTATGTGTCTCATAAATCTTCCTGCAGTCTGTAGTGGCTTGTTTTTACCCTTTGTTTGTTACTTCTGTCTGTATGTGTGTCCATGAGTTTTAAGTTTTATGTAATCCATTTTTTTAATATTTCTAAGAAATTCTTCTCTACTCCAAGGACACAATCGTATTTATTCCCCTGTATTCTAAAGAATACCAGTTTTAGGCTGGGCATGGTGGCCCACGCCTGCAATCCCAGCACTTTGGGAGGCTGAGGCAGGCAGATCAATTTGAGCTCAGCAGTTCGAGACCAGCCTGAGCAACATGGCGAAAGCCTATCTCCACAAAAATTACAAAAATTAGCCAGGTGTGGTGGCACACACCTGTGGTCCCAGCTACTCGGGAGGCTGAGGTGGGAGGATTGCTTGAGCCTGGGAGGCTGCAATGAGTCTAGATCACCACTCCAGCCTGGGTGACAGAGTGAGACCTGGTCTCAAAAAATTAATTAATTAATTAAAATTACAAATATCAGTTTTGATTTTCACATTTAGGTCTTATTCATTCAATAAATATTTATTGAGCCAGGGATTCTTCTGGGCACTGGGAATACTTCATCAAAACAAACGAACAAATATAGGCAAAAATCTCAGTCTTTTTTTTTTTTTGAGATGGTGTCTCTCTCTGTCACCCAGTCTATTTTTTTTTTTTTTTTTGAGATGGTGTCTCTCTCTGTCACCCAGGCTAGAGTGCAGTGGCGTGATCTCGGCATCTCGGCTCACTGCAAACTCCACCTCCTGGGTTCAAGCAATTCTCATGCCTCAGCCTCCCGAATAGCTGGGATTACAGGTGCAAGCCACCACGCCTGGCTAATTTTTGTGTTTTTAATAGAGACGGGGTTTCACTATGTTGGCTAGGCTGGTCTGGAACTCCTGACCTCAAGTGATCTGCCTGTCTCTGCCTTCCAGAGTGCTGGGATTACAGGCGTGAGCCACCGTGCCTGACCAAAACTTTCAGTCTTTATTGACCTTACAGTCTGTTGAACAAGACCATTAAATAATAGAATAGTGTATCATTTTAGGGAATAAGTGCTAAGGAGAAAAAGAGGGATAGAGAGTACAGATGATGCGGTTTGTTTCTGGACTCCTTTGTCTCTTTGGGCTTTCCCTTTGTTAATAACAGAGTTTTAATTTACTATAGCTTTATAATAAGTATAGGTGCCTAGTAGAACAAATCTCCTAATTGTATTTTCTGTAATATGTCTTAGATATTCTAGGGCTTTTGTTCCCCTCTGTAATATTGAGGATCAACTTGAAAAGTTGTTTTAACACTCTTTCTGGAATTTTGATTGGAATGCTATTCCATTTTTAAAGTAAAATGCAGAATGTTGATATCTTTATGAAACTGAGAATTTCATTATATTAGCATGGTATATCTATTCATTTATTAAGACCATATTTTATGTCTTTTATGAAGGTTTGTTAAGTTTGTTGGGTTTTTAATATTTTTGGTGAAAGACATCATTTGTAGTGTGTTTTATTTTTGATTACAATTGTTCATTTGTAGCTATAAATACCTTTCTAAATGTCATTTTACTGCATCTCACAAGTTTCAGAATATAGTCTGTTTATTGCTGTTTAGGTTTGAATATCTTGTAATTTTCATTTTGAACTCTTCTTTAACAAATGAGATTTTAAAGAATGGTTTTTGATTGGGAGGCTGAGATGGGCGGATCAACTGAGGGCAGGAGTTAGAGACCAGCCTGCCCAACATGGGGAAACTCCGTCTCTACTAAAAATACAAGAAATTAGCTGGGCGTGGTGGCAGGCGCCTGTAATCCCAGCTGCTCGGGAGGCTGAGGCAGGAGAATCGCTTGAACCTGGGAAGCGGAGGTTGTGGTGAGCTGAGATTGCGTCACTGCACTCCAGCCTGGGCGACAAGAGCGAAACTCCGTCTCAAAAAAAAAAAAAAAGTTTTAGAAATTTGTAAGCATTTTTTCTTATTTTTACTATATTTCATAGTTAATTGTATTGTGATCAAAGAAAGTGAATATGTTACAGATTATTTGAAATTTTTAAGACATGGTAAATTTTGCAAATTCTTGAAAAAAATGAGATTATTTCTTGGGTGCAGGTTTTTATATATAGGTTAATCTTTAATTTTATTGGGGTTTATTTATTGGGACTTTTTAATTTATATAGGTTTGTTTCTTGACTCTATTTTTCCTTTGGGCCTTTTGTTTTCCCTTTATAATAACGGTCTTAATTTACTGTAGCTTTATAATAAGACTTGGTGTTTGGTAGGAAATATTGCTCCACTGTATTTTCTTTAATATGCTTTAGGGTATTCTAGGGCTTTTGTTCTTCCCTATAATATTGAGGATCAATTTGAAAAGGATTCCCATTCTTCTTATTTTTTCTCTGTTTCTAATATAATAGAGGAGAGTGTAATTATGTCTTTTTTGTAGATTCGTAAATGTCAACTCGTAATTCTGTCAGTTTTTGTTTTATCTGTTTTGTTGCTACCTGGAGACATGCATCCAAGTCCATGATGCACTGTTTCTTTTATTATTTTGGAGTGTCCCTCTATTGATGCTTTTTGCCTTTAATTCTATTTTCTCCAATATTTAATTTTTTGATGTTTTTTTCTTTTAGATGTAGCTCTTAGAAATACTATATAGCTCGATTATTTAAAAATGATTCTGGTTATCTTGTCTTTATTAGATGAAGTTAACTTTTTTCATTATTATGTTTATGAATAGATTTTGACTCATTTTTACTATTTTGGGGGGTTTTCAGTTTGTTCGTTTTTTTTTTCAAGACAAGGTCTTGCTCTGTCGCTCAGGCTGGAATGCAATGGCGCAATCATGGCTCACTGCAGCCTTGACCTTTTGGGGCACAAGCGATTTTCCCACCTCTGCCTGGCAAGTAGCTGAGACTACAGGCACATGCCACCACACCTGGCTAAGTTTTGTATTTCTGGTAGAGCTGGAGTCTCGCCATGTTGTCCAGGTTAGTCTTGAACTCCTGGCTCAAGTGATCCGCCTGCCTTGGCCTCCCAAAGTGGGAGGATTACAGGCGTGAGCCACTGCGCCTGGCCAGGTTTTCAGTTTAACATCACTTTTCTTGGCTTCTTTGTCCCTCATTTCCTCTGCTGCTTTGGATGCTGCAGATTATATTCTTACTGTGTTTGTCTTTAAATTTTTTAGATGTACACACAATTAATTTTTCTAACAAAATCTTTGGTTACTCAATATTTCCTATCCTTTTAACTATGGCAAAAGCCTTAGTATTCTGGAGCTACCCATTGAACCCCTACTTATTATTTTTGGACACAGTTTTGTTTTTCTTTACCCTTTTAAACACAAAAAAAATCAGTTATAATTTTATAGTCATAATAAACATAGTCTGTTAGTTTCTTTCTTCATTGTTGTTTCTCTTTCCCCTATATTTTCCCTCTGGCTTCACTGCTCATATTAAAAAACATTGTTTACCTGTGAGTATAGTGATGATCTTTGGTTAACTCTAATGACGGAAAATGTCTTTATTTTGCTCTCACACTTGAATAATTGAGTACAAACTTATGAGTGACAGTTATTTTACTTCAACATTTATAAGTATTTCTAGTATCCATTGTTTTTTGCCCTCAGTGTAGTTGATCTTCCTTTAGAATAAAGCTTTTTCCCCTCTAGTGGCTCTTAAGATTGTTGCTTTATTATGATTTATTATTAATGTCATATAATTCTTTTTACATAAAGTGCAAACACAAGCACAACTAATCTGTGATGATAGACAACAGAAAGTAGTTACAAGGGTGAGTGAAGTTTGGAAAGGGGATGAGAAAATCCTCTGGGGTGAAAGAAATGTTCCACTTCTCATGCTGGATGGTAGTTACATGGGTATAAATAATTGTCAAAGTTGATGAAATTGAATATGTACATTCTATGCATTTTAATGTATTTGAATTATTTCTAATTTTTAATGCTGTAGGGCTTCAGCAATTTATGGCAAACTTCTTGCAAAAAGCTCTCAGCATCCTCTGAGGCAGAGCCAATTGCTCAAACATCACGTTGTACCAAAGGTCCCAGAAGAGTTCATATGAAGCATTTGGCGATTATTTCAAAGGAATGAAGCATGGCATCTATACCTTCATCTTCTCTAAATTGCACAGCTAGGTTTGAATTTTAAAAAATTTCCAGTGTTATTGTTTTATTGCAGATGAGCCAGCAGTTCTGTGTCTGCACAGTAGCTTTATCAGTTAAAGTCTTATCAGCAACAGCCTACTCCTGACAATATCTACAATTTTCTCACTGCTGTGGGGCAATAGCTATAATTCTCTTTTCTATAGCTAGGCACACAGATAAGATACATCTGAAGTCTGTATACTAATGGTTATAAAACAAAGCTTGAGCATCTCTGTGGCATATTGCACTTGAAATAATCTTGGAAATAATGAGGGAAGATTATTTTAGATAAGAAATATATCAAAGACAGAAAATACCTGTGGCTTCTTGGAGATTATGAAAGCTGGCACACCTCAAGCAGTACCCAACTCAGCACCACTGCCATTGTATCGAGCACCCACCTTCCCTGACGCTTTATTCTTGATATTATAAGGTTTTATTCAGTGTGTCTTGGAGTGGGTTGACTTGTATTTACCCTGTTCAGTGGACTTTTTAATTTGAGAACTCATGTCTTTCTTCAAATCTGGAAAGTCATTAGCAATTTCTCCTCGTTATTAATCCTTTATAATTCTCTATATATTCTTTTGAAACTTTTAGTAGATGAATGTTGGAGTTTCTCAGTATACCTTCAATTTCTCTTCACTATTCTTTTGTATTTATATATACATATATATATTTTTTATTTTACTTTAAGTTCTGGGATATATGTGCAGAATGTGCAGGTTTGTTACACAGGTATACATGCGCCATAGTGGTTTGCTGCACCTGTCAACCCGTCATATAGGTTTTAAGCCCCGCATGCATTAAATATTTGCTTTAATGCTCTCCCTCTCCTTGACCCCCACCCCACAACAGGCCCCAGTGTGTGATGTTCTCCTTCCTGTGTCCATTTGTTCTCATTGTTCAACTTCCACTTATCAGTGAGAACATGTGGTGTGGTTTTCTGTTCCTGTGTTAGTTTGCTGAGAATGATGGTTTCCAGCTTGAACCATGTCCATGCAAAGGACATGAACTCATTCTTTTTTTATGGCTGTATAGGATTCCATGGTGTATATATTTCACATTTTCTTTATCCAGTCTATCATTGATGGGCATTCGGGTTGGATCCAAGTCTTTGCTATTGTAAATAGTGGTGCAATAAACATATGTGTGCCTGTGTCTTTATAGTAGAATGATTTGTAATCCTTTGGGTATATACCCAGTAGTGGCATTCTTGGGTCAAATGGTATCTGTGGTTCTAGATCCTCGAGGAATTGCCACACTGTCTTCCACAGTAGTTGAACTAATTTACATTCCGACCAACAGTGTAAAAGCGTTCCTATTTCTCCACAGCCTTGCCAACACCTGTTGTTTCCTGACTTTTTAACGATCACCATTCTAACTGGCGTGAGATGGTATCTCATTCTGATTTTGATTTGCATTTCTTTAATGACCAGTGATCATGAGCATTTTTTCATAAGTTTGTTGGCCACATAAATGTCTTCTTTTGAGAAGTGTCTGTTCATATCCTTCACCCACTTTTTGATGGGGTTGTTTTTCTGTTGTAAATTTGTTTAAGATGCCTCTAGAGTCTGGATACTAGACCTTTGTCAGATGAGTAGATTGCAAAAATTTTCTCCCATTCTGTACGTTGCCTATTCACTCTGATGATAGTTTAGTTTGCTTTGCAGAAGCTCTTTAGTTTAGTTTAAATCCCATTTGTCAATTTTGGCTTTTTTGCAATTGCTTTTGGTGTTTTAGTCATGAAGTCCTTGCCCATGCCTATGTCCTGAATGGTATTGTCTAGGTTTTCTTCTAGGGTTTTTATGGTTTTAGGTTTTACCTTTAAGCCTTTAATCCATCTTGAGTTAATTTCCGTATAAGGTGTAAGGAAGGGGTCCAGTTTCTGTTTTCTGCATATGGCTAGCCCGTTTTCCCAGCACCATTTATTAAATAGGAAATCTTTCCCCATTGCTTGTTTTCATCAGGTTTGTCGAAGACCAGATGGTTGTAAATGTGTGGTGTTATTTCTGAGGCCTCTATTCTGTTCCATTGGTCTACATATCTGTTTTGGTACCAGTACCATGCTGTTTTGGTTCTGTAGCCTCATGGTATAGTTTGAAGACAGGTGGCGTGATGCCTCCAGCTTTTCATTTTGCTTAGGATTATCTTGGCTATACGGGCTCTTTTTTGGTTCCATATTAAATTTAAAGTAGGTTTTTCTAGTTCTGTGAAGAAAGTCATTGGTAGCTTTATGGGAATGGGAATAGCATTGAATCTATAAATTACTTTGGGCAGTATGGCCATTTTCATGATATTGATTCTTCCTATCCATGAGCATGGAAGTCTTTTTCATTTGTTTCTCTCTTATTTTCTTGAGCAGTGGTTTGTAGTTCTCCTTGAAGAGGTCTTTCACGTCCCTTGTAAGTTGTATTCCTAAGTATTTCATTCTCTTTGTAGAAATTGTGAATGGGCGTTCACTCATGATTTGTCTCTCTGTTTATCTAATGTTGGTGTATAGGAATCCTTGTGATTTTTGCACACTGACTTTGTATCCTGAGACTTTGCTGAAGTTGCTTATCAGCTTAAGCAGTTTTTGGGCTGAGATTATGGGGCATTCTAAATATAAAATCATGTCATCTGCAAACAAAGACAATTTGACTTCCTCTCTTCCTATTTGAATACCATTTATTTCTTTCTCTTACCTGATTTCCCTGGCCAGAACTTTCAATACTATGTTGAATAGGAGTGGTGAGAAAGAGCGTCCTTGTCTTGTGCCGGTTTTCAAAGGGAATGCTTCCAGTTTTTGCCCATTCAGTATGATATGGGCTGTGGGTTTCCAACAAACAGCTTTTATTATTTTGAGATATTTTCCATTAATCTCTAGTTTATTGAGAGTTTTTAGCATGAAGGGGTTTTGAATTTTATTGAAGGCCTTTTCTGCATCTATTGAGATAATCATGTGGTTTTTGTCATTGTTTCTGTCTATGTGATGGATTACATTTATTGATTTGCATATGTTGAACCAGCCTTGCATCACAGGAATGAAGCCGATTGATTGTGGTGGGTAAGCTTTTTGATGTGCTGGTGGATTCATTTTGCCAGTATTTTACTGAGGATTTTCACATCGGTGTTCATCAGGGATATTGGCCTGAAATTTTCTTGTTTTGTTGTGTCTCTGCCAGGTTTTCATATCAAGATGATACTGGCCTCATAAAATGAGTTAGGGAGGAGTCCCTTTTTTTCCATTGTTTGGAGTAGTTTTAGAAGGAATGGTACAAACCCCTCTTTATACCTCTGGTAGAATTCGGCTGTGAATTGGTCTTGTCCTGGGCTTTTTTTTATTGGTAGGCTATTAATTACTGCATCAATTTCAGAACTTGTTATTGATCTGTTCAAGGATTCAACTTCTTCCTGGTTTAGTTTTGGAAGGATGTATGTGTCCAGGAATTTATCCATTTCTTCTAGATTTTCTAGTTTATTTGCATAGATGTGTTTATAGCATTCTCTGATGGTAGCTCGTATTTCTGTGGGATTGGTGGTGATAACTCCTTTATCATTTTTTATTGTGCCTGTTTGATTCTTCTCTCTTTTCTTCTTTATTGGTCTAGCTAGCAGTCTATTTTGTTAACCTTTTCAAAAAACCAGCTTCTGGATTCATTCTTTTTTTTGAAGGGTTTTTCGTGTCTCTATCTCCTTCAGTTCTGCTGTGATCTTAGTTATTTCTTGTCTTCTGCTAGCTTTTGAATTTGTTTGCTCTTGCTTTCCTATTTCTTTTAATTTTGATGTTCAGATGTCTATTTCATATATTTCCAGCTTTCTGATGTAGGCATTTGGTGCTATAAATTTCCCACTTAACACTGCTTTAGCTGTGTCCCAGAGATTCTGGTACTTTTCTCTTTGTTCTCATTGGTTTAAAGAACTTCTTTATTTCTGCCTCAATTTTATTATTTACCCAGTAGTCATTCAGGAGCAAGTTGTTCGTTTTCCATGTAGTTGTGCAGTTTTGAGGGAGTTTCTTAATCCTGAGTTCTAAATTGATTCCACTGCAGTCTGAGAGACTGATCGATATGATTTCCATTCTTTTACATTTGGTGAGGAGTGTTTTACTTCGAATTATGTGATCAATTTTAGAATAAGTGCTATGTGGTGCTGAGAAGAATGTATATTCTGTTGATTTGAGGTGGAGAGTTCAGTAGATGTCTGTTAGTGTTGCTTGTTTCAGAGCCGAGTTCAAGTCCTGTATATCCTTGTAAATTTTCTCTCATTGATCTGTCTAATACTGACAGTGGGGTGTTAAAGTCTCCGACTATTATTGTGTGGGAGTCTCTTTGTAGGACTCAAAGAACTTTCTTTATGAATCTGGGTGCTCCTGTATTGGGTGCATATATATTTAGGTTAGTTAGCTCCTCTTGTTGTATTGATCCTTTTACCATTATAAAATGCCCTTCTTTGTCTTTTTTGATGTTTGTTGGTTTAAAGTCTGTTTTATCAGAGACTACAATTGCAACCCCTGCTTTCTTTTGCTTTACATTTGCTTGGTAAATCTTCCTCCATCCCTTTATTTCGAGCCTACATGTGTCTTTGCACGTGAGATTGGTCTCCTGAATACAGCACACTGATGGGTGTTGACTCTGTATCCTATTTGCCAGTCTGTATCTTTTAATTGGGACCTTTAGCCCATTTACATTTCAGATTAATATTGTAATGTGTGAATTTGATCCTGTCATTATGATACTAACTGGTTATTTTACACATTATTTGATGTAGGTTCTTCATAATGTCATTGGTCTTTATATTTTGGTGTGTTTATCCAGTGGGTGGTACTGGTTTTTCCTTTCTATATTTAGTGCTTCCTTCAGGAGCTCTTGTAAGGCAGGCTTGGTGGTGACAAAATCGCTCAGTATTTGCTTGTCTGGAAAGGATTATTTTTTCTCCTTTGCATATAAAGCTTAGTTTAGCTGGATATGAAATTCTGGGTTGAAAATTCTTTTCTTTAAGAATGTTGAATATTCGTCCCCCACTCTGTTCCAGCTTGTAGAGTTTCTGCAGAGAGATTTGCTGTTAGTCTGATTGGCTTGCCTTTGTAGGTAACCTGACCTTTCTCTCTGGCTGCCATGAACAGTTTTTCCTTTGTTTCAACCTTGGTGAATCTGATGACTATGTGTCTTGGAATTGATCTTCTTGAGAAGTATGTTAGTGGTGTTCTCTGTATTTCCTGAATTTGAATGTTGGCCTGTCTTGCCAGTTAGGGGAAGTTCTCTTGGATAATATCCTGAAGTGTGTTTTCCAACTTTGTTCCATTCTCCCTGTCACTTCAGGTACACCAATCTATTGTAGGTTTGGTCTTTTCACATATTCCCGTATTTCCTGGAGGCTTTGTTCATTCTTTTTCATTCTTTTTTTTCTAATCTTGTCTTCATGCCTTATTTCAGTAAGTTAATCTTCAATCTTTGATATTCTTTCTTCCACTCAATTGATTTGGCTATTGATACTTGTGTATGCTTCACGAAGTTCTCGTACTGTGTTTTTCAGCTCCATCAGGTCATTTATGTTTCTCTCTAAACTGGTTATTCTAGTTAGCAGTTCCTGTAACCTTTTATGAAGGTTCTTAGCTTCCTTGCATTGAATTAGAACATGCTCTTTTAGCTCAGAAGAGTTTGTTATTACCCACTTTCCAAAGCCTACCTCTGTCAGTTCATCAAACTGATTCTCCATCCAGTTTTGGTCTCTTGCTGGAGAGGAGTTGCAATCATTCGGAGGAGAAAAGGCATTCTGGTTTTTGGAATTTTCAGCGTTTTGTGCTGGTTTTTCCTCATCTTCATGGATTTATCTACCTTTGATCTTTGAGGCTGATGACCTTTGGATGTGGTTTTTGTTTCGGGGTTCTTTATGTTGATGTTGTTTTCTGTATCTTTTTCTTCTAACAGAAGAAATTTGTTGGAGGTCCACTCCAGACCCTTTTTGCCTGGGTATCACCAGTGGTGGCTGCAGAGCAGCAAAGATTGCTGCCTGCTCCTTCCTCTGGAAGCTCCATCCCTGCAGGGTACTGCCCTGATGCCAGCCGGAGCTCTCCTGTATGAGGTGTCTGTCGACCCGTTTTGGGAGGTCTCTCCCCATCAGGAGGCAGGGGGGTCAGGGACCCACTTGCGGAGGCAGTCTGTCCCTTAGCAGAGCTTGAGCACTGCACTGGGAAAATCCTCCTTGTCAGTATCAGCTGCTCTCATCAGAGCTGGCAGGCAGGAGCTTAAGTCTGCTGAAGCTATGCCCACAGCTGGCCCTTCTTCATGTGCTCTATCCCAGGGAGATGGGAGTTTTTTCTATAAGCCCCTGACTTGGGCTACTGCCTTTCTTTCAGAGATGTCTTCCTAGTGAGGAGGAATCTAGAGAGGCAGTCTGGCCACAGCCCCTTGCCAGGCTGTGGTGAATTCTGCCCAGTCCAAACATCCTGGCTTCCTTAGCACTGTCAGGGGAAAACCACCTACTCAAGCCTCAGTAATGGCGGATGCTCCTCCTTTCACTAAGCTCGATCGTCCCAGGTAGACTTCAGACTGCTGTGATGGCAGTGAGAATTTCAAGCCAGTGGTTCTTAGCATGCTGGCTCTGTAAAAGTGGGACCCCCCTGAGTGAGACCAGTTGGCTCCCTGGCTTCAAACCCCTTTCCAGGGGAGTGAATGGTTCTGTCTTGCTGGGGTTCCAGGTGCCACTGGGGTACAACAAAAAAAATCCTCCTTCTTCTAGTTTGGTGTCTGCCCAAACAGCCGCTCAGTTTTGTGCTTGAAACCTAGGTCCCTGGTGGTGTAGGCATATGAGGGAATCTCCTGATATGCAGATTGCAAAAACTGTGAGAAAAGTGTAGTATCCGGGTCGGATAGCACATTCCCTTGCGGCTTCCCTTGGCTGGGGGAGGGAGGTCCCCAGATCGTTGCATTTCTTGGGTGAGACGATGCCCCACCCTGCTTCCACTCTCCCTCTTTGGGCTGCACCCACTGCCTAACCAGTCCCAATGTGATGAGCATGGTACTTCAGTTGGAAATGCAGAAATCACCTGCCTTCCTTGTTGGTCTCTCTGGGAGCTGCAGACCAGAGCTGTTCCTACTTGGCCATCTTCTCAAAGGCCCTTATTTTTATATTTTTATGACTACTGCATGTTGGATGTTCTTTAGTACTCTATCTTCCAATTAACCAATTTACTCTTTGACCATGTCCAATTTTGTTTGTCTCATCTATTGCATTCTTTAAATTTCAGTGACATTTTGTATTCAACATTTTTAATTGCTTTTTTATTTCTATCTGTATTGCTTTCCTTGCATATATTTTATTATATTCACTCTTTGTTGCTTTGACTATACTGACCATACTTATTTTATTATCCAGGTGGCTGTATAACATTATTGTTTTCTTGAGTGAATTCATTACCTAATTTTTCTTGTCATTAAATTTCTTCATGTATTTTTGGGATTTTGGTTTTCTGCCTGATTTGAATGGATAGTTTTGGTTCTCCACCTCTTGCCTACCTTTATTCATTAGCCTGTGTTGCCTCAACCCTTTCTAGAGGCTTTTTCGTTGCTTTCTCCCAGCACTCCAGGCTTCAATCCACTACCACATTTCAGAATGAAAGTTCTGAGTTACTGTCTCATGATGTTACAGAGAATACTACAGATCCAGTAGAATCAGTTACAATAGCTAGTGGGCTTGGCCCAAATTCTGGTCGCAAGGTTTCATCAGTGATGATCTTCTTTCCTAGACCTACAGTTTGCCAGGGTTTGGCAGCAATACTTTTTTAGCTTCTTTTCACAAGCAGAGGTAGTCCCTAGGATGGGGCTAGAATGCCACTGAATTTTGGTCTCCTTTCTTCCCCCACCAATAAAAAAAAAATAAAAAATAAAAAATAAAACTCTGAACTATCAATTCCTGCTTGAAAATCCAGAGTCCAGCAATCCAATGGCTTAGTTTCACTCATTATTTTGCTTTTTTCTTGTCTAGTAAGATGCTTTTTTTCCTTATATTTGAGCTTGATTTTTTTATGGTCTATCTATCTGTGTAATTTTATTCCTTATATATTTGGAGCAAAAAGAAGAGGGTTCCTAAAGTGTATTAAATCAGCATACCAAATTGACCTGGCCATAATATGTGTTTAATATATGTATGTTGGTGTGACTTGTCCTGAGAATAGCAAAAAGCAGCTGAGATTATGTGAAACGTGTACTGGACCTAAAATCCTGACTCTACTCTCTGTATTCTGTATGTTCCTGACATGCCATTTAATTCATATTGCAGAATAGATTCATTACATTAAGCTGTGCAAAACTTGACCCAGGATATAGCCATCTCCGCAAGGTTTTTATCTGATTTTATGTTTTCTTTTGTTTTGCAGACAGTCTCCTTCCCCTTTCCAGGCACTTGAGGCTGAACCCTTGGAAAGAAAAACAAGCAGTAAGTGACAATTAACAAGGGGTTATTGCCTTTTAAAGCATCTCAGAACACTTGATAAAAAGTATTCCAAATAAAAAGGTAATTTTCTCCCACAAATTCAAAACTCTCGAAGCCTTGGAATAAAGTAAGACTCCAAATTTTGTTGGATTGAGGATTTTAGTTCAAATCGCAGCTCCTAAAGGATTAAAATTCAATCTGAAGACTCCCAAGTAAGCTTTCCATGCATAGTTATTAAAATCAATCCTCTTTGTTTGTCACTATCATTTCTGTGTGATATATTCAAGTTTAAGAACCAGTGTTGCCCTTAGAATAACATAACATAATAAAAGTTTACATTTATGGAACACTATAATTGTCAAACACTAAACTTAGACCTTGATATACACGATACATAAATTAATGATACACATTAAAGTATTTCTTTTGATATTCTCAATAACTCATTGAGGTAGGACTTTTTATTATCTTCATTTTACAGATGAAGAAGCTTAGTAAGGTGTGGCAGAAACAAGTTGGTGAGTCTATTAGCAATCACTTATTCCAATAGCCTACTTTAGTTTGCTACATGCACAGCTACTTCAAATATAACATTTCCAGAATTGAACTATTTCATTTTTGGTGCGTGTGAGAATGCTGAGGAGTTCTCCAGAAACTCGAAAAGTTAATCTGATTGCTAAAGAGAAAAGCTAAAGAAAATAGTGTTAACATAATAAATCCTTTCATAGATTCTTGGGTGTCCAGTGGCTTTTGTACATGGATATAAATACTTACTACTACTTGTTCTTTGCCTACTGCTCAATTTTATGAAATTCAAATAACTTATAAACAAAGATTTTAAAACTAATTTTTATTGACCATCTAAACATTGGTTACCAATTTGATGAATTAAATTTCCTAAAAGTTTTAAACTGCAATTACAAATTTGACGTGGCCTTTTCTGAAACACTTCAAACAGCTTGACTAGTATATGAAATCTACACAGATAAAATGATTAAAAATATATCCATGCACTTACATTTAAAGTTACTCTAAAATATGAACACCACAGGTTTAATTTATTTCCTCTTTATTTCCAGCCTTGCATATTTTTCTTCCTTGGGCTAACTTATTTTATCTTCCCAGGATTTTAGTAATTTTATTCCTTTTTACATTTTCCTAGGGTTTCAATAATCTTAGCCAACTGAGAGGAAAAGAGAAATACCATTTCAGACATGCCAAGGTAACAGAATACAGGTTACCGAGTAAATTGATTCTTGGGGCAAGGGGATCATAAGACATGATTGGGTAGTTCAAAATGATTTAACCATAAGGTATTGGCTGAAGTCCTTTTGATAACAATTTTTAATTTATTATCTCATGGTACTAATTCCCTGTCTGTCACACAGAGGTTTTGTTTTGTTTGTTTGTTTGTTTTTTCTTTTTTTGTTTGTTTGCTTTTGCAACTTGTCTTTAACAAAAATGAAGCATTCTTTAATTTATACATGTTTGGTAGTATCCATTATCCTGTCCTGTCTTCTTGCCATATTTACCTAATCTAAGGTTTATGTATTCCTTATTAATATTTTGTTATAATTATTAGGACTTTTGAAAGGATTCATTTTTTAGAAGGTAAGGGATTGAGTTTTCTTAGGTAGTTCTTTTCTTTTTTTTCTTTTTTATTTTTTTTGAGACAAAGTCTCGCTCTGCCACCAGGCTCGAGTGCAGTGGTGCAATCTCCGCTCACTGCAACCTCCGCCTCTCAGGTTCAAGTGATTCTCCTGCCTCAGCCTCTCGAGTAGCTGGGACTGCAGGTGTGTGCCACCACGCCCAGCTAATTTTGTATTTTTAGTAGAGACGGGGTTTCACTGTGTTGGCTGGGATGGTCTCGATCTCTTGACCTCGTGATCCACCTGCCTTGGCCTTCCAAAGTGCTGGAGTTATAGGTGTGAGGCACTGTGCCCAGCCGGTAGTTCCTTTCTTTAAATCATGTTGTTAATAATCTTGCAACACCCTATTGGACCTATTTCTACGTGATTATTACTTGTGACCATCAGTATTAATCTGTCTTACTAGTTCTTGGTATACATGGCGGCTGGTCTTTGTGTGAATTAGAATAAAGATGTCCTGTCTAGGAGGATACAGTTTAGCCACATGGTGACCGAATGGCTCCTCTGAGTGAATTAAAAAGAGATACCACTTTGGGATTGACACAGCCCCAGAACCAGAGTACATGGTTTGGAAAACAGAGCTCAGGCTGAATTTCATGCTATCTGGTTGGGCACTGTATTAGTCAGGGTTCTCTAGAGGGACAGAACTAATAGGAGATATATATATATATATATAAAGGATATATATATATGGATATATATGGATATATATATAAAGGACATATATATGGATATATATATATAAAGGACATATATATGGATATATAAAGGATATATATACGGATATATATATAAAGGATATATATACGGATATATATATAAAGGATATATATACGGATATATATATAAAGGATATATATACGGATATATATATAAAGGATATATATACGGATATATATATAAAGGATATATATACGGATATATATATAAAGGATATATATACGGATATATATATAAAGGATATATATACGGATATATATATAAAGGATATATATACGGATATATATATAAAGGATATATATACGGATATATATATAAAAGAATATATGGATATATATATGGATATATATATGGATAATATATGGATATATATATGGATATATATACGGCGATATATACGTGGAGATATATACGGAGATATATACGTGAAGATATATACATGGAGATATATACGTGAAGATATATACATGGAGATATATACGTGGAGATATATATACGGAGAAATATATATGGAGATATATATACGGAGATATATATACGGAGATATATATGGAGATATAAATACGGAGATATATATATGGAGATATATATACGGAGATATATATATGGAGATATATATACGGAGAGATATATATGGAGATATATATATGGAGATATATTATGGAGATATATATATGGAGATATATATTATGGAGATATATATGGAGATATATATTATGAAGATATATATATAAAGGATATATGTGGAGATATATATATAAAGGATATATATATGTGGAGATATATATAAAGGATATATATGTGGATATATATATATAAAGGATATATATATGTGGAGATATATATATAAAGGATATGTATATGTGGAGATATATATATAAAGGATATATATGTGGAGATATATATATATAAAGGGTATATATATGTGGAGATATATATATAAAGGATATATATATGTGGATTTATATATATAAAGGATATATATATGTGGATTTATATATATAAAGGATATACATATGTGGATTTATATATATAAAGGATATATATATGTGGATTTATATATATAAAGGATATACATATGTGGATTTATATATATAAAGGATATACATATGTGGATTTATATATATAAAGGATATACATATGTGGATATATACATAAAGGATATACATATGTGGATATATATATAAAGGATATATATATGTGGATATATATATATAAAGCATATATATATGTGGATATATATATATATATAAGGGATATATGAACTTTATAGTAGTTTTTTCCAATTCTGTGAAGAAAGTTGTTGGTAGCTTGATGGGGATGGCATTGAATCTGTAAATTACCTTGGGCAGTATGGCCATTTTCACGATATAGATTCTTCCTACCCATGAGCATGGAATGTTCTTACATTTGTTTGGATCCTCTTTTATTTCCTCGAGCAGTGGTTTGTAGTTCTCCTTGAAGAGGTCCTTCACATCCCTTGTAAGTTGGATTCCTAGGTATTTTATTCTCTTTGAAGCAATTGTGAATGGGAGTTCACTCATGATTTGGCTCTCTGTTTGTCTGTTGTTGGTGTATAAGAATGCTTGTGATTTTTGTACATTGATTTTGTATCCTGAGACTTTGCTGAAGTTGCTTATCAGCTTAAGGAGATTTTGGGCTGAGACAATGGGATTTTCTAGATATACAGTCATGTCATCTGCAAACAGGGACAGTTTGACTTCCTCTTTTCCTAATTGAATACCCTTTATTTCCTTCTCTTGCCTAATTGCCCTGGCCAGAACTTCCAACACTATGTTGAATAGGAGTGGTGAGAGAGGGCATCCCTGCCTTGTGCCAGTTTTCAAAGGGAATGCTTCCAGTTTTTGCCCATTCAGTATGATATTGGCTGTGGGTTTGTCATAGATAGCTCTTATTATTTTGAAATATGTCCCATCAATACCTAATTTATTGAGAGTTTTTAGCATGAAGGGTTGTTGAATTTTGTCAAAGGCCTCTTCTGCATCTATTGAGATAATCATGTGGTTTTTGTCTTTGGTTCTGTTTATATGCTGGATTACATTTGTTGATTTGCGTATATTGAACCAGCCTTGCATCCCAGGGTTGAAGCCCACTTGTTCATGGTGGATAAGCTTTTTGATGTGCTGCTGGATTCGGTTTGCCAGTATTTTGTTGAGGATTTTTGCATCAATGTTCATCAAGGATATTGGTCTAAAATTCTCTTTTTTGGTTGTGTCTCTGCCCGGCTTTGGTATCAGGATGATGCTGGCCTCATAAAATGAATTAGGGAGGATTCCCTCTTTTTCTATTGATTGGAATAGTTTCAGAAGGAATGGTACCAGTTCCTCCTTGTACCTCTGGTAGAATTCGGCTGTGAATCCATCTGGTCCTGGACTTTTTTTGGTTGGTAAGCTACTGATTATTGCCACAATTTCGGATCCTGTTATTGGTCTTTTCAGATATTCAACTTCTTCCTGGTTTAGTCTTGGGAAAGTGCATGTGTCGAGGAATTTATCCATTTCTTCTAGATTTTCTAGTTTATTTGCATAGAGGTGTTTGTAGTATTCTCTGATGGTAGTTTGTATTTCTGTGGGATTGGTGGTGATATCCCCTTTATCATTTTTTATTGCGTCTATTATGTGGATATATATATATATCAGGGATGTATATATGTGGATATATATATAAGGGATATATATATGTGGATATATATATAAGGGATATATATATGTGGATATATATATATAAGGGATATATATATGTGGATATATATAAAGGATATATATATGTGGATGGATATATATAAAGGATATATATATGTGGATATATATAAATAAAGGATATATATATGTGGATATATCTATATAAAGGATTTATAAATGGATATATCTATATAAAGGATAAATATAAATGTGGATATATATATAAAGGAGAAATATAAATATGGATTATATATATAAAGGATAAATATAAATACGGATATATATATAAAGGATAAATATATATATGGATATATATAAAGGATATATATGTATATATATAAAGGATATATATGTATATGGATATATATATATAAAGGATATATATGGATATGGGTATTATATATAAAGGATATATATGGATGTATATATAAAGGATACATATATGGATATATATATAAAGGGTATATATATAAAGCATATATATATGGATTATTTATAAAGCATATATATATGCATATATATAAAGGATATATATATGGATACATATATATAAAGGATATATAGATATATATAAAGGATATATATATAAAGGATATATATAATATATATACATATATAAAAGATATATATGTATATGATATATATAAAAGATATATATGTATATGGATATATATAAAAGATATATATGTATATGGATATATATATAAAGGATATATATGTTTATGGATATATATAAAGGTTATATATGGATATGTATATAAAGGAGATATATATATTGATAGATATATAAAGGATATATATATGGATAGATATATAAAGGATATATATATATAAAGGACATATATATATCCTTTATATCCTTTATATATATAAATATATATCCTTTATATATTCTTTTTATATATATATCCTTTATGTATATATTCTTTATATATATCCTTTATATATATATCCTTTATATATGTGTATATATATCCTTTATATATATATCCTTTATATATATATCCTTTATATATGTACATATATATCCTTTATATATGTATATATATGTCCTTTATATACATATATAGAGCTCCAGAGCGAGGAATGATGCCAGCAGGAAACAATAACAAATCCATTCAACTGGAAGTTAAGATTGCCACCTGGACACTTTGGGCTCCTCCTATCTTTAAGTCAACAGGCTAAGAAGGGAGTTACAGTGTTGGCTGGGGTGACAGAGCTGGACTATCCTATATATATGTATCCTTTTATATATATATAACCTTTATATATATATATATATCCTTTATATATATATCCTTTATATGTATGTATATCCTTTATATATATATCCTTTATATATATATATCCTTTATATATATATCCTTTATATATATATAATATATATCCTTTATATATATAATATATATCCTTTATATATATATAATATATATATATGGAAATTTATTATTTACTCAGATGATCACAAGGTCCCACAATAGGCCATCTGCAAGCTGAGGGGTAAGGAGAGCCAGACGGAGTCCGAGAATTGAAGAACTTGGAGTCTGATGTTCAAGGGCAGGAAGCATCCAGCATGGGAGAAAGATGTAGGCTGGGAGGCTAAGCCAGTCTAGTCTTTTTATGTTTTTCTGCCTGCTTTATATTCTAGCTGAGCTGGCAGCTGATTAGATGGTGCCCACCCAGATTAAGGGTAGGTCTGTCTTTCCCAGCCCACTGACTCAAATGTTAACCTCCTTTGTCAACACCCTCACAGGCACACCCAGGATCAGTACTTTGCATCCTTCAGTCCAATCAAGTTGATACTCAGTTTTAACCATCACAAGTCCACCCTTTGTCAACTTGAGCCCATACACATCTCCTGAGATCATACATAATCTTCAAATAAAAACAAAATAAGGTCATAATTATGACTAACATAATACCACTATCCTTTGTACACCTGAAAAGGCACCAATCCCCAACCCAAACACTATTACATAAAGTTAACAATACTTAAATGCTGATATGAAGTCAATAAATCTTATGTCACATGAGAAAGGAAAAAGGAAATAAAATTAAGATATTTTCTTAGTACAAGTGTATACATGCACAAACATGTTTTTAACAAAAGAAGGAGGAAATACCCATGACAATTACAGTCCTCATTTCTGCAGCTGGTCATGTGGTCATAGCTGGTACTGATGACTACCTCCTTCTACTACCCATTCTTTATTCCCTTTACCTTTAGCAAGCACCTCAGCAGGTCATGGGTTTTTTTCCTGGTGGAGTGACCCAAACCTTCATTCCCGAAGGTCTGGGCCATTTATAGTCCTGCCTGGATTTGGCTGTTGTTGTTTCCCATTGACCTTAATCATGGGGCATAGTAATGCTAAGAGATGCCCTAATGGATCTCTTGTATTCCATACATACACTTCCTTACCTCCGTTGTGGAGTAAAAGACTGATTTCATCTTGATAGTCCGGGTCTGTCACCCCAACCAACACTGTAACTCCCTTCTTATCCTGTTGACTTAAAGATAGGAGGAGCCCAAAGTGTCCAGGTGGCAATCTTAACTTCCAGTTGAATGGATTTAATGTTGTGTCTCCTGGTGGCATTGTTCCTCCCTCTGGAGCTAAGACCTCTAGACCAGCAGAATGTAATGTCGTGGGAACAGGAAGAAAAAATTTTGCTAGTGGATTACTAGGTGTCATGGTAAGTGGTGCCACTTCTGCTTCCACCACTTGATTCCTGGACCCATGAATCCTGGCTGTGGGAGAAACTATCATATATTGGACACTGATTCAGAGTATACACGGCCTTCTGGAGAACTTTGCTGCAGGCTTGCAAAGTATTGTCACCTAGTTGGCATTGTAATTGTGACTTCAAAAGGCCATTCCACCATTCCATCAATCCAGCTGCTTCAGGATGATGAGGAACATGGTAAGGCCAGTGAATTCCATGAGCATGAGCCCACTGCTGCACTTCTTTAGCCGTAAAGTGAGTGCCTCGGTCAGAGGCAGTGCTGTGTGGAATACCATGATGGTGAATAAGGCATTCTGTGAGCCCACGGATGGTAGTCTTGGCAGAAGCATTGGGTGCAGGATAGGAAAACCCATATCTGGAGTAAGTGTTTATTTCAGTGAGGACAAATCTCTGCCGTTTCCATGATGGAAGAAGTCCGATATAATCAACCTGCCACCAGATAACTGGCTGATCACCCCAAAGAATGATGCCATATTGAGGGTTCAGTGTTGGTTTCTGCTGCTGGCAAATTGGGCACTCAGCAGTGGCAGTAGCCAGGTCAGCCATGGTGAGTGGAAATTCATATTGCTGAGCCCATGCGTAACCTCCATCCCTGCCACCACGGCCACATTGTTCATAGGCTCATTGGGCGATGACAGGGGTGGCTGGGGAAAGAGGCTGAGTGGTGTCCACAGAACGGGTCATCCTAGTCACTTGATTGTTAAAATCCTCCTTTGCTGAGGTCACCTGTTGTTGAGCACTCACATGGGATACAAATATCTTCACAGTTTTTGACCACTCAGGTCCATCCACATACCTCTTCTCCAAATTTTTGTCACCAATTTTCCAGTCATGCTTCTTCCAACTCCCTGACCATCCAGCCAAACCATTGGTACACCCCATGAATCAGTGTATAATCCCACATCTGGCCATTTCTCCTTCCATGCAAAGTGCACAACCAGTTACACTGCTCGAAGTTCTGCCTACTGTGAAGATTTCCCTTCACCAGTGTTCTTCAGGGATGTCCTAGAAAGTGGCTGTAGTGCTGCAGCTGTCCACTTTCAGGTGGTTCCTGCATATCATGCAGAACCATCTATGAACCAGGTTCTAGTCTTCTCTTCCTGTGTCAACTGATCATAGGGAACTCTCCTTGAGGCCATTGGTGCAGGCTTGGGGAGAGAAGGCAGGGTGGCAGGAGTGGAGACCATGGGCATTTGAACCACTTCCTCATGTAACTTACTTGTGCCTTCAGGATCTGCTCAAGCCCAATCACGAATATACTTCTTCCATTTGATGATGGAATGCTGCTGTGTACAACCCACTTTATGGCTAGATGGGACAGAAAGCACCCAGTTAATGATAGGCAGTTCAGATCACATGGTGACTTGATGACCCAGAGTCAAATGTTCACTTTCCACCAAAGCCCAGTAACAGGTCAAAAGGAGAGTAGTTATCTACAGAAGATGGCAGGGCCTTGCTCCAAAATCCTAGTGGCTTCCACTGTGATTCATCTATGGGGGCCTGCCAATGGCTCCAAACAGCATCCCTGTCTGCCACTGACACCTCAAGCACCATTGGATCTGCTGGGTCCTATGGCCCAAGTGGCAGAGCAGCTTGCACAGCAGCCTAGACCTGTTGCAGAGCCTTCTCCTATTCTGCATCCCACTCAAAACTGGAAGCCTTTTGGGTCACTGGATAAATGAGCTGGAGTAACACACCCAAATGAGGAATGTGTTGCCTCCAAAATCCAAAGAGGCTCACTAGGCGCTGCGCTTCTTCTTGGTTGTAGGAGGGGCCAAATGCAGCTACTTATCCTTCACCTTAGAAGGAATATCTCGACAGGTCCCATACCACTGGACTCCTAGAAATTTTACTGAGACAGAAGGTCCCTGAATTTTAGTCAGATTTATTTCTCATACTCTAGCACTCCAAAGTCTCACCAATAAGTCCACTGTGTTTGCTACTTCTTGCCCACTGGATCTAATCAGCATAATGTCATCAATGTAATGGACCAGTGTGATATCTTGCGGAAGTGAAAAGTGGTGATCAAGGTCTCTTCAAGTAAGATTATGACACAAAGCCAGAAAGTCAATATACCCCTGAGGTACGACAGTAAAGGTATATTTCTGGCCTTGCCAGCTGAAGGCATATTGCTTCTGGTAGGCCTTATGGACAGGAATGGAGAAAAAAGCATTTGTCAAGTCAGTGGCCGCATACCAGGTACCAGGAGATGTGTTAATTTGCTCAACCAATGAAACCACGTCTGGTACAGCAGCTTCGATTGGAGTCACCGCTTGGTTAAGCCTACTATTATCCACTGTCACTCTCCAAGATCAATCTGTCTTCTGCACAAAACAAATGGGAGAGTTGAATGGGGATGTGGTGGGAATCACCACTCCTGTGTCTTTCAAGTCCTTGATGGTGGCACTAATGTCCACAATCCCTCCAGGGATGCGATATTGTTTTTGGTTTACTATTTTTCTAGGTAGAGGCAGCTCTAATGGCTTCCATTTGGCCTTTCCCACCATAATACCCCTCACCCTACCAGTCAGGGAGCCAATGTAGGGGTTTTGCCAGCTGCTAAGTATGTGTATACCAATTATACACTCTGGCACTGGGGAAATGACCACAGGATGAGTCCGGGAACCCACTGGACCCACTGTAAATCGGACCTGAGCTAAAACTCCATTAATTACCTGACATCCATAAGCCCCTACTTTAACTGGAAGACCACAATGACGTTTTCGGTCCCACAAAATCAATGTCAGCTCAGAGCCAGTTTCCAGTAGTCCCCAAAATGTCTGATCATTTCCGTTTCTTCAATGCAGTTACCCTGGTAAAAGGCCGGAGGTCTCCTTGCGGAAGGATGGGAGAAAGATTAACAGCATAAATTGTCAGTAGTGTAATGGGGTCCTTCCTCAAGGGGACTCGGCCTCCTCTTCATTCAAGGGGTTCGGGTCTGTAAACTGGCTCAAGTCTAGAAATTGATTGAGAGGCCGTGATTTTCTGTTTTCATAATTCAAATTAGTCTTTTGTCCATTCGACCTAGAAGTTTTCTGCTTATATAAATTAAGTAGGAATGCAGTAGGCTTCCTATCAATTTCACTTCTAGAACACCATGATTAATTAGCCAATGCCAGAGCGCTCTCTATCTGTCTCCCCACCTCTCTGTCTCGCTATATATACACACACACACACACACACACACACACACACACACGCACAAAGGGGAGTTTACTAAGTATTAATTCACACTATCACAAGCCCCACAATAGGCCATCTGCAAGCTGAGGAGCAAGGAGAGCCAGACCGAGTCCCAAAACTGAAGAACTTGGAGTCTGATGTTCTAGGGCAGGAAGCATCCAGCATGGGAGAAAGATGTAGGCTGGAAGATTGGGTCAGTCTAGTCTTTTTATGTTTTTCTGCCTGCTTTATATTCTAGCCACACTGGCAGCTGATTAGATGGTGCCCTCCCAGATTAAGGGTGGGTCTGCCTTTCCCAGCCCACTGACTCAAATGTTAATCTCCTTTGTCAGCACCCTCACAGATACACCCAGGATCAATAATTTGCATCCTTCAATCCAATTAAGTTGACATTCAGTATTAACCATCACAGGCACCCTTGGGCTGCATGCAACCTATACAACTATACACAGCAGCCATTGGTATTGTACCTGTTTTTCTGGAACCACATATAGCTTACTCATCGTTTTTCCTGTATTCTTTCCTGATTGCCCATTGATGGAAACAAGTACATATCTATGCTTTACAAAAGACATATACTTAAAATGAAAAAAGTACCCATGAATATTTAGCAGTTTCGTATATAAAAGCAACAAATCTTAAATATCCTATGGCATTTTTTTTTTTTCATTACAAGTACCTTTTTTTCTTTTTTTTATAAGAGAAAAGGTCTTATTCCACTGACCAGGCTGGAGTGTAGTGGTGCCATCACAGCTCACTGCAGCGTTGAACTCTTGGGCTGAAGCAATCTTCGCACCTCAGGATTCTGAGTAGCTAGAACTACAGGCGCATGCCATCATGCACAGCTGATTTTTTAAAAAATTACAGAGGCAGAGTCTCACTCTGTTGCCCAGGCTGGTCTCAAACATTTGGCTCCAAGCAATCCTCCTGCCTTGGCCTCTCAAAGCACTGGAATTACAGGCATGAGCCACTGCACCCAGCCCACAACTACCTTTTTTACTTTTAGGAGTATCATCATGTACTTACAGCATTTAACAGACTAAAATAGTTTCAATTAATCATAGCATATGTGGTAAAATAAAAAGTTACAATTTGGTAATGAGAGCCCCTTTAAGGTGACTTTTCATCCTTTCAACACTGCTCCTGACATTCTTGAAAGAATTTTTATTGTAACAAGAGTCTTTATTAATATTGCTGACTTTTTTCTGCCCAAAAATGTGTATCAGCTACCCTCCTTATCAGTCCTTTGAGTGGGGACCAAAATCTGGGCACAGGAATGCTTTTGAAAATTGAAGGCAGGTAACAGCACTGCTTCTACTGCTGCTCCTGTTGTTGGGTGTATTAGTCCGTTCTCACACTGCTATAAAGAACTACCTGAGATTGGATAACTTATAAAGAAAAGAGGTTTAGTTGATTCACAGTTCCACAGGCTGTACAGGAGGCATGGCTGGGGAGGCCTCAGGAAACTTACAATTATGGCAGAAGGTGAAGGGCAAGCCAGCACATCTTCACATGACAGCAGGAGAGAGAGAGAGCAAAGGGGGAAGTGCTACACACTTTCAAAAAAACATCTTGTGAGAACTCAATATCATGAGAACAGCAAGGGAGAAATTCATCCCCATTATACAATCACCTCCCACCATGTCCTTCCTCCAACATTGGGGATTACAATTCAACATGAGATTTAGGTGGGGGACAGAGCCAAATCATACCATTGGGACTGCGTGTGTGTGTGTGTGTGTATGTGTATAAGAGAGCAAGCATAAGCATGCCCATGCTGAAGAGGTATTTCTAAGGTCATTATGAGTTCCCACCACTTTTTCCAACTTTTTATGTTGTTGTGCCATTTTTTGCTTATAACATATGGTTTCATCAACCGCTGACATTTTTGCCTATATCAACACTCGGGATAGGTTGGGACCTGGGAAACAGGCTACCCACAAATATGAGTTTCAGTACTTTTCCAGAGCATGTGCAAAATGTCCCTGTCTCCTTTCCTGGAGCACACTTAAGCAAGATTGGGTTCTAACATGTGTTTGAGATTAACGGAGGCCATCTTTTGATGGTTAACATCTTACTCTAAAACTCATATAGTTTTATGGGTTTTGCTTTGTATAGTACATATACTGTGTTGAATGTGTACCTGGTTGGCATGTGCTAGCCTGTTCTCCATATCTCTGCTTCTGGGTAACATGTCTTTTAAGCTTAAATAATATCTTCCATGGGATCCCTTTTGATTCCTATTATCTGGGTTAAGTTGTTCCTCTCTATGTTCTTCTATTGAAGTATCTAATACTCATCACACTGTATTTTAACCTTTTGTTTACTTCTCTGTCTTTCCGCATTACTCTGTGATATCCTCTTGGGTTGTGTCTTACTCATCTGCCAGATCTATTACATACTTCTTGGAACATGGTGGATGCTCAATACGTAAATATTGAATGTTTCTAAATGAGGCCCAAAGAAACAATACACAGTGATAACTTGGTTTTACTAGCCAATATCTAAGGATTGGAGCACTCTCCCAGGTGAAGATGGAGGAGAAATTCTGTAACACTAGAGCCCCCATTTAAGGAATAAAAGACTGCTGAGCACTAAAATGCTTCCAGGCTCTCCGTGGTTGGCATAATAAGCTAAATATTTCAAGTTAATCTCCTGCTTTTCCAAGATCAGTGCCCCACTGGAAGGAGATCCATTAATTCCCTATGGGGAGATGGAAGCAGCGTTTTTATTAGAGAAGGCTTTCTGTTGTCTTAAAAGATGAGTAGAGGTTAGCTAAGTCAAGGCAATGGGTAGTAAGCCATTTTAAGCGAATGTTTTTGAGCAAAGGGACATGAGAAAAAAACGGGTGTGTGGTGAAGATCCCAGCATTTCAGTACTTTTTGGACGTGAAGTATGAAGCAAGAAAGCTAGGGTGTTAAGTTACCCTGGAAAGGTAAGCAGGGGTGAGATTTTGGAGGGACTTTTATGTTGCATTAAGTTATAAGATTTTATGTTATAACACCAAAATAGAGAAGATTGGTATAGTTAGTAAAAGCATGTGTTCTGCAGTCAGGTTGCCTATGTTTGAAAGTCAGCTCTGGCCTTTACTAGCTCTGTGACTTAGGCTTTTTTGTGCCTTATGTTTTTTACTCTGTAAAGGAAGAATAATAAGAGTACCTACTTCATAGGATTATTTTGAAGATTTGAGTTAGAGTGCTTACAGCATTCTGTAATAATTAACAGTTGGTACAACTGTTGTGTTGTTTTTTGTATTTATGCTGTAGAAAGACAACTCAGGCCACTTGTATGAAAGATTAGAGTAGAAGAGAACCAGAGTATGGAAACAATATGGAGATTAAAGTGCCTCTCCAATAGCTCCCATTGACATTTGCTGGATATGTTTGCAACATAGTCCTATGTAGTGATTTTAATGATATCGCATACTTTACACATGGATTTTGTGCAAACTGAATTAAAGGAAACCTTGCCATTTTATTTTTCTTACAAATGTCCTGGGTGTGAACTTACTGGAAATAGAACCTCTGGGGCTTTCAGGACCTTGCATACTGTGGCTAAATTTTGGTCCTACTGTTCAGAGTATAGTTCAGAACTCATTTCCTAAGAAGGTGACCTGGAGAGAGGAAAGCCAGCTGTTTCCCAGAAAAGGATTGAAAACGGCAGCAAGGTTAGATTCTAGTATCAGTATGAGAATAATAGAGGCCATGTTCTGATAGTTACCATCTTACTATAAAACTCAGGTTGCACATATTACTGCCTGTTGTATATCGTATGTTGAGTATGATCAAGAGGCAATGCGTATAGTGAAAATAAAAGATCTGGGCTGTGGATCTAGCTCTCCTACTTACTCATGTCTGTATATCTCAGTTGCCATGTCTGTGACATGAGGATAATAATACCATGTTATCTTGCAGGGCTGTGATGAAAATCAGTTGAGATCATCTATGTGAAAGCACTTAACCAAAATCCAAAGGCACTCGATGAATGAAATGATTTTTAAAACCATTAAGGAAGACTCAGAAATATAATGTGATCTATACATATGTTTGTCCCTTCCTTAAATGAACTCATCAAGGGTTTAAATATGTGCCAGATGATCACCTATTATGCAAGTCACCATAGTTTGCACATAATTCAGTTTATAATTCCTCTTGAAGTGACTTTCTGCTTCCAATCAAAGCTCAAGAATTCCACCTAAAAATGTTTTTCTGCTCAAAAGCTCTTTTTTATTACTTCCATGTTTTGAGCCTTGTTCCAGAAAGCTGAGGTTTCTCCAGGTCTGACCACTAATCAGTGAGACATTGGTGCCTCTTTCTTCAGTGCTTCTAGCAGGCCTACTGATAAGCTCCCTAGATGAGATACACTGCATAAAAAAATGATGCCCAAAGGACAGCTTTAAGTGCCTGCTAGATATCTGTTCTTTCAGAAGTCTCTCTCCACCTATCTCTCCAGTAAAGATGGACTTAAAACTAAAAGACTGTGAATTTTGGTATAGTCTCCATGGCCAGGTCCCAGGGCTGCTGGACTGGGACATGAGGAATGAGTTATTTCTGCCTTGTACCACAGACCAGTGCTCTTTAGCTGAGCAAATCCTTGCCAAATACAGAGTCGGAGTAATGAAGCCCCCAGAAATGCCTCAGAAGAGGAGACCCAGTCCTGATGGAGATGGTCCTCCCTGTGAACCCAATCTGTGGATGTGGGTGGACCCCAATATCCTGTGCCCCCTTGGCAGCCAGGAGGCCCCAAAGCCCAGTGGAAAAGAGGATCTGACAAACATTTCTCCTTTCCCTCAGCCCCCACAAAAAGACGAAGGGTCTAACTGCTCAGAGGACAAAGTGGTAGAGTCTCTGCCATCTTCCTCCAGTGAGCAGTCTCCTTTACAGAAGCAGGGTATCCATTCCCCCAGTGACTTTGAGCTCACAGAAGAGGAGGCTGAGGAACCAGACGACAACTCCCTCCAGTCCCCTGAAATGAAATGTTACCAGAGCCAGAAACTATGGCAAATCAACAACCAAGAGAAGTCCTGGCAAAGGCCCCCTCTCAATTGTAGCCACCTTATTGCCCTAGCATTAAGAAACAACCCCCACTGTGGCCTCAGTGTGCAGGAGATCTACAATTTCACCCGACAGCATTTCCCCTTTTTCTGGACAGCTCCGGATGGCTGGAAGAGCACCATTCATTACAACCTCTGCTTCCTGGACAGCTTTGAGAAGGTGCCAGACAGCCTTAAGGATGAAGATAATGCAAGACCTCGCTCTTGCCTTTGGAAGCTCACTAAGGAGGGGCACCGCCGCTTTTGGGAGGAGACTCGTGTCTTAGCCTTTGCTCAAAGGGAGAGAATCCAAGAGTGCATGAGTCAGCCAGAGTTGTTGACCTCTCTCTTTGATCTTTGAAATGCCATTGCTCCCTTTTGGAACACTGCCTTCCTTACTGTGCCTACTTATCCCCTGACATTCATTAATCTCTAAACTTACCCAGCCTGGTTGGTGCCAAGTCTGTCTTTAGCTACTGTTACAATAATGGTGTTAAGTAAAGTTAGAGGTGGGTACAGGGGAGACAGAACTTAAATCCAGGTGGAGAGTCATGGAAAGTCGCACGAGGAGAGTGGCTGTTGTTCCAAATTTTGAGCAAAGGAAAAGAAATCCTAGAAACAATGGCATAGAAACTAAGGAAAGAAGGGTGTGTTTTGTGAAAGAAAGGAATTTTGTTTATAGAGAGTATTTTCACACATGAAAGTGAACAGTGGAATATAAAGCATAAAAGGCAGGATGGAGCCGAGCCATGGAGAACCTCGAGTGCCATGTGAAGAGAATTTGACTTGTGATGAAGAATCAAGTTTCCCCTTCTACCATTCATCAGCTACATCTCCTTTTTAAGTAACCCATTTTATCCTTCAGAACCTCACTTTTCTATTTCTGGCCCTGGACTTCTAAGCCTTGTTTCTTTGTCATCCAATTCCAATATTGACAAATAATTCTAAACAGCTACTTTTAGTTTGTATGTTTAACGTCCTGTGAAATATTCCTGTATTAACCCCAAGCCTTTTGATGATAAAGCTTTATTTTCTATTATTTTTAGTTCTCAAGATTTTATTGAGGATATGCTAATGTGTCAAGGTCCATCTTAGATGCTGAGGATAAAAAGCTGAGGGATACTAGTGGGAGACATATTTATAATGTAAATATGATGAAACAGATGTGAGAAATTGACATGGAAATGGGGAGACATTCTTCCTGGGAAAGACATGAAAGGGCATTGGAAAAAATACATTTTGAGCTAGTTTTGAAGAATAAATGGCAAACTGGAGTAGAGGCATTACAGAGACAACAATGTGAACAAAGTGGATGGAGTGTTTGGGGGAATGGCATGAAGTTCAGTGTGACTTAACTACATGAGGACCGTGAGTGACTAAGAGAAAACTATTAGGTGTTTGGACTTCATCTTGTGGGTTTTTAGGAGCCAAGAGACATCAGTGGAGTTTTGCTAAAAAACAAAAAAAGAAACAAGCCAGCAGCAACAACAAACACTACAGCATTTGTTTTTCTAATTTCAAAATTATCTTTAACATCTTTTCTATGCAAATAAACTTTTGTTTATCAGATTTAAGCATAGCTTTTTGCTTCAATGATATTAACATATATCCAGGAGAAAATAGATTTTTAGGTATAAATTTAGTTGCAAAACCTTCATAATGGGGGTACAAAAACGCCTGTAAGCTACAAAAGCAATTAATTCAATATAATTGTAACTATTTTCAAAGTTCACATTTTTATAATGATGTATTATACCTCATACAAAATTGTATATTTAGGTTAAATCACAAAACAACATATGCAAACAGTATTTTTTGAAAAAAATTGTAAATGCTACTTCTGTATCATAAGGCAAAGACCAAGTTAACAGAATACCTTGGAATTAATAAAATATTCTGCATATAAGTAGTCACCAGTTGCTTCTCATTTTTCTCCCAGATTAACACTTACTAGTAAAAGAGCTGGATGTGAAATTAATGAGACTATTTTTATCACAAACTACACTTCTAATATGCCTAGTCTGTAAACTTCTCAAACAAGGCAAGCTTTCATTTTTAGAACTAGACCTGGAGTTTTCTGCTGCAACCTGGTACCTCTGAGCTTTGAACTCTATTCAGTATTTTCTGATCCTTATTTCTGCTCTCTGGTTGCATGAAAAAAAGCAGTGGCTGGATATGGTGCTTCTTCAGTAATGTCATGATCCAGATATACCTTCAGAGGAACTTTTTAAAAAAATTATAAATTGCTGTAATCGAGTGCAAAATAAAGGAAACTTGAGTTGCTTCATTCAGCTTCCAATTTCTAGGAGGCTTAAGAATCATAAGAATTCTGGATAACAAAAGAAAATAAGACTGTGCTTATAGAGCTTGTTCTGCCGTATTTTTTCTTAATGATTGCTACTTTATTGTTGCTTTTCCTGTTACATGTGATGTATGCATCAGGTGTTAAAAGGTACAATACTTTCTACAACTGAGCACCTTTTTCTGTAAATGAACAAGCAAAGAAATTACACTGAACATCTGCATCTGGCAGTATGTTTTGGAAAAATGACTAAAAATGGGTTTAAATTTAACACTATTAAATCACATCTAATATTTGATACTACACGATTCAATACAGCTATAAAATACAATTATACAAAATATGTTAACATCAAAGAATACAACTAAAATTAAGATAGCAAACACAACCTATATAACTTCTTTTTATAGGAAAATATTTTTGAAGTATGCATGTAGCTGCCCATTCTTTTAAAGAAAATGTACTGCAAGCAAACTTATCAAACTCCAGAAAAATCACACATAGCATTACTAAGCATATCCCCCAAAGTGTACAATATGCACATTTGGAAAACACAAAATTTAAAAAATTGTAAACAACAGGTGAGCTTCGTATTTACAACAATGTGAAAAGAAGTCCCATTTTTAACACTGTTGTATAAAGAATTGTCTTTATGTGAAGACCAAATCTACGTTTGATTGGTGTACCTGAAAGTGATGGGGAGAATGGAACAAAGTTGGAAAACACTCTTCAGGATATTATCCAGGAGAACTTCCCCAACTTAGCAAGGCAAGCCAACATTCAAATTCAGGAAATACAGAGAACACCACAAAGATACGCCAGGAGAAGAGGAACCCCAAGACACATAATGGCCAGATTCACCAAGGTTGAAATGAAGGAAAAAATGTTAAGGGCAGCCATAGAGAAAGGTCGGGCTACTGACAAAGGAAAGCCCATTAGACTAACAGCAGAACCATCGGCAGAAACACTATAAGCCAGAAGAGAGTGGGGGCCAATATTCAACATTCTTGAAGAAAAGAATTTTCAACCCAGAATTTCATATCCAGCCAAACTAAGCTTCAAACTAAGCTGAGAGATTTTGTCACCAGCAGGCCTGCCTTATAAGAGCTCCTGAAGGAAGCACTAAACATGGAAAGAAACAACTGGTAGAAGCCACTGCAAAAACATGCCAATTTGTAGAGACCGTCAATGCTAGGAAGAAACTGCATCAACTAACGGGCAAAATAACCAGCTAACATCATAATGACAGGATCAAATTCACACATAACAATATTAACTGATGAGTCAAGATCCATCAGTGTGCTGTATTCAGGAGACCCAACTCACGTGCAAAGACACACATAGGCTCAAAATAAAAGGATGGAGGAAGATCTACCAAGCAAATGGAAAGCAAAAAAAGCAGGGGTTGCAATCCTAGTCTCTGATAAAACAGACTTTAAACCAACAAAGATCAAAAGAGACGAAGAAGACCATTACATAAAGGTAAAGGGAACAATTCAACAAGAAGAGCTAACTATCCTAAATATGTATGCACCAAATACAGGAGCACCCAGATTCATAAAGCAAGTCCTTAGAGACCTACAAAGAGACTTAGACTCCCACACAATAATAATGGGAGAATTTAACACCCCACTGTCAACATTAGACAGATCAACGAGACAGAAGGTCAACAAGGATATCCAGGACTTGAACTCAGCTCTGAAACAAGCAGACCTAATAGACATCTACAGAACTCTCCACCCCAAATTAACAGAATATACATTCTTCTCAGAACCACATTGCCCTTATTCCAAAATTGACCACATAGTTGGAAGTAAAGCACTCCTTAACAAATGTAAAAGAACAGAAATCATGACCAACTGTCTCTCAGACCACAGTGCAATCAAATTAGAACTCAGGATTAAGAAACCCACTCTAAACCACACAACCACATGGAAACTGAACGACCTGCCGCTGAATGACTACTCAGTAAATAACGAAATGCAGGCAGAAATAAAGATGTTCTTTGAAAACAATGACAACGATGACACAACATATCAGAATCTCTGGGATACATTTAAAGTAGTATGTAGAGGGAAATTTATAGCACTAAATGCCCACAAGAGAAAGCAGGAAAGATCTAAAATTGACACCCTAAAATCACAATTAAAAGAACTAGAGAAGAAAGAGCAAACAAATTCAAAAGCTAACAGAAGGCGAGAAATTAAGATCAGAGCAGAACTGAAGGAGATAGAGATACAAGAAAACCTGCCAAAAATCAATGAATCCAGTAGCTGGTTTTTTGAAAAGATCAACAACATTGATAGACCACTAGCAAGACTAATAAAGAAGAAAAGAGAGAAGAATCAAATAGACACAATAAAAAATGATAAAGGGGATATCACCACCAATCCCACAGAAATAGAAACTACCATCAGAGAATACTGTAAACACCTCTATGCCAATAAACTAGAAAATCTAGAAGAAATGGATAAATTCCTGGACACATACACCCTCCCAAGACTAAACCAGGAAGAAGTTGAATCACTGAATAGACCAATAAGAGGCTCTGAAATTGAGGCAATAATTAATAGCCTACCAACCAAAACAAGTCGAGGGCCACATGGATTCACAGCCGAATTCTACCAGAGGTACAAAGAGGAGCTGGTACCATTCCTTCTGAAACTATTCCAATCAATAGAAAAAGAGGGAATCCTCCCTAACTCATTTTATGAGGCCAGCATCATCCTGATACCAAAGCCTGGCAGAGGAACTAGAAAAAGAGACTTTTAATCCAATATCCATGATAAACATTAATGAGAAAATCCCCAATAAAATACTGGCAAACTGAATCCAGCAGCACATCAAAAAGCTTATCCACCATGATCAAGTGGGCTTCATCCCTGGGATGCAAGGCTGGTTCAACACATGCAAATCAATAAACATAATCCATCACAAAAAAAGAATCAATGACAAAAACCACATGATTATCTCAATAGATGCAGAAAAGGCCTTTGACAAAATTCAACAACTCTTCATGCTAAAAACTCTCAATAAACTAGGTATTGATGGAACGTATTTCAAAATAATAAGAGCTATTTATGACAAACCCATAGTCAATATCATACTGAATGGAGAAAAACTGAAGTCATTCCCTTTGAAAACTGGCACAAGGCAGGGATGCCCTCTCTCACCACTCCTATTCAACATAGTGTTGGAAGTTCTGTCCAGGGCAATCAGGCAGGAGAAAGAAATAAAGGGTATTCAATTAGGAAAAGAGGAAGTCAAATTGTCCCTGTTTGCAGATGACATGATTGTATATTTAGAAAACCCCATCTTCTCAGCCCAAAATCTCCTTAAGCTGATAAGCAACTTCAGCAAAGTCTCAGGATACAAAATCAATGTGCAAAAATCATAAGCATTCCTATACACCAGTAACAGACAGAGAGCCAAATCATGAGTGAACTCCCATTCACAATTGCTTCAAAGAGAATAAAATACCTAGGAATGTAACTTACAAGGGACGTGAAGGACCTCTTCAAGGAGAACTACAAACCACTTCTCAACAAAATAAAAGAGGACAAAAACAATGGAAGAACATTCCATGCTCATGGATAGGAAGAATCAATATCTTGAAAGTGGCCATAATGCCCAAGGCAATTTATAGATTCAATGCCATCGCCATCAAACTACGAATGACTTTCTTCACAGAATTGGAAAAAAACTACTTTAAAGTTCATATGGAACCAAAAAAGAGCCTGCATTGCCAAGACAATCCTAAGCCGAAAGAACAAAGCTGGAGGCATCACGCTACCTGACTTCAATCTATACTACAAGGCTACAGTAACCAAAACATCATGGTACTGGTACCAAAACAGAGATATAGGCCAATGGAACAGAACAGAGGCCTCAGAAATAACAACTCACATATACAACCACCTGTCTTTGACAAACCTGTCCATAAAAAGAAATGGGGAAATGATTCCCTATTTAATAAATGGTGCTGGGAAAACTGGCTAGTCATATGTAGAAAGCTGAAACTCGATCCCTTCCTTACACCTTATACAAAAATTAATTAAACATTAGACCTAAAGCCATGAAAACCCTAGAAGAAAACCTGGGCAATACCATTCAGGACATAGGCAAGAGCAAAGACTTCATGACTAAAACACCAAAAGAAATGGCAACAAAAGCCAAAATAGACAAATGGGATCTAATTAAACTAAAGAGTTTCTGCACAGCAAAAGAAACTACCATCAGATTGAACAGGCAACCTACAGAATGGGAGAAAATTTTTGCAATCTACCCATCTGACATAGGGCTAATATCCAGATCCAGAATCTACAAAGAATTTAAACAAATTTACAAGAAAAAAACAACCGCATCAAAAAGTGGGCAAAGGACATGAATAGACAGTTCTCAAAAGAATACATTTATGCAGCCTCATCATCACTGGTCATCAGAGTAATGCAAATCAGAACCACAATGTGATACCATCTCACACCAGTTAGAATGGCAATCATTAAAAAGTCAGGAGACAACAGATGCTGGAGAAGTTGTGGAGAAATAGGAATGCTTTTACACTATTGGCGGGCGTGTAAATTATTTCAACCATTGTGGTAGATAGTGTGGCGATTCCTCAAGGATCTAGAACTAGAAATACCATTTGATCCAGTGATCCCATTACTGTGTATATACCCAAAGGATTATGAATCATGCTACCATAAAGACACATGCACATGTATGTTTATTGCGGCACTCCTCACAATAGCAAAGACTTGGAACCAACCCATATGTCCATCAGTGATAAACTGGATTAAGAAAATGTGGCACATATACACCATGGAATACTATGCAGCCATAAAAAAGGATGAGTTCATGTCCTTCGCAGGGACATGGATGCAGCTGGAAACCATCATTCTCAGGAAACTATCACAAGGACAAAAAACCAAACACTGCATGTTCTCACTCATAGGTAGGAATTGAACAATGAGAACACATAGACACAGGAAGGGGAACATCACACACTGGGGCCTGTCGGGGGGTGTGGGGCTGGGGGAGGGATAGCATTAGGAGAAATATCTAATGTAAATGATGAATTGATGGGTGCAACAAACCAACATGGCACATGTATACCTATGTATCAAACCTTCACATTGTGCACGTGTACCCTAGAACTTATAGTACAATAATAAAAAAAAGAAATTAATTCTAGACAAAGGAAAGACTATAACCTTCCTAAGAATACGGTTGAGGCTGCTTCAACAGGCTCCTGGAAATAGAGTGAAAGCTATCTTTCAATGTAAATGGTCTAATGGAATGGTTCAGCAGTGTAGAGTGAAAGCATTTAGGTAATTTCTTCCCTAAATATGGAATGCTTCCTTGAAATTCCGAAGCTCCTCTAATTAACAGTCAGCAATTTGGAAAATATGTGTAAAAGATACTTTTGTCGACTACTCATGAATTAGGACGTTATGGTCTTTGAACTTTAAATTGTATCATCTGATGTCTCAAGGCAGAAACCTGTAATATGTAACCTATGGTAGGGTTAGAGATGATTCTATCATATGTGCCTTCAATCTAATTACACACAGTAGCTCATGAAGACTGACAGGAAGACAGGGAGCATGCTTAGCACAGGCATCTTATACCCACCTTGAACATCACTGACCTACATGCATGCTCCCTACTACATCAGCCACAGAAACCTGACTGTCTCTTGCCATTTTATTATTCAGTCACTCAAGGGTTCACTGCAGAAAGGATTTAAAATGCAATTATTCTTTAAGAGTCAGAGAATTTAAAATTTAACAAAATCCAAGAACAGTCATTTGGGTCTTCATACAGGAAAGAAAACATCAAGCAGGTTGCTCACTTAGGAACCATGAAATCTCAACTCAGATATTATAACTGGAGTGAAATTGATTGTTAGGAAAAATCATAACTTTGTATTCTATCCAACAGAACATGAAAATACGGAAATCAACCTTGAAACAGATTTTAATATACCTGATTTGCGTTTACTATTTTCAATAACAGAAGAAGATGGGTGTAGAATTTATGGAATTCACCCAAAATCTCACAAATTGTGTTAGATCTGGTACTAGAACCTCCTTCAGTACTCAGCATATTTCACACAAAGTGGTATTACAAATGTATTATGTATTTATTAAAAGCAGAAATTGAAAATAATCTGAAAATTGTTAGTTGTTGGTTATAGTCACAAGTAAGAAAATGCTTTCATATTTGATGATTCAATATGGCTTTGACCCCATTTGTTTCTGTATCTGATAGTGTTTAAGTCTTCCAGTCAGGCATTTGGGGTCGGAACAACTTTTCAAAGAAAGCCTGCATTTGAATTGTGTTTTTAAAGGGGCAGTAATATTCTCTCTTTTTATTATCAAAAGTATAGTATTGTGAAAAACAGAAAGCATGTAATTTTGCCTCTTAATGGATAGCATACCTCCTTCTGGCATTTTAAATTGCTCTAAATTTAGCAGAATTTTCTCCTGGACATCAGGACCATCTCTGCATTCATCCCCAGTCTTTGACTCAGACAGCTCCTGGAGATCAGTTTCCAGGTCAGGCACTAAAAAATACAAAGGTTCTTGATTGAAGCAGGCAAACAAGAAAGGCAAATAAGGAAATGATAGTATTCTTTTCCTCAGCGTTATGAAATAAAAGCCCGTGGACTACTGTGCTAATAAATGTCATGTAAAGATGTCACACTTTTGTTTTCCTGTATTATAAGATCTTATCTTAAATGACAGTCTGAGGATAAATCACACCACACCTACATTTCGCATACTTTACCATTGTGTATTATGAACAGTGAATATCGACTAAGAAATCTGAAGTCTGGATAAATTTTAATCATAAATGAAATGCAATTTTCTAAAGGATTAGATCAATGTATTTGGCTGCTTATGAGAAATCTTACAATTGAACTCCCATCCCTTGTTGAGGTAACTTGAAAATTATTTGGATAAAGTTAGTTAACGTTATGCTTAGGTTCAAGGGCCCTATATGTAAGTTTATATAAATGAATCACATTTAGAATAATGTACCAAAATAACAGGAAACTAACTGTCTTCCAGTGAGGGCACAGGAAATTGAGTGCAAAGAAATTAGTGGTCATCGTTGACAGTTATATTCTGGAAACCTCTTAACAATGAATTGCTAAAATAATCCACTTCCCAAATTCTGCCAATGTTTAGTGTGAAAATGGTATCCACTGAGTAAACAACTTCTGATTCAGCTTATGGTACTTTGAGTTTTCTAATTATGAAAATGCTTCGGAAACTTTTAAAAGCCCCTTCAAAATCATACTAATATAGCGACCTGTATGCCAGTGTCCTGAATTATCCACCTTTTACCAAACATCCTGAAAAAATACCAATCAAAGGATACCACTCTAAGAGTGGCTGTCATTTATTGAGCTCTTTTCTGGAGTTGCTATTCTGCTTCATTGGACTGTGTTTTGTCCTGAGCCAATACTGAAGTACCTTACAGTACACACACATTCAAAAAGTATCTTAAGCAAAACCACTGACCTTTCTTATTACAACATGGATAACACAAACCTTGGGACAAAATATGAATTTTGTCTCCATGAGTCAAGGGTTCTTGGTAAACCTCAATCCCTGAGCCTCAATTTTCCTATTTATAAAATGGGGCTAACATCCCTATGCAAATGGGCTTTATTCAGGGTGTTACAAGGTAGGATGACTTGGCACTCTACATGCTATTAAAGGGTGTTTATAGCACTGTTGATGCAATGGCTTAGAAGATCATAAAGCAACATTCTAAGAAGAACACATTAAACAAGTGAAATACTGCATATTTTTATACATAAAATTAAACTGCTTCATCTGATTTAGCAAGGACTATATTTTCAAGCATACAAAATACATCCTGAAGAAAAAGAAAATATTCGTTACATCCAGGGACTGCATGAAGCTGCAAACTATACCCTTCGCTTTTCCAGCGAACTTTCAGCAAGTGTTTGAGATCCTTTCCTAATGTTTTCTTTCCTCCTGTTACTGGTCATGACGTAAGGCATGATGCACACATAGGCCTCCTCCCCACCATAGACATTCTTTCTTTCCCTTCCCAGCACCTTGAATCTCAGCTGCACCCTGATCTCTCTCCTGACCAGGTGTAGGATCCCAACTTTCAGTTGGTGGTTCTTGTTGTTGAGGCTCCTCATCACTGGGCTCCTGGGACCATGGCTGCATGTGTACAAATAAAAAGTTTTGTTATCAATACATGTCAATAATGTAAATATACAGAATACATAGATATTTCTGATCATAAGTAAGTCTAAAGACATTTCTCCAACACTATTCCATGTACTTATTATTCATAAAGTTATTCTTCCCACAGAGAGGTTACTCTAAGACAGAATTACCCTCAAGGGCTTTGGAAGGTGATTTAATCTATGTTGGGATGGATGTGTGCAATCTGTTATGAATAAGCATACGGAGGAAGTCATGGGCAAAATCTGGGGAACACAGGGTTATCCATCCAGGCAAAACCAGAATGTACGCCAGGTACAGTGGCTCTGGCCTGTAATCCCAGCACTTTGGGAGGCCGAGGCAGGTGCATTCCCTGAGCTGAGGAGTTTGAGACCAGCCTGGGCAACACGGGGTCTCTAGTAAAATACAAAATGAAATTAGCTGGACATGGCGGCATGCGCCTGTAGTCCCAGCTACTCGGGAGGCTGAGGCAGGAGAATTGCTTGAACCCGGGAGGCAGAAGCTGCAGTCGCCAAGCCTGGGCGACAAAGCAAGACTTCGTCTCCAAACAAACAAACAAACAAAAACAACCAAAAAAACAAAACAAAAAACAGAACATAATCCTCTTGGATTGGTCTTTCCTTCATGAGATGCCATGATCATTGTTTATCAGCTTGGAAGACCTTTAACAGTGTATATATACTAGTTCAACAACACTATCACAAAAAGAAATTTCTGCTAATAGAAAACAACGAATGTTAAAGCATTCACAAGCATAGGCCTAATCAGCTCAGGAGTTTGTAAACTTCATCTTGGTCTAGGCCTACGTGTTGATCTTCCTCACCAGATTATATTTCACTCTGCAAAGAGAATACAAAAATACTGTGATTGGGAAAATAGACTTGAGAGGATAGCTATATTTGAGCACTTCCATGGCCAAATGTTAACTTGTCATTTTTTTAAAGTTTGGAAATACTTTGAAGGTAAGTCCCAGGGCAAGTATAACTTTGTGTGCCTTCTGAATAGAATGCTTGCACAGTCACTTAAGGTGGTGAAGCTAGCCAAATAATGCCTTAAGGCTCCTGGCAAGAGTCACTGGATATCTCTGATGTGGTTTGAGGCATTTCTGGGACTCAGATACCTCCAACAGCACCCACAACACGTGCCCCATTTTAACCCGATCCCCTTTGCGCCAAGGCCCTCCTTCCTTCCTAGTTGTGGCCCTGACAAAAAAGAAGGCCCCTGGCTGTGGCGCCATGTGAAAAGGATGAAGACCTCCAGGCCCTTCTCCCTCTGAGTCTCCCTCCCCCTGATGACCCTCTGGAAGCCTGCTGGCTCCTCCTCACCCTCACTCACACTTCAACTCCCAGTTGGATTGGCCTGTGGACCTACCTGCTGCGTCTCAGTAGGAGAGAAAGAATCCAGACCTCAGGAACTTGACCTCACAGCTCCAGGGAATTCACCACGTGGGCGAACGGGTAGAGTAGAAGATGCTCAGTGAACATGCGCACTGAGGTGGGCGCCCAAAGAGCATGCGCAGTGAGATGTGTGCTTGCCTTAGGGGCTGTGGTGTCCCTCCTTGTTCCCCCTACCCCTGCTCTTTCCTCCATCCCTTCCTAGGACCCCACTAAGGACTTTGGAATCCATCCTCCCTTGTGTGTTTTTTTTATGCCTCTGAGACTCAAATATCTCAATATCACCGTTCAAAACTCACTCTGTGTTCACCTGACCCTCCTGCCCTCTATGGCCCTTGTTCCTCCCTTGTCTGGGCCCCTCAAGGGAGCAAGTGCATGGTGGTGTTGCTGACTTCTAGTAGAAGGATGAGGATCTCTATCAGGCCGTGGACCAAGTGGCCCAACCCATCGAAGTCTGCTCACTTTCCCTCATGTTCACTCACACTCAACTTCTGGGAGGACTGATCTATGGACCTATCTGATGTGTTATAGTTAGCAAGAAAGAAGTCACAACATTTCCTCCCACAGCTCTGCAGGGACAGAAGGCAGAGAGCATGGCCCACAGGGAACAGGAATTTGCATAGGAAGGGACATGCACATTGAGCCAGGGACTTTCAGGGAATGCCAGAGTTTTCCCTCTGTCACCATGATAGCAGCAGCCACTGCCATCATACTGGCTGCAGCAGGGAAGCCCAGCCAGAGCTGCATGCTCTGTGGAGCCAGCAAAAGCCAGGGACAAGTGGGATCCCCACCTTTTACAAGTTGGGGAGGGAGCCCCTGGGTGCCCCTGCAGCCACCCAAACTGCAGTTGAAGACCCAGACTTCTGGCTCTATGGAGCAGGCAGGATCCCTGCCCTCCTGGGTGCAGCTGTAGCCACTGGATCCATGGCTGCAGACCCAGGAGCTGGGGACAAGTGGGAGCCCCAACCCTTCAGAGTTGGCGGGTCAGGAGCTCCTTGGGTGCAGCTGCAACTTCCCTCCAAGGTGCAGGACCCAGGTGTGTCTGTAGCCTGCAATCTCTGAAGCCTGGGAAGGCCCCCACTGTCCCTGGGGAGCAGGGAACAGGGGACACTGTCCCTGGGGAGCAGGCTCAGAGGTGTCTGCTCCCACTACCTGGTCTCTCCCTGCTCCCAGCACCCACTATGATTTCAGAGCAGGTTGTGGGCTGAGCCCCTGCACTCTCACAGCTCAGATGGGCTTGCACATGGGCAGGTCAGCCCTGGAATGCCAGCCCCCTGCCACCTCAGACCCCTCCAGAATTTGGGTGCCAAGAAACATGAGAGGGGAAGCCAAGGGGGTGCTGAGGGCAGCTGGGTAGTGCTCTGCAGGTCCGAGCAGCCTGGGCACCATGGACTGCAGTGGGAGGCAGACAGGGTCCAGAGCAGAAGGGGGTGGTCCTAGGTAAGGTCCCACCTTCAGGCCAGGGATGGGCCAGGCTGCCAATCCCAGAGACCAGAGTATGGACTTGTGGTGCCTTTTCTAGGCCCACCCATGGACTAATGTACATGCACTTTCTCCCCTCTGAGGTCCGTAAATGCCTGGGACTCAGCCAGAGCAGGGCAGAGGATGGGAGACAATGGGACAACCAGCTGCAGAGAGGAGCTACCCTCTCCAGGGCCTCCTCTCTGCTGAGAGCTGCAGATGTTGGAAAGACCTGCCTGCAGAGAGGAGACACACTCTTCAGGGCCTCCTCTCTGCTGAGAGCTGAACACTTGACCTGACGACCTGCCTAAAGAGGAGCTACTGACTGTGGATCTCCTCTGAGCTGTTCTAACACTCAATAAAGCTCCACTTGTTTGCATACCTTATTCTTCCCAGATGCATTAACAAGAACTTGAACAAAGGTGCCACCAGACACAGAGGTTTCCAGCCAGAAAATTGACTGCCCAAAGATCCCATATAACCCGTACCCACATCCACAGGGCATTTTTTAGTAAAAAAAAAAAAAGGGGGGGACTTAAGAGAGCTTTTGTTTATTTGCCCAATCTCCTGCATTGAGAAACACTGGAAACACGCAGTCCCACGTCATCCTTAGTGGAGGATATATTTCTTTTGTGACAGAAATAAGGAATTTTATGTCTGTACACGTGCTTTTTTCTAAGGATATTGCTCTGTTGCCAAGGCTGGAGGGCAGTAGTATGACCATACCTTTCTATGCAGCCTCCAACTCCTGGGCTCAAACAATCCTCATGCTGCAGTCTCCCAAGTGGGTGGTACTACAGGTGTGGACACACCTGGGCAATTGATTCATTTATTTTTAGAGAGTGGTCTCACTATGTTGTCAATGCCAGTCTCAAATTCCTGGGCTCAAGCGATCCTCCCACCTTGGCCAATTTTTATACATGGTTTGATTAATGACTTTTTTCTGTGGTTCTGAGTTTTCTGCCATGCTTCCAGTAATGTAACAATAAAAGATCTTACAGGACAATAGTCCTACTGCATTTTATTTATTATTATTATTATTATACTTTAAGTTTTAAGGTACATCAGACTAACAATTATTACACGTCAGATTTTATGTCACCATTATGCTCAAATGACACATTGACCAAGACATAAAATGAAAGATTCTGAGATTTTGATATTTTTAACAAATCAACTTGAGAAATATACAATCATGGAATATCAGGAAAATTCTCCCCTTGAAGCTCATGCAGGATAGGTGAGCCCCAAAGTTGGAGCTTATTCCAGGAGAGTTCTTGGCTTTGCCTTGGAGAGAATTTAAGCATGAGCTGGTGGTGTTAGACAGCAATACTTTTACTGAACAATATGGCTCCTTTCTGAACAGGGCTAACCCACAGGCAGTGAGCCAGCAGGCAGCAACCTATGGGCTCTTGACAACTGTATTTATATTCATTTACACTCACTTTCAGTTCCATGTAAAGGGGTGGGTTAATGCAAATTGAAGGGTGAGTTATTTAGAACTGTCTAGTAATGCAGGGAGGCAGAGGAGGGTGAATTTCTGGTTCATTGCCATGGCAGTTGTAAACTGTCATGGCGCTGGTGGGAGTATCATGTGCTAGTGAGCAATGAGGGCAGCTAAAGATTGTGATCATCTCTATCTGTGGGTTCATGTGGGTTCCTTCACCCTCTCCTGTGGGGACCATGATTTAAGTCCTGTCAGGACCTGGAATTAAATCCTGTGTGTCTTCTACTTCAAAACTACAAGAGAATGCAGGATTTTCTTTCTCATTAAAATCAGGTATCCCTTTAATCATTCCAAGCATATTTTTTATTGCATGCAGCCATTCAAAGTTTGCTTTTTCACAAATGCTTAGCCTAAATCTTCTATTCAGCTTCAGTTTCAGCTTAGGATGTTTAGGAAGACCAAGTAGCCAAATTCTATGCCAACAAGATTTCTGGCATCCCTATACTACTTTGTGATCCTGCTAATTCTTATGTGACCATCATATCTAACCAATAACACATCATCAGTACTATAAACAAGCCATAACATTTGGAGTCATGGTTATCATGTGAACTTTCTCCTTCAATAATAGGTAATATTTTTAGATGTAACTTTGAATAAAAATCTATTTTTATGATTAATATATTGATATCCTGCTAGTCAGTGAAGGTACAAATGTATATTAATCATTGATAGAGTAATAATCTGCCATAATTAATGATAATTGTAAAAACTCCTAATATTATGTGTAGAAACAAAGAATAGTCTTTCAGATGAGTAGTTAGGAAATAGATTGAGAGTTCAATAAAAAGAGAGCATACGTAAGTTAGAAAATATCTGGAAGAATGTTATATTCTTCTTGATTAGACCCATGTTTATATAAATGTATGCATTATAACATAAATATGTATTTACATTGATACAAATTCTTGGTAAACATAGTGAAAAACATTCATTTATATCATGTTTTTAATGTTGCTTGTTGAAAAATTACAAAACACAGAAAATCATAAACAAAAATCTCAGCAATGGGAGATTTATAAAAGTGCCCATTTAACTGCAGCATTATTAAGAATATCCATGGGTATTCCTTGTTTATTCAAAAATAAGTGTTTTCTAACTTGATGGAGAAAGTTTCAATTCAAATGTTGCTTTATTTTTCATTCTGAAATTACTAGAAAGTGCATAAGTGTTTCTATATCTTTATAGTTTGAACTGTTTTGGTGCTAATTTTTCATTTTATTCTTATATTTATTTATCATGTTATATCCATACTGTTTTAAATTTTTTCATCTCAAAAGTTTTTGTGTGTACCAAGAATATTAACTCTGTCACGTTATATAAAGAATAATTTTTCTGTTGATATATTGTTTCAAAATTGTTGATGCCTTTCATTATTTTTTCTTCTTTAAAAATGTTTACTTAACAACTAATAATTACACATATTCATGGGGAACAGTGTGATAATTTGATATATGTATACAATTTAAGATATGGGTGAGTTATAAAAGGGACTGGATAGATGTGCAACAAATTATTTACCTCACATTGTGAAATCGTGGCTGTTAGTTTTTATTCTGCTAGTCCACATTTTATAATTTTCTATAAAAAGCATCTACTACTTTTTAATCAGAAAAGAAATATTTTACATCAAGAAAATTAATATTAAATTCCTTTAGAGAGAATATACAGTCACAAATCTTTGATAAAATAAATAGCAATATGCTATTTACTTTATTATGGTGAACTTCTGGTTCATTGCCATGGCATTTATAAACTATCATAGCGCTAGTGGGAATGTCCCATGCTAATAAGCAATGAGGGCAGCCAGAAATCACCCTCACAGCCACCTGCTGGTTTCTGCCAGTTTCACTATCAGATCCTGTTTGGATCAGATCCTGTTTTAGTCAGTAGGGTTATGACCAGAAAACAAGTCCTGCTGGTCTCCTACCTCACGGTACACGTTTGTGTATTCACATGAGCCTTGGGCCAAGTTCCCCCGACTGAAACTATGGTATCATAAAGCTGGATGATTTCTTGAGGGGATATAGTAAGATAAGAAAGTAATCCATACTTTTCAATCTGTGAGTAAATAAATTAAATAATGGATGAAAAAATGTATACAATAATGCAAAGCAGAATAATACATATTAAATTAATATGAAGTTGCAGCAAATTTTTCTTTATCAGACCCAATAATAAATATTTCAGTCTTTGTAGGCCATGTAGTTTCTGTGTCATATTGTTGTGTTTTTTAGAAATAATACTTTAAAATGTAAAAAGAAAAAAATGCTTATCTCAAAAGCTATGCAAAAATAAGCCACAGGCTGGAATTAGCTTTCAAGCCACAGACAGCTAGCCACTGGATTATCTTTAATTCAAATATTTGAATACTGTATTTTTGTACCAGTAGTCAAAATATTAACAAAGGAGAGTTATACCCCAAGTAAGATTTTGAAAGCCTCAAGAGAAAGTCACTCTAGCCCTGAAAATGAGAAAAAGCCTAATAATCTGAAAGAATACAGGGGATTTTTTAGATCATGATCTAAAAAAGACCATCAAGGTAACAAGGCAGCCATGGGAACTGATACAAAAGGGTGACTAGTCCCTCTAAGGAGAGATGAGGCACACAAACTGTGTCACCTCTGGCAGAAAATGTGTGGAAGAAGTGGCAATCATAAAAGTGGGTAAGAAGGAAACAACTGAAAATGTAACAGATTCATAAAGGCCAAACATATGCAATTGAGAGAGCTGGAATCCCTGGAAGTCTCAGAGACAAGTGGAATTCACATCCACAGGCAGAGTGAGATCCTGTCTCAGAAAAAATTGTCTGAGTTTATAAGACTGGATAAAAAAGCAAGAACGAAAATAACAGATGCTGGTGAGTTTGTGTAGAAAAAGCAACACTTGGCACCCTGCGGGTTGGAGTATAAATTAGTTCAACCGTTGTGGAAAGGAGTGTGGTGATTACTCAAAGACCTAAGAATAGAAATACCATTTTGATGCAGCAATCCCATTGCTGGGACTCTACCCAAAGGAATAAAAATCTTTCTATTATAAAGACATATGCACATGTATGGTCATTGCAGTACTATTCACAATAACAAAGACATGGGATTAACCTAAATGCCCATCAGTAGTAGACTGGATAAAGAAAATGTGGTACATATACACCATGGAATACTATGCAGCCATTTAAAAAAGCGAGATCATATCCTTTGCAGGAACATGAATGGAGCTGGAGGGCATTATTGTTAGCAAACTAATGCAAGAAATGAAAACTAAATACCACATAGTCTCACTTATAAGTGGGAACTAAATGATGAGAACACACAGACACATAGAGGGGAAAAACACACACTGGGGCCTATTGGAGGGTAGAGGGTGGGCGGAAGAAGAAGATCAGAAAAATATTTAATGAGTACTGGGCTTAATACCTGAGTGATGAAATAATCTGTACAGCAAACCCCTGTGACACAAGTTTACCTAGGTAACAAACCTGCACATGCACCTCTCAACGCAAAATAAAAGTTTCAAAAAAAATCACAAAAAATTGTGAAATATTCTGATCTTTCTATTGAGAAAAAAATCAGTTCATTTCTTTTTATTAAGGAAGGAAGGAAGGAAAGAAAGGAGGGAAGGAAGGAGGGAGGGAGGAGAGAAGGAGAAGAAAACAGAAAAGAAAAACAGGGCTGAACAAATGTGTCTGTGTCTACCTGATAAGAAGGCACTTTGAGCAACTTGAGTGAGAAGTAACATAAATCAGAGGATCACAAACAGCCTTTCAAAAGTTATTCTGGCTGGTTTTTCTGAGCGATTCAATCCTGCCTTGGGTTCCATTGAAACCATGTATTGTCCTGAAGGGTACCTCTTCCCTGGATTAACAGCCCAGCTGAGGACCAACAGAGACTGGTTAGTTTAGGAAAAAAAGGAAAAGGAAAATACAGAAGACCAACATATTCCCCTCTCCCATGATATTGTTCTCCTTTTTACGTTTCCCACTCAATCTACAGAAGGATATTTGAACACCAAAATGTCAAAGCTAAGAGAGCTCTGAGAGACCAACCAATATTGTCATTTTTCAAAGAACTTTTAGCCAGAGAACACTTTTGTAAAATGAAATTTTATCCAAAACCCTACTGCAGAAAATGGGGGGATAAAATGATATTTTTATACAAATATATCGCTTTAGTTTCAAGTTATCTTTCTATAAAGGCTGTCAAAGAGTTTGATTGAGGTTCTTTTGCAGAACCTAACAAATTATTCTGTGGATTTCTGCATAACACTTCAGTTCTATATTAACTTCTGCATCTAATTTTTTGGTATTATAATTGTTGTGGCACAGCTGCAAGAAGATCTTGATTTTTACAATATATTTATCAGTAATCTGCATCTTGAAAAAACCCCACTTTAAAAATAAATAAGTTATAAGTAAAGGATAGAAGAAGATATAACCCCACAAATATGAATCAAATAAAAACTGGAGGTATTAAATTAATAACTCACAAAGCACATTTTATAGTGGAGATTATTACAAGAGACAAAGTGGGACATTACATAATAATCATAGAGAGGTGCATTGATTCAGAAGACAGAAACACCATGAGTATGTATGCACCTTTGAAATACATGAGGGAAAAAACCAATACATCAGAAAGAAGAAATAGACACATATCCATTTATAGTAGAAGACTTCAACATTCCTCCCAGCAATTGGTAGGAAACGTGTACCAAAAAAAAACCCCAGGATATATAAATGCAAAAGGCTTAAACAACATTATCAACAACTTGGACTAATTGATATTCATAGAACAATAGCAGAATGCACGTTCTTCTCAAGTGCTCATGGAATGTTCACCAAGATAAACCATATTATGGGCCAAAAAACAAATTTCAGCAAATTCAACAGGAGTGAAATCTTATAAAACATGTTTTGTGACCACAAAAGGATTGAAATAGAAACTAGTTGTAGATACCTGGAATCCATGAAATATTGGAAATTAAACAACACTTTTAAGTAATGCAGGGATAAAAGAAGAAATTGTAGGGAAAATTTTAAAATGAAAACGAAACATATCAAACTTTGCAAGATGAAACTAAAGCATAGGGGGGAGATGTATACCATTCAATACTCACATCAGAAAGGAAGAAAAGTCTTAAATTGGCCAGGTGCGGTCAGGCGCGGTGGCTCACACCTGTAATCCCAGCACTTTGGGAGGCTGAGATAAGAGGATTGCTTGAGGCCAGGAGGTCAAGACCAGCCTGGTCAACACAAGGAGACCCTATCTCTAATTTTTTTTTTAAAAAATGCATCATAGAACTAAATGTAAAAGCTAATGTTACAACACTTCTAGAAGAAAATTTATGAGGATCTGTGGCATCATGTTAGACAAAGATAGATAGGATACAAAAAGCACAAACTATGAAATAAAAAATTCATACTGTTTTTAAATTTATATACCTATGTCCTATCATTACCCAGTGACTACTTACTTCTCAAAGCATTATACAAATCAAATGAAGAGGTCACTAGAGGTCTAATTGCCTAGAGAAATTTCCATGCAGATTTTTCCCACAAGATCATGATGACTAAACCCCACCATAGCATTTAGGTTCCTTGAGTCCCTGAAGAGCTGAAGAGATAATCCAAAGATCAGCCAAGGGGTCAAAGGTAGTCTTGACGTTGTATCTCTGGAACACGCTCCAGGAAAATGTGGGAACAGCAACAATATTAACAGCAAAAAAATAACAGCTAGAATTGATTGGAAACTTACTATATGCCAGGAACTGTTCTGACGACTGTACTTGTCTTCACATAGTCAGTGCTCTAAACTGCCTGCAAGAAGTAGATGACTTTACTAGTACTATTTCCAAAGAACTAATGGAGAAAGGAGGCAAGAGATGTTAAGTAGTTTTCTCAGTGTCACCCAGCAGTGAGTGCTGGAGCCGCGTGGGTCAGAGGCATCATGAAAACATCTACTATGCTTACATATTTATGCAATCAAGGACAAGACCCAAAGGCAACTGCAAAATATTTACAATTTTACAGCAAGGAACTGTACAGTGAATGGAAATTTGATTTCTTCAGAAATCATTTAGAGATGGAGGCTTGAAAGGACTAGTCTGGGTATCATTTGGAGATGGTGTCCTGAGAGCATCATTAGAGTAACAGGCAGCATGTGAGTGTGGGTCTCCTCACCTGAAGATCCTGAGTTTATACATCAGAGAACACTCCAAACCTGTCCCTTCTGTACCTTCACAAAGGAGAAAGAAGCTGTGTGGCTGGGAAAGGAGACTATTCCCCTCCTCTAGTAGTTCTCAAACAAGTTTCTATGAAAGTTGGAACCCAGAATCTTTTAAAAATGCAGGCTCCAGGATTCACACCCAATGAATCTCATGTAGTGTGGCCATAATGGTGCCCTAGGATCTGGGAATTTACCACCCAGCCTAGGGAACTTTCAGAAACCTTATTAAATCCCTTAGGTAGCAAGACTGTCTGCACTCTTGCTACCCACTCTTCCCAGGGCAGACAGGAGGTTTAGAAGAGCGACCTCAGAGCACACAGGAACTCAGGATAAATGAACACAGTGTGAGTCACCATAACGGTAAGGCAGTGCATCTTATGAGAAGACCTTGCAACTCCTACTGGCCTTTCTCCCTGAAGGACTCAGTTTATCTCAAATCCCTTCTCCTCATGGGTAGTGGATGGAGGGGTGTCAGGAAATGACCTTTTAGATCACAAAAGGGCATAGGCTATTCTCAAGGACCATTGAACACATTGGATGGGAGGTGATGAAAGCTATTGTCCCCCTCCCACCAGCCTTGGTTTCATTCTTCATGTCCTTCCATGGGAACCTGGAGCAATGTCAGGACTTAAGGCCAATGTCTTCCCTTCACTAACAGACTCCAGCCCTTCACCTGAGGAGTTCGTCTCCCCTCTCCTCCCTTCAGCTGTCCTTCTCCTGGTCTCATCTGCGAACCCACAGCAGATAGCTGTCCTTAGCAGCCTGACGACCTAGCCTGGCCCCTTCCTCCTGTGTCCCAGCCTGGAGAGGGCTGTCCTCGCCGAGGGGAAGGACACCAGTCCCAGGATCCCAGAGCCATGACTACTACAGAACCATCCTGAGCATCAATGTCCCATGGCAGTGGTTGACCTGTGAAATGAAGCTCCACCACACACCCCAGCTGGCCCTGAAATACTTCCTTTTCTTTTTGTCTTATTTGAGACAAGGTCTCATTGTCGCTCAGCTTGGAGTGCAGTGGAGAAATCATAGATCACGACAGCCTCCCATCTCGGCCTCCCAAGTAGATGGGATCTCCCTATGTTTTGCAGGCTGATTGCGAACTCCTGGGCTCAAGCAGTCCTCGCACCTCGACCTCCCAATGTGCTGGGATTAGAGGGCTGAGCCACCTCTCTTGGTCCTGAAAAACTTTCTTATCACAGAAAGTAAGACAGAGGAGGAAGGTGCCTGCAACCCCTCCTGGGGAACATTGTGTTCTTTTCCATGGTAGAGAGCTATTTACTCTGTATTGACCACAACATTCCTATTCTTTTGATGTAAATAAGAAGATTGAGGGTACTTCCTTTCAGTCCTAAATATGTAATTTATAACTAGAATATCATTGCCTATTTTGGGACATTTAGGAAATTTTTGAGGGCAGCTTTGGTTGTTGGAATGATTGGCAGAGGCTACTGTCATTTGGGGACTGAGTGTTACAGGGAGGCAAATGACTTTTTCCAGAGTCTTAAATAAACTGGATTTTCCATATATGTCACTCCCTGTAAACTGAGAAAAGCTTGTAAATGTTGCTTCATCTGGGAACTCACAAAGACTTATTGACTGCTTTGGCAATCACATCACTGCAGAGCATTCCATTCTTAGATTGCACTCTGACACAACATACCAGTATCAATTTGTTTTGTAGCTTTGCATGCCTGGGGTAAACAATGAGGGGAATCCAACTTACCTACTAAAGGGATTGTTTCCAGGATGAGCTGTTAGTTGATGGGGAAAATCAAGCGGGAGATGTTGGTAGTGTGATCTCTCATGAGTTTAGTGAACACACCAGCTATGCCTGTTGCTGTTACTGCACTGAAGTTCTCTTTGCAGGTGTATCTCCCTCACCAGGCTCTCTGGTCTCTTCTGGAAGGCTGGAAACATACTCAGTAGATCCCTGTGTCTTCAGGATGAGATAGTTGACCTCACAGGCATAAGGGAGTCAGGGAACACTTGTGGAATTGTAGTGATCTCTACATGGTTGGAAGACCAAACCCTGAGTCACAGTGATGAGCCACATGGATGTCAGTCTGTACAGGGTGGGAGGAGAATGCCACAGGCCTCTGTCTTAGGAGCCATGCAGCAGAGTGAGACCAACCTGCAGTACTGATCTCAGTTATGCCCTTTAAGGGTCCCAGATGTAAGCAGCCTATTAGTTAAGGCTCCCTGTGTGTGTGTGTGTGTGTGTGTGTGTGTGTGCGCGCGCACGCGCGTGCATGCAGAGAAAGAGAGAGAGAGAACTTGATTTTGAGGAAGTGGATCATGCAAATATGGGGGCTGGAAAGTACAAACCTTGCAGAGCAGGATGTCAGGCTGGAGTCCCATGGCAGAGGTGATGCGATCACTCAAATTTAAGGGCAGTGTAGAGGCAGAATTTCTTCATCTTGAGGAGAACTTCGGTCTTCTTTTCTGAAAGCCTTCAAGTGACTGGATGAGGCCCACCCATATTGTAGAGGGCAATTAAGTTTACCCAGTGTCTGTTTATTTAACTGTAGTCTCAGCTGAAAAACACCCTCAGAGAGACACCTACCCTGGACAAAGTGAACAATTTTGTCTCGATCGTGACTGAGCCAAGTTGACAAACCAGATTTCCCATCATAGCCATCTTATACAAATCCTATTAATTGTGAAGGTCTATCTGACAAAGGCAGGTGACTTCCTAACTAAGATTCTATATTATCCTTTTTTGTCCAGCCCAAGCCTCTATTTCAGGCCCGGTACAATTCTGACCAGGAAGCTGAGGCTGATGTAAATGCCTTCCAGGGTTCAGGCAGGGTCAGGATAGTCAGGGCGCACATGCAAGTACAATCCCAGAGGGCACAATTGATACCCCTGGACTCTAAGAGTTTACCCTTGTTAGGGTACCCCCAGCAGGATGTACATTAGTTAGGCAGGAGCTGGCCAAGGCTCCCAATGTGGCCTCCCACTGCGTGACCTTTCCCTCTGGGGTTTCTTATCCAGTCCAAACAATTCATTTGCATCTTTGGTTTAGGGGAACTGTCAGAAGGCAGTCAGTTCAGGGTAGTCATTGACACAAGTTCCTCCACTTCAAAAGCGTGGATGACATCCCCAGGTGTTGTGCCTGGGATGATCAGGAGCTGGGTTGCCCCTGCTGTCCCATAGTTGCAGCTGTGTTAGGTGTGATCTTGGGTTTAGTATTCAGTGTGATTTCAACCTTGACCACAGGGTATGACTGTGGTCTCCTCACAGGCAGAGAGACCCACCATCTGTGCTGTCACTGAGTACCTCCGATTCAGTGTCATACTGTGAGACTAGGACACAGTGCTGACACAATGCCGATCTTACTTTTGCTGTGTATGCAAGCAATCAACCACTTGGATCAATTTGGACTCATTTTCTTCTTACCGGCCAATCTATGGATATGCGACAAGGCAAACTAACAACAGCACTGGTGAACCTTGTAGCCATGTTAGCCACAACAGGGCTGTTTAGGAAATGCTTGAGCAATTGACACACTATTGTACTGAATTGTGTGTAGTGTTGCCTGGCCAGAACATTGACTAATTCCTCCTGGCATCACACGGAGCAAGAAGCAGTTTTCAGCACATACCATTGACTTAGGTTTGGCCTTTTCAGTTGGGTATTCACAAACAGACTTTAGAATTCATTTTACATCTGATACAATTAATTAACATATTTATTTAAATCAAATAAGTTTTGGAAGCCAAATGCATTTTAAAAGGTAGCTTGGTATTTTTACTTGCATTCCAAAAACGGTTATTACTTTATTATAGATGTAGTTGTAAATGTAAATTGAATGAAAAAATAGATTTTGAACAAAAAGCAGAAATGTAACTAGTAAACCAAATTTGTCTGCAATGTAATGCTTACTTCCTATATTATTTCATTTATTCTTCATAGCAAGTATTTAGTGTAAATATTCTAATTTCTACTTTAGAAATGGGGAAACTGTCCCACAGGATATAAGTATCTTGCCCACCCTCTCAAGGCCAGTGCGTGAGAGGCAGGATAGAAACCCATGGCTATTTCATGCCATAGCCTCTAAAGAGACAATATTGCTAGGACCCAAGTCATCTCTCATCAGCAAGTTGCCCTGGTTACTTTCCCCTGTCTACTACCTAGGCCCTAATTCTTTCATCCAGCTCTGCAGCCTAGGAACTTCTCACAAACTTTGTGGCAAATGGGATCCCCTACATTTAATCTCACTTTTTATTTGAATCCTAGCTTTTCAGTCCTTTTGGATAAAAAAAATTTTACAATCTCTGTAATAGGGAGAAATAATTGCTTATTATAATTTCCTTCCCCTCCTTAAGCAGTATGGATTCTGAGTAGGGTCCTTTGTTGCAGAATTCTCTTTGTGGATATGAAGATACAAATGGAGCTCAGAGTTGAAATTCCTGTATTACGTATAGTAAGAGGGGTATCAGGCTGGATCTAGGAAGCTTCAGGGGCTTCTGAATGAGATGTGGTGACTGTCAGACTGATGGAGTTTTATGTAGATGAAAAATAAGGTTTGCATGTAATACTATGCAGCCATAAAAAAGAATGAGATCAAGTCCTTTGCAGGGACATGGATGAAGCTGGAAGTCATCATCCTCAGCAAACTAATACAGGAACAGAGAACAAAACACCGCATGTTCTCACTCATAAGTGGGAGTTGAACAATGAGAACACATGGACACAGGGAGGGGAACAACACACACTGGGGCCTGTTGGGGGGTCAGGGGCAAGGGGAGCGAGAGCATTAGGACAAATATCTAATGCGTGCAGGGCTTAAAACCTAGATGACGGGTTGATAGGTGCAGCAAAACACATGGCACATGTATACCTGTGTGACAAATCTGCACATTCTGCACATGTATCCTGGAACTTAAAGTAAAATTTAAAAAAAAAAAACGAAAAGTTACTTAAAGAGGAAGCAAAATTTCTTTTAGAAATACAGAAGAGGAAGCTCAGCAGCCTAACTACATTAAAGAAGGCTTCATAGAGAAGGTAACACCTGAGCAGAATAAGGGAGCATAAATGGGAGTTACTCAAGTAAAGAAAGAGGGGTAAGCACATTCCGAGCAGAGAAGACAATATATATATATATATACAGACAGGGAGGAATAAAACAACATTGTATGTGGATGAGAAGTATGAGCAGTCCTTAACAATAGAATGCAAAATGAAAGGTGGAAAGTGGTGGTGATTGAAACTAGAAAGATCATAGGAGGGTGGAAAAGGGGAAATTTTGTATGTCGTGTTGAAAACTTGGAATATATCATACAGAAATATAAAATCAGTGCTAAGTTTTGAGTGATGGGGTTCAGGATACACTACCCCAGAATATGGGGGTATTTAGAAAACAGCAGAAACAGGAAGGTAGCTCTCACCTTCCCCCAACTCTTCTTCCCTGAAGCAGGTCATAAAATCCTCATTTGACAGGTGCTGTCTCTATACCCAGAGGAAATGAACATCTGTATATCTCCAAAAACACAAGGTCACTGACAGCAGTCTAAACAAACAGGCATAGCTGAGTTCTCCCCAGTTAACTATCATTAGATCATGCGTTTTTATCCAATCATACTTCTCCATCACTATGCACTTCTCCATCAAATCTAGAATAAATATACACAAGTTTTCCTGCTTCTTTGTGTTTTCCTTTCCCGATGTAAAACTTATATTAAATAAATGTGTGTACTATTCTAAAAAAAAAAATGAGGTTTGGTGCTTCTCCTTCCCTGGCTCTTAATAACTTTTAAAGAAAGGTCAGATGTGTTTGCAGGAGACGTTGTGGCATTTTCCATAGGGAATAAGGCATCAGTTCTTCTCTCCATGCTCCCACAAACTATTCCAAATGACTTTAGTATTCAAGTTATATTGTTCTGTAGCACAGTAAAATAGGTATGTTATCATTACTTTTTAAAATGTTTTTGTACCAATGGTTTCATCTCGGAATGCTTGTTAGCTCTATGTGCCATATTTTGGAAAACCCCTCCTTCAATAAAAGAACAAAGCCTTTCACCTTTAACAATGAAAAAATATACATCTTATATATTACCACAGATTTATATAAAAAATGAGATTACCACTAAAGTCAACATATACAACACCAGTTCTACATTCAATGCTGTCAGAAGCATTTGCTTCGAGAAAGCGCAGACTGTGAACTTAGAACTTGAATCCCCATATCTGCTTCTTACTAGAGTTATTTATTGTAAATTTTATGAAAACTCTGACTCACCTTTTTAAAGGATTAAATGAGGTCAGAAACAATGAAACATAGCTCAGAGAAGTGGCTAATGGATAACACATACTATATAAATGTGACTTATTATTATTCCTGTTTTTCTTAAAGAACTCAATAAATGGAGCTATTGTCATAAATATACACACCTTTGGTTATTCAACCCATTCACAACCACATACCACAGATCAAAATCATGTAGGCAGGCCCAGCACAGTGGCTCCCACCTGTTATCCCAGGATGTTTGGAGGCCAAGGAGGGAGGATCACTTGAGCCCACGAGTTCAAGATGAGCCTGGGGAACACAGCGAGAACCCATCTCTTAAAAAATTTATGTAGGCAAATTAATAGAATGGCAACTTTTAACTTTTTTTGTACAGAGGTTAATGTCAGTACAGAAAAAGGAGCAGGTAGTTTTCAGAGTGACAGCATCATTAGAGGCATCACTGGAGGAAAGACAGCCACCTTATAATGTTGGGAGCCAAAAGTCTGAGAGTAGTGACCAACTCAACATTCCACTGGAGGCTATATGATCAAACAGCAAACTGCACCTGCCACCAGAAGGTATGCTGAGGGAAGTCACTCCCTGGTGCCGTGCTCCTTGAAGTTATCTACTGGAACATCTGGAGCCTACTGTTCAAAGAATGCAGACATGGAGGCCTGCACTAAGTCAAGCAGCTGACTGACAACCACCCACTTCTCCCTATCTCCTTTACTCAATAAATACGAAGGGTTTAGAAGCTCAGGGCCCTTGTTCACTAAAAGCAAGGAGCCCCTGACCCCTTCTTCCAAACATACTCTTTTGTCTTTGTCTTTATGCCCGTGTTCATCCTCCTTTGTTCAGTCCAGCAAGGTCTGCAGCATTATAAAGTGAAAAGCAAACACTGTGTATAGTTTTAATAAAAAATATAACCAACACACAACAAACCTAAGAAATAAAAGGAATTTACAAGCAATGTATAATGTAATGTAATGTTTTGGCTTGAAATAATAGCCTGGATGTTCAACAAGCTCCTGGGAAACAGTTAATGTCACATTACGAATTGCATAAGTGCAGTGAATGGAAAGCCCAGTACTGCATTTGTTTTTTCTCTGTTGCACACAAGTGCAAAAATGTTGCTTGGGGCTAGTTTACCTTCTGTGTTCTTTCAGGTATGGTAACCATTTGTCCAAGATTTTCACCTATCATCCTGATATCAATATGAAGAGTCTCTCTTTTTACACTTGAAAGTATTCCCGTTGGTAAAATAAAATCTTACATGGTCAGATTCGGTTTCATCTATCACTATTATTTTTAACATCAAAATGGGAAAGAGGTATATATCATGAACAGTGGGGCAAAAGAAAAAAAAAGAAATGGAGGGAGAGGAAAATAGAAGAGGAGAGTAAAATATCTGGAAAAGACAAATATTTGTTTCTAAAAGTTAAGTGTTTTTGAGGGATAAGTGGTAAGTTTCAGAAGTTCTTCCACAGTTTTTGTGATGTTTAGATATTCAGGTATTACTGGAATAGATTAACTAATGTATGTGTCCCTAGCATATCAATCATTTCATTCATATTTTGAAAATATTAGAGTTCAAGAATGTATTCACTTTTGATTATACCATATATTCAGTATCTGTTAGGGTCTTGTTCATATTCCATGTTGAGCTTTTTCCATTTTCTTCAAGAGTATGTAAACTATTATGCTATTCACAGGTATTTTTCAAAAGAACAATCTTTTAAATTTATTACTTTTGGATTACATTTCCTTTTACTAATGATTCATAGCTGTCTTTTAGTAAGTACCTCTTTTCCCTTAGATTTATTCTATTGCTCTTTATTATTTTCATTTTTTATTATTTTCCTTTCTCATGTAATTTGCTAACTATTTTAACAAGATAATCGTTTAAGACTATAAGCTTCCTAAGAATGAAATTGAGGCTTGTTCAACGGGCTCCTGGAAATAACTGAAAACTATCTTTCAATGTAAATAGTCTAATGGAATGGTTCAGCAGTGTAGAGTAAAATCATTTAGGTAATTTCTTCCATAAACATGGAATACTTCCTATAAATTCAGAAGCTCTTCTGATTAACAGTCGCCAAGTTGAAAAATGTGTGGAAAAGATACTTTCATCAAGCAAGTTGCCCACTCGTTTTCTCTTTCTTTCCTTTTTTTTTTTTTTTTTTTTTTGACAGAGTCTTGCTCTGTCGCCAGACTGTAGTGCAATAGTGCGATTTCGGCTCACTGCAACCTCTGCCTCCCAGGTTCAAGCGATACTCCTGCCTCAGCCTCCCTAGTAGCTGGGACTACAGGCATGCGCCACCACGCCCAGCTAATTTTTGTATTTTTAGTAGAGACGGGGTTTCACCATGTTGGCCAGGATGGTCTCGATCTCTTGACCTTCTGATCTGCCCTCCTCAGTCTCCCAAAGTGCTGGGATTACAGGCGTGAGCCACTGCGCCCGGCCTGCCCACTCATTTTCTTAGGAACCATGAAATTTCAACTCAGATATTATAACTGGAGTGAAACTGATTGTTATGAAAAACAAGTCATATCTTTGTATTCTATCCAACAGAACATGAGGATACAGAAATCAACTTTGAAACAGATTTTAAATATCTGATTTGCATTTACTATTTTCAATAACAGCAAAAGATGGGTGTAGAATTTATGGAATTCATCCAGAATCTCACGAATAATGTCAGAGCTGGTACTAGAATCTGCTTAGGGTGCTCAGGATATTTCACACAAACTGGTATTAGAAATGCATTATGTATTTGTTAAAAGCAGAAATGAGAAAATAATCTGAAAATTGTTAGTTGTTGGGTATAATCAGAAGTAAGAATATGCTCTCATATTTATGATTCAATATGGCTTTGACCCAATTTGTGTCTGTATCTGACAGTGTTTAAGTCTTGCGGTCAGGCAACTGGAGTCTGAACAACCTTTCAAAGAAAGTCTGCATTTGAACTCTGATTTTAAAGGGGTAGTAATGTTCTCTCTTACTATCAAAAGTATAATATTGTGGAAAACAGAAAGCATATAATTTTGCATCTAAATGGATAGCATACCTCCTTCTGGCATTTTAAATTGCTCTGATTTTGGCAGAATCTTCCCCTTGTCATCGGGACCATCTCTGCATTCATCCCCAGTCTTTGACTGAGACAGCTCCTGGAGATCAGTTTCCAGGTCAGGTACTTAAAAATACAAAGGTTATCGACTGAAGCAGGCAAACAAGAAAGATAAATAAGGAAATGATAATATTCTTTTCCTCAGCGTTATGAAATAAAAGGCTGTAGGCTACTGTGGTAATAAATGTGATGCAAAGATGTCCCACCTTTGTTTTCCTGTATTATAAAATCTTATCTTAAATGACAATCTGAGGAAAAATCAGACCACACTTACATTTCCTATACTTTACCATTGTGTATTATAAACAGTGAGTATCAGCTGTCTAGGAAATCTAAAGACTGCTCAATGGATAGCATTTTAATCATAACTTAAATGTAATTTTCTGAAAGATTAGATGAGTGTATTGGTAAGCCTATGACAAATCTTACAGTCCTGACACTCATCACCTGTTGAGGTAACTTGAAAACTTTTTGGTTAAAATTAAACAAACTTAGGTCCAAAGGCCCTATATGTAACTTTCCATAAATGAATCTCATTCAGAAAAAAATACCAAATACAACAGCAAAATCACTGTCTTCCATGAGAGTACAGGAACTTGAGTGAAAAAAAATTAATGGGTATTGTTGACAGTCATATTCTGGAAACCCCTTAACAGTGAATTGCTAAAATAATCCATGACCCAAATTCTGTCAATGTTTAACTTCAAAATGCTATCTGTTGAGGAAATAATTTCTGTTTCATGATAATCTTATCATACTTTGAGTTTTCTAATTATAAAAGTATTTAAACCGTTAAAAAGTCCCTTAAAATCATACTAATATAGCTACCTGTATGCCAATGTCCTAAATTATCCAACTTTTACCAAACATACTGTCAAAAATACAGAGCAAAGGAAACAGTGGCTGTCATTCATTGAGCTCTTTTCTGGAGTTACTATCCTGCTTCACTGAAGTACCTTACAGTAGAGACACATTCGAGTATGAACATTTTAAGCAAAATAATTCACATTTTCTAACACAGTTGGTAGGAAGAACACAAACCTTGGAATGAAATATGAATTCCTTCTCCATGAGTCAAGTGTTCTTGGTAAGCCTCCATTTCAGAGCCTCAGTTTTCTTACTTATAAAATGGGGCTAATATCCCTATGCAAATGGGCTTTATTCAGGATGTTATAAGGTAGGGTGACTTGGCTTTCTACATGCTATTAAAGGGTGCATACAATACTGTGGACACCACAGCTGAGAAGATCAGACAACATTCTAAGAAGATAAAACTAGTGAAATTTTGTACACCACATTAAAGAGTTTCATCTGATTTAGCAAGGACTGTATTTTCAAGCATGCAAAATAAACGTCGAAGAAAAAGAGAAGATTCATCGTATCCAGGGACGGCATGAAGCTGCAAACTATACTCTTCACTTTTCCAGCCAACTTTGAGCAAGTGTTTGAGATCCTTTCCTAATGTTTTCTTTCCTCCTGTTACTGTTTATGGCATAATGCATGATGCACATATAGGCCTCTCCTGCCCACCCCCCAACCATAGATATTCTTTCTTTCTCTTCCCAGCACCTTGAATCTCAGCTGCACCCCTGATCTTCTCTCTCCTCACCAGGTGTAGGATCCCGACTTTCAGTTGGTGGTTCCTCTTGCTGAGGTTCCTCATCACTGGGCTCCTGGAACCAGGGGTGTGTGTGTGCAGATAATTTGTTATCAATACATTTCAATAATATAAATATACAGAATACATAGATATTTCTGATCATAAGTCTAAAGACATTTCTCCAGCACTCTTCCACATACTTATACTTCATAAAGTTACTCTTCCCACAGAGAGGTTACTCTAAGACAGTTGCCCTCAAGGGCTCTGGAAGCTGTTTTAATCTATGTTGGGATGAATGTGTGTAATCTTTTGCAAATAAGCATGAGAAGGAAATCGTGGGCAAAATCTGGGGAACACAAGATCATCCATCCAGACAACAGAAGAACTTAATCCTCTTGGATTAGTCTTTCCTTCATGAGATGCCATGATCATTTTTATCAGCATGGAAGACCTTTATTGGTGAATCCATACTGGTTCAACAACAATTACAAAACATAGTTTTGTAACAACAAGTTACAAAAATAACTTTCTGCTAATAGAAAACATCAAAGGTTAAGACACTCACCAGCATAGGCCCAATCAGCTCAGGAGGTGGTACGCTTCTCCTTGGTCTAGGCCTATATGTTGATCTTACTCTCCAAATCATATTTCACACTGCAAACAGAATACTGTGAATTGGTAAATGCACTTGAAAGGACAGCTGTATTTGACCACTTCCATGACCAAATGTTAACTTGTCATTTTTTAAAAGTTTGTAAATACTTTCGAACTAAGTCTCAGGGTAAGTGTAAGTATGTGTGCCTTCCAAATGCTCGCAAAGTCACTTAAGTTGGTCAAGCTAGCTGAGCAATGTCTCATAGCTCCTGGCAAAAGACATAGGATATTTCCGATGAGGTTTGGTTTCACAACTGAACTCTCCTCCGTGGAGGCATTTAGGAAAATACAGCCAGAGAATTAAAACTGCAGTGACCACGACTTTTGTCACCCACCCATTTGCTAGGCCCGTTTCCCCCCTAAAATCAAGTTTTGTTGGAACGCAGAGCCCCACCCATTCAAATCTCCACAGTGGAGTTGAGAAGTTGCCACACAGCACTGGGCCCTCCTCACTGTACACCTCTGCCAGGCGTTCTACAGACCTCAGGGCCATGGTCACCAACCCGCAGTGTTCCCAGTTCCCTTCCTTAATGCCCACCCCGCTCCTTCCTGGGTCGCCACGGAGGAGTCTGGAATCTGTCCTCTGTCGAGGGTTTCAGGGACTCAGATACCTGCCCCAGCACCCCCAGCACTCACCCCATCTTCATCTGACCCCTCTCAACTACTCGGTCCACCTTCTTCCCTCGTTCTGACCCTACCACAACAAGGCCCACAGCGGTGCCACCTCACGAGAAGAAGGACGAGCACTTTGAGACCCTTCGGCCTCTGAGGCCACGTACCACCCTGCCCCACACTCAGGACGGCCGCTGGCTCCTCCTCACACTCACTCACACTTCAAGCCCTGGGAGGACTGGCCTGTGGACCTACCGGCTGCGTCTCAGCAGGACAGAAAAAGTCCCGACAGCAGGAACGCGATCCTCAAGCCTTCACAGCTCCCTGGCGTTCACCACATGGGCAAAGGGGCCGAGGGGAAGACGCCCAGTGGACATGCGCAGTGAGGTCGGTGCCTGCCTGGTGGGCTGTGGCACCCCTCCTCGCCCCACCCCATCCCGCACCGCGCAGTCCTCTGCCTTCTCCCAGGTTTCCGCTGAAGAGTATGGAATGTGTCTTCTGTGGGCGGTTTCATATGCCTCCGGGACTCAAATACCACAAATAGTTTCCCCCTTCAAAACTCACTCCATGTTCACTAGGTCCTCCTCCCCTCTATGGCCCTCCTTCCTCCCCTGTCTGGGACCCCCACGACAGCAAGGCCAAGGCTGTGTCACCACCTGTTAGGAGAAGGACAGGAACCTCAAGGACCTCCCCGTCGGAGGCCATAGACCGCGCCGCGGGCTCCTCCTCACAGTCTCTCCCACTTCAACTCTGGGAAGACTGATCTTCGGACTTACTGGCTGACTCCTAGTCAGCAGCACAGAAGGAAGTCATGATGTCTCCTTGCACAGCTCTGCAGGGACAGAAGGCAGACAGCAAGGCACATGGACAAGGGACTTGGGCAGCAAGGGATGTGCACACTGAGTCAGGCACATGCAAGGCCACCCGGGGTTTTCCCTCTCTCCCCAGGCTCGCATCCCTAAGGTGTTTGTAGTAGAAGGAAAGGGACTAAGAGGCTTTGTTCTCTCTCTTGCCCTACCATTCTCATGCATCCAGAAACACTGGGAACAGACAGTCCCATGTCACCATTAGTGGAGGATGTGGCTCAGAAAGACCTTTTGTGACAGAAATAAATTACTTTAATATCTCTATTTATACATTCTTTTTTCTCATTTATATATGCATGGGTGCCTGCCATGTTGCAGGAAATATCTGGGATGCTGGAAATGTGAAGACCAAGGAACCACACGTGGTATGTTCCATGGAGGCTACCACACTGTGGTGGGGAAGACAGACAGTTAAACTGAAGAGCAGTTGAACTGCAAAGGAGAAACATGGGGAACAGACCCAGGGGAGTAAAGAACAATGAATGTAGTGGCCAAGAAGCAGGGCGAAACAACACAATTTCTCAAGAAGATAATATTTCTCCATTGCCTTTGCACCTTTTTTGAAAATGAGTTTATCATGTCTGTGAACCTATTGCTGGACTCCATTCTGATCTGTTGATTTTTCCCCAGTACCACATTCTCTGGATTACTATAGAATTAGCATGACTCTTGATATTAGGTAGTGTGAGTTCCCCAAAGTTATAGTTCAGAATCGTTTTGGCTGTTCTGGTTCCTTTTCCTTTCTATGTAATTTTGAAAAATGACTCCAATGAAGTGGGTTGTATAAATTCATGCAGTTTCCCTTTGAAGGGCAGCAGATAAATGTGTTAGTGGCTACAGGAGGACATGGGGGAAGAAGGTGAGTTCCCCCTTAGCTTGGGGAATTATCCCATTTAGAGGGAGCAGTTGGTGGTTCAGGAGAGAGGAATGATCATTGTAGGAACAAAGCCCCTGAGAAGGTGAGAGGCATGGGATCCTGAGCTGAGGTGAGGGGCTGGCATCAGTTAGGAGCATTTGTATGCAGAAAGGCGGTGGAGAATGCCAGGGCAAGCATGGGCAAACTGGGTTTGGGAAGCTCTAAGAGTTCCCAGCAGATCGCTTCTCTCCTCTGAATGAATCATTATAGGAGGTCATTCAAATGAAGGAGAGTTTGTAGCATTGTGTGGGTGTTTATATAACTATAGAGAAAGTTTCTGTCATCTCAGAGAATACATCCATCATCATGAACAGAATATTCCTAGAAATATGAATGTTGAAGGTGCTTCTGGTGAGCACTCAGACAGGAATGGGGAACACGTTATTGGAAACATGTGGACACATAGTCCTTGTAAGAAAGTAGCAGAGAATTTGGCTAGAATGCATTCTCTTAGATGCAAATTAGAACTTGTAAGTGATGAAATTGTATATGTAGCTAAGAACATTTCTAAGCAAAGTATTGAAGTTGTGGCCTGGTTTCTCCTTGCTGCTGGTTGCAAAATGCAAGGGAGGAGAAATAAATCAACGACAGAACTGCTGAGCAAAAAGGAATCAGCCCTTGATTATTTAGAAGATTCTCAGCCTATCCAGATAGCAAGCTCTGGAAATAGGGCCAAGGGTGTAGTGGGACAACTGATTGCTAAAGAGATGAGGTATGTGAGTCATGGATCCAGTCAACCATCTCAGCAGAATGCAGAGAAGGAGATGCATTTATCCAGGGAAGATCTGTGGAGGACTCAGGGTCTGTTGGCATGGATGCCACGAATTACATCAGAGGCCAACATGTTTTGAGGATTTTATACCAAAAGAAGCACAGCCAGCCTGGAATAAAAGAAACAGAAATGGGACAAAATAAAGGAAGAGTGACTTTGAGAGGAGAGCTACAGATGCAGAGGCTGGCAAGCTGCCACTGCCTCTGTAGGCCCAGAGAGCAGCGACCTGGGGAACAGGAATACAGACACTTCCTCCTGAGCTCCAGATGGCAGAGCCACCTCCTCGATTTCAGGGAACAGGGCTTCTGCCCAGGGTCGAGGGAGCAGGGCTAACACTCAGGTCCAAGAAGGCAGAGATGCCACCACACTAGGCCCAGAGGACACAGCATCAAGCCAAAGAGGACCATTCTGAAGCCTTAAAAATCTCATGGAATTTGCCCTGCTAGGTTTCAGACTTGCTTGTTCCCCACGACTCCTTTTCTTCTTCCATCTTCTCCATTTTGGAATGGGAATGTTTCTCCTATGCCTGCACCTTCATGCTGTTTGGAAGCAGATAATGTCTTGTCTGGTTTCACAAGTTCACAGATGGAAAAAATTTTGTCCTAGGATACAACATACTCTGAATCTCACCGTTTCCTGATTTTGATGATATTTGAATGAGATTTGAGATTTAGAGTTGATGCTAGAAAGAATTTCGAGGATGTTGAGATGAAGTGAATGCATTTTAGATGTGAAAGGACATGAATTTTGAGGTGCCAGATCATGGATTTTTACATGTTAAATTATATCCCCTTCAGAAATTTATTCTTGCATAAAACATAGATACTGTACTGTTCCAGACCACAATAAACAAGTCACACACATTTTTTGGTTTCCTAGTGCATATAAACGTGATGTTTATAGTATGTTCTCACTCATAAGTGGGAACTAAGCTATGTGGATGCAAAGGCATAAGAATGATACAATGGACTTTGAGGACTCAGGGGAAAGGGTGGGATGGGGGGTGAAGGATAAAGGACTACAAATTGGGTTCAGTGTATACTGCTCGGGTGATGGCTGCACCAAAATCTCACAAATCACCACTAGAGATCTTACTCATATAACCAAATAACACCTGTTCCCCAAAAACCTATTGAAATAAAATATTTTTAAAATAATAAAAAAATAAAATAAAAGTGAAGTTTACACTACCCTATAGTCTGTTAACTGTGCAATAGTACTATGTCAAAAAAAGTACAATGTATCAAGCTTTCTGTATATGTTTGCTACCTTAATCGGAAAATACTGTATTGCTAAAACATGCTAAAGACCATCTGAGCCTGAAGCCTGAGTTGTAACTTTTGGGCTGGTAGAGGGTCTTGCCTGGATGTACATGGCTGCTGACTGACTAGGGTGCTGGTTGTTGAAAGTTGGGTGGCTGTGTCAATTTATTTTCTTTTTTATTTACTTTTTAACAAGCTAATACTACATGGAAGGCTGTGGCAATTTCTTAAAATAAGACAACAATGAAATTTCCTCCATTGATGGACTCTTCCTTTCACGAAAGATTTCTCCATAACAGACAATGCTGCTTGATAGCATTTTACCTAAAGTAGAACTCCTTTATAAATTGGAGTCAGATCTCTCAAATCCTGCCATTACCTAATCAACTCATCCTTTGCTGTCATTTCCACGGTGTTCACAGCATCTTCACTGGGAGTAGATTTCATCGCAAGAAACTATTCTCTTCATTCATCCATAAGAAGCAACTCCTCACAGGTTAAAGTTTTATCATGAGATGGCAGCAGTTGAATCACCTCTTCACGCTCCACCCTTGTTCTCTTGCTGTTTCCACCATGTCGGCAGGTACTTCATCCACTGGAGCCATGAACCCCTCAAAACCACCCATGAGGGAATACACGGTCTGCTGTCGTTATGAGGAGTTTTCTTTACGTGTCACTTAGATCCAAATAGTCCATGGTACCATTCAGTTCATCTATATGTTGCTGACTTTTTTCCATTGGTTCTGTCTGATTTGATTATGTATTTTAAAGCTTTGTAGTTGAGTTCTGTGCAAAAAAGAGGTAATATAGCAGGTCTGAAACTACTATCCTTAGAAAGGCTAGCTTGCAAGACTGGCCCTTGCCTGGCATCTGTGAACTTGATTTTGGGATGTTTCCCACCATTATCCATCTGATAAGAGTGGTTTACTCATCCGAAACTGTTTGTTCAAGAAGTATGTTTTATGCTGAACACCAGATTCCCTTCTGAGTATCTGAAATGTTGTTGCCTGTTAGGCAGAGAGTGCCTTTGTGACAAGTCCCTAGTAAAAACCTGGGGCACTGAGTTTCTAATGAGCTTCCCTGGTAGATAACATTTTACGCATGTTGTCATGATTCATTGCTGGAGAGACAAATTGTGTGACTCCATTGGGAAGGGACTCTTGGCAGCTTTTGCTGGTTCCCACCAGACTTTGCCCAGTGGCCTTTCCCCATTACTGATTTAGCTCAGTATTCTTTTGCTGTAATAAGTCTTAGTCATGAGCACACCTATACATTGGGTCCTCATAGACAATCACTGGAAGTGAGGGTGGTCTTGGGGATCCCTGACACACTGGCAGCAACAGTGTGATTCACCAGCAAGACCCTGACTCACTAAAATATGTTGAAAGACTTCTTTGAATAAAGAATGAAGAAGCAGACATGACGAAGCTGTAACACCTGGGAGACTGTGGATTTGCCCATAATAGGAAGCAGCAGCCGAGCTCTTTTGTCTGTTGTGAAAAATACATGTACTCACAGCATTTCACAGTAATCCCTCCAATGGCAAGAGAGTTGGCCCACTGGATCCCTGCACCGCTGTTCTATGCTGAATAATGCAGTGGCGAGGAGGGGGTGGGGGAGGTGCAGCCAGGTGCTGCCTTTGGCTTTTGTTTTCTCCTTCAGGCAGAAGGAGAAAGTACTAGAATGTTGCCAAAGCTGAATTTTGAGTAGGCAAAAATCCTGAAAGTTTGATTCCTCTTTCCTCCAAGTGGAAGAGAAAAAATCAGTTTTCTGGGCTGGAGCAAGGACTTAGATAAAGGAAAAAAGGGGAGGGGGCAAACAGGCCAGGTGCAGTGGCTCACACCTGTAATCCCAGCACTTTGGGAGTCTGAAGCAGGACAATCACTTGAAGCCAGGAGTTTGAGACCAGCGTGGACAACATAGCGAGACCTCACATCTACAAAATTTTAAAAATTAGTTTAGCAAATGGTGGCATGCATATGTAGTCCCAGCTACTGGGGAGGCTGAGGCAGGAGGATCACTGGACCACAGAAGGTAGAGGCTGCAGTGAGCTGTTATAATGCCACTACACTCCAATCTGGGTGAGGCAGCAAGACTTTGTCTCAAAAAAATAAATTCATTGGTAACCTAGTAAAAGACCAATGATACGAATATTTTCTGAGCTAAGTCATGAGAAGATGGTATCAATTTATTCAGTTCCAGAGTCAGAGGAAATGGACAATAGGGAAAGAGAGTGGAGTGTGGAGGGGAGGTGAAGGTGTGCGGGGCAGGGAGAGAGGTCTGGGGCAGACAGGGTTGAGGAATAATGGGGAAGAGCAGAAAGCAGAAGTTCAGAGATCTGATAATAGAAGTTCACACTTCTGGATACTTACTCTAAGCCATATGTTTTAGCTCACTTTCTTTCTCTCTCTCTCTCTCTCTCTCCGTTTATGTGTGTATATATATACTATATTTTAAAATTATATATATATGTATATATAATAACAGTCAGTTAGTGCTCACAGCAACACTGTCAGGTGTGTGTTACTAATGTTATCATCTCTCGTTATGGAATAGGAAACAGAGACACGTTAAGAGACTAAGGAACTTGCCCAAAGTCACCTCGCCAGCAAGGGCAGAGTCAGATTGGTACCCAGGCTGGAGAGGGGTGTACAGACACATGCAATCCGACCCTGACACTCTAAAATGCGCTGCAGTGTGGAATGGTCCTCCAGATCACAAGACAGGTGAAAGTGTCCAGCAGCATTTATGATATGACATTATCTGCTTGTGGATTGAACATGAGGTCTCTTGACTGTGTTTGATAATACAGGGTGATGAGTCAATACCAGGAAAGCACAAAGGCAGTATCTGGTCCATATTAAGCTTTCTGTATGTGTTTGCTACCATGGATGTTAGCAGCAACATCCCTGTCACTGTCATTATGGGAAATAGCTTTGGTATAATATTAAACAAAACAACAGATGCAGTTTTTTATTATTATTTTATTTTAAGTTCTGGGATACATGTGCAGAACGTGCAGTTTTGTTACATACGTATACACATGCCATGGTGGTTTGCTGCACCTATCAGCCCGTCATCTACATTAGGTATTTCTCCTAATGCTATCCCTCCCCTAACCCCCGACCTCCCGACAGGTCCCAGTGTCTGATGTTCCTCTCCCCGTGTCCATGTGTTCTCCTTGTTCAACTCCCACTTATGAGTGAGAACATGCAGTGATTGATTTGCTGTTCCTGACTTAGTTTGCTGAGAATGATGGTCTCCACCTTCATCCATGTCCCTGCAAAGGACATGAACTCATCTTTTTTGTGGCTGCATAGTATTCCATGGTGTATATGTGCCCCATTTTCTTTATCCAGTCTATCATTGATGGGCATTTGGGTTGGTTCCAAGTCTTTGCTATTGTGAACAGTGCCGCAATAAACATCTGTGTGCATATGTCTTTATGGTAGAATGATTTATAACCCTTTGAGTATATACCCAGTAATGGGATTGCTGGCGCAAATGACATTTCTGATTCTAGATCCTTGAGGAATCACCACACTGTCTTCCACAATGGTTGAAATAATTTACACTCCCTCCAACAGTATAAAAGCGTTCCTATTTCTCCACATCCTCTCCAGAATCTGTTGTTTCCTGACTTTTTAATGATCGCCATTCTAACTGGCATGAGATGGTATCTCATTGTGGTTTTGATTTGCATTTCTCTAATGACCAGTGATCACGAGCGTTTTTTCATATGTTTGTTGGCTGCATAAATGTCTTCTTTTGAGAAGTGTCTGTTTATGTCTTTTGCCCACATTTTGATGGGGTTGTTTGTCTTTTTCTTGTAAATTTGTTTAAGTTCTTTGTAGATTCTGGATAATAGTCCTTTGTCAGATGGATAGATTACAAAAATTTTCTCCCATTCTCTAGGTTGCCTGTTCACTCTGATGATGGTTTCATTTGATGTGCAGAAGCTCTTTAGTTTAATTAGATCCCATTTGTCAATTTTGGCTTTTGTTGCCATTGCTTTTAGTGTTTTAGTCATGAAGTCTTTGCCCATGCCTATGTCCTTAATGGTATTGCCTAGGTTTTATTCTAGGGTTTTTATGGTTTTAGGTCTTACATTTAAGTCTTTAATCCATCTTGAGTTAATTTTTGTATAAGGTGTAAGGAAGGGATCCAGTTTCAGTTTTCTGCATATGGCTAGCCAGTTTTCCCAACACCATTTATTAAATAGGGAATCCTATCCCCATGGCTTGTTTTTGTCAGGTGTGTCAAAGATCAGATCGTTGTAGATGTGTGGCATTATTTCTGAGGCCTCTGTTCTGTTCCATTGGTCTATATAGCTCTTTTGGTACCAGTACCATGCTGTTTTGGTTACTGTAGCCTTGTGGTATAGTTTGAAGTCAGATAGTGTGATGCCTCCAGATTTGTTCTTTTTGCTTAGGATTGTCTTGGCTATACAGGCTGTTTTTTTGGTTCCATATGAAATTTAAAGTAGTTTTTTCTAATTCTGTGAGGAAAGTCAATGGTAACTTGATGGGGATAACATTGAATCTATAAATTACTTTGGGCAGTATGGCCATTTTCACCATATTGATTCTTCCTATCCATGACCATGGAATGTTTTTCCATTTGTTTGTATCCTTTCTTGTTTCCTTGAGCAGTGGTTTGTAGTCCTCCTTGAAAAGGTCCTTCACATCCCACGTAAGTTGTATTCCTGGGTATTTTATTCTCTTTGTAGCCATTGGGAATGAGAGTTCACTCATTATTTGGCTCTCTGGTTGTCTATTGTTAGTGCATAGGAATGTTTGTAATTTTTCCACATTGATTTTGTATCCTGAGATTTTGCTGAAGTTGCTTGTCAGCTTAAGGAGATTTTGGGCTGAGACCATAGGGTTTTCTAAATATACAATCATGTCATCTGCAAACAGAGACAATTTGACTTCCTCCCCTTTTATTTGAATACCCTTTATTTCTTTCTCTTGCCTGATTGCCCTGGCCAGAACTTCCAACATTATGTTGAATAGGAGTGGTGAGAGAGGGTATCTTTGTCTTGTGCCAGAATAAAACCGATTTCTTTGAGAAATTGCCAAGCTGCTTTCCACAATGGCTGAACTAATTTACATTCCCACCAGCAGTGTATAAGCAAGCATTCCCTTTTCTCTGCAACCTGGTCAGCATCTGTTATTTTTTTACTTTTATTATAGCCATTCTGACTGGTGTGAGATGGTATCTTAATGTGATTTTCGTTTGCACTTCTCTGAATGATTAGTGATGTGCATTTTTTCATTTGTTGGCTGTATGAATGTCTTCTTTTTAAAAGTGTCTATTCGCGTCCTTTGCCCAGTTTTAAAGGGTTGTTTGTTTTTCACTTGTAAATTTATTTAAGTTCCTTATAGATTCTGGATAGTACACCTTTGTCAGGTGCATCGTTTGCAAATATTTTCTCCCATTCTTTAGGTTGTCTGCCTCTTGATTATTTCTTTTATTGTGCAGAAGCTCTTTAGTGCAATTAGATTCCACTTGTCAACTTGTGTTTTTGTTGAAATTGCTTTTGGACTCTTCATCATTTAATAAAGTTTCAGGATACAAAATCAGTGTACAAAAATTAGTAGCATTTCTATACACCAATAATGTCCAAGCTGAAAGCCAAATCAAAATACAATTCCATTCACAATAGCCACAAAAAATCATAGGAATACAGCTAATCAGGGAGGTGAAATATCTCTAAAACAAAAATTACAAAACACAGCTGAAGGAAATCAGAGATGACATAAACAAATGGAAGAACATTCCGTGTTCATTGGTAGGAGTATCAGTATTGTTAAAATGGCCATAATACCCAAAGTAATTTACAAATTCAATGCAATCCTATCAAACTACCAATTACATTTTTTACAGAATTAGAACAAAGTATTCTAAAATTCTTATGGAACCAAAACAGAGTTGGAATAGCCAAAGCAATCCCAAGCAAAAAGAACAAAGCTGGAGGCATCACACTACCTCAATTCAAACTATACTACAAGGATACAGTAACCAAAACAGCATGGTACTGGTACAAAAACAGACACATGGGCCAATAGAACAAGTTATGGAGCCCAGAAATAAAGTCACACACCTACAACCATCTAATCTTCAACAAAGCTGACAATGACAAGCAATGAGGACAGTACTCCTTATTCAATAAATGATGTTGGGATAACTGGCTAGCCATATGCAGAAGATTGAAACTGGACCCTTCTTGACACCATATGCAAAAATCAACTCAAGGTGGACTAAATACTTAAATATGAAACCTAAAACTATGAAAATCCTAGAAGAAAACCTGGGAAATGTCATTCTCAATAAAGGACCTGGCAAAGATTTCATGACAAAGTTTGGATTTCTTTTTCAGACAGTTTGCTATTCCAGTGTAGACACAGTACTAATTTTTGTACATTGATGTTGTCTCTTGCAAATTTCTAAATACACTGATTAATTCTAATAGTTTTTTGGTGGCGTCTTTACAGTGTTCTATGTATATGATAATATTATCTACAAATAGGAATTATTGGACTTCTTCCTTTTTAATTTAAATGCCTTATATTTCCTCTTCTTACCTAAATGCTCTGGCTAGAACATACAGTACTATGCTCAATCAAGTGATGAAAATGGGTATCCTTTTCTTGTTCCAAATCTCAGAGAAAAAGTTTCAATTTTTTCCCATTCAGTATGGTGTTAGCTGTAAGTGTGTCATATATGGCCTTTATGGTATTGAGGTATGTTTCTACTATACCTAGTTTCTTAGGGTTTTTATCATGAAGATATGTTGAACTTTAATGCTTTTCAGCATCTTGAAATGATGTCATCATTTTTGTCCTTGCTTCTGTTAATGTGATATATCACATTTATTGATTTTCTTTTTTATATATACTTTAGGTTCTGGGTTACATGTGCAGAACGTGCAGTTTTGTTATACTGGTATACATGTGCCATGGTGGTCTGCTGCACCCATCATCCCATCACCTACATTAGGTATATCTCCTAAAGTCATCCCTCACCTAGCCTCCCACCCCCCACAGGCCCCAGTGTGTGATGTTCCCCTCCTTGTGTCTGTGTGTTCTTACTGCTCAACTCCCACTTATGAGTGAGAACATGCAGTGTTTGGTTTTCTGATCTTGTGATAATTTGCTGAGAATGATGGTTTCCAGCTTAATCCATGCCCCTGCAAAGGACGTGAACTCATCCTTTCTTATGGCTGCATAGTATTCCATAGTGTATATATGCCAAAATTTCTTTATCCAGTCTATCATTAATGGGCATTTGGGTTGGTTCCAACTCTTTGCTATTGTAAATAGTGCCACAATAAACATATGTGTACAAGTGTTTTTATCATAGAATGATTTATAATCCTTTGGGTATATGCCAAGTAATGGAATTGCTGGGTCAAATGGTATTTCTAGCTCTAGATCGCTGAGGAATCACCACATGGTCTTCAACAATGGTTGAACTAATTTACACTCCCACCAACACTGTAAAAGCATTCCTATTTTTCCACAACCTCTCCAGCATCTGTGGTTTCCTGACTTTTTAATGATCACCATTCTAACTGGTGTGAGATGGTATCTCATTGTGGTTTTAATTTGCATTTCTCTAATGACTAGTGATGATGAGCATTTTTTCATATGTCTGTTGCCTGAATAAATGTCTTCTTTTGAGAAGTGTCTGTTCATATATTTTGCCCATTTTTTATGGGGTTGTTTGCTTTTTTCTTGTAAATTTGTTTAAGTTCCTTGTAGATTCTGGCTATTAGCCCTTTGTCAGAAAGATAGATTGTAAAATTTTCTCCCATTCTGTAGGTTTCCTGTTCACTCTGATGATAGTTTATTTTGCTGTGCAGAAGCTCTTTAGTTTAATTAGATCTCATTTGTCTATTTTGGCTTTTGTTGCCATTGCTTTTGGTCTTTTAGACATGAAGTTTTTGCCCATGCCAATGTCCTTAATGGTATTGCTTAGGTTTTCGTCTAGGATTTTTATGGTTCTAGGTCTTATGTATAAGTCTCTGAACCATCTTGTGTTGATTTTAGTATAAGGTGTAAGGAAGGGGTCCAGTTTCAGTTTTCTGCATATGGCTAGCCAGTTTTCCCAACACCATTTATTAAATAGGGAATCTTTTCCCCATTGCTTGTGTGTGTTAGGTTTGTCAAAGATTGGGTGGTGGTAGATGTGTGGTGTTATTTCTGAGGCCTCTGTTCTGTTCCATTGGTCTACATATCTGTTTTAGTACCAGTACCATGCTGTTTTGTTTACTGTAGCTTTGTAGTAAAGTTTGAAGTCAGATACCATGATGCCTCCAGCTTTGTTCTTCTTGCCCTGGATTGTCTTGGCTATGCTGGCTCCTTTTTGGTTCCATATGAACTTTAAAGTAGTTTTCTCCAGTTCTGTGAAGAAAGTCATTGGTAGCTTGATGCGGATGGCATTGAATCTATGAATTACTTTGGACTGTAAGGCCATTTTCACCATATTGATTCTTCCTATCCATGAGCATGGACTCTTTTTCCATTTGTTTGTGTCCTCTTTTATTTCATTGAGTAGTGGTTTGTAGTTCTCCTTGAAGAGGTCCTTCACATCCCTTGTAAGTTGGATTCCTAGGTATTTTATTCTCTTTAAAGCAATTGTGAATGGGAGTTCACTCATGATTTGGCTCTCTGTCTGTTATTGGTGTATAGGAATGCTTGTGATTTTTGCGCATTGATTTTGTATCCTGAGATTTTGCTGAAGTTGCTTATCAGCTTAAGGAGATTTTGGGCTGAGATAATGGGGTTTTCTAAATACACAATCATGTCATCTGCAAACAGAGACAATTTGACTTCCTCTTTTCCTAATTGAATACCCTTTACTTCCTTCTCCTGCCTAACTGCCCTGGCCAGAATTTCCAATACTATGTTGAATAGGAGTGTTGAGAGAGCGTATCCTTGTCTTGTGCTGGTTTTCAAAAGGAATGCTTCCAGTTTTTGCCCATTCAGTATGATATTGGCTGTGGTTTGTCATAAATAACTCTTATTATTTTGAGATGCGTTCTATCGATACCCAGTTTATTGAGAGTTTTTAGCATGAAAGGCTGTTGAATTTTGTCAAAGGCCTTTTCTGCATCTGTTGAGATAATCATGTGGTTTTTGTCGTTGGTTATGTTTATGTGATGGATTATGTTTATTGATTTGCATATGTTGAACCAGCCTTGCAATCCAGGGATGAAGCTGACTTGATCGTGGTGGATAAGCTTTTTGATGTGCTGCTGGATTCTGTTTGCCAGTATTTTATTGAGGATTTTCTCATTAATGTTTATCATGGATATTGGACTAAAATTCTCTTTTTTTCTTATGCCTCTGCCAGGCTTTGGTATCAGGATGATGCTGGCCTCATGAAATGAGTTAGGGAGGATTCCCTCTTTTTCTATTTATTGGAATAGTTTCAGAAGGAATGGTACCAGCTCCCTCCTTGTACCTCTGGTAGAATTTAGCAGTGAATCCATCTGGTCCTGGACTTTTTTTGGTTTGTAGGCTATTAATTATTGCTTCAATTTTAGAACCTGTTATTGGTCTATTGAGACATTCAACTTCTTCCTGATTTTGACTTGGGAAGGTGTATGTGTCCAGGAATTTATACTTTTCTTCTAGATTTTCTAGCATATTTTCATAGAGGTGTTTATAGTATTCTCTGATGATAGTTTGTATTTCTGTGGATCAGTGATGATATCCCCTTTATCATTTTTTATTGCTTCTATTTGATTCTTCTCTCTTTTCTTCTTTATTAGTCTGGCTAGTGGTCTATCTATTTTGTTTATCATTTCAAAAAGCCAGATCCTGGATTCATTGATTTTTTGAAGGGTTTTTTGTGTCTCTGTCGCCTTCAGTTCTGCTCTGATCTTAGTTATGTCTTGTCTTCTGTTAGCTTTTGAATTAGTTTGCTCTTGTTTCTCTAATTCTTTTAACTGTGGTGTTATGGTGTCGATTTTAGATATCTCCTGCTTTCTGTTGTGGGCATTTAGTGCTATAAATTTCCCTCTACACACTGCTTTAAATGTGTCCCATAGATTCTTGTACGTTGTGTCTTTCTTTTCATTGGTTGCAAAGAACCTCTTTATTTCTGCCTTCATTTCGTTATTTACCCAGTAGTCATTCAGGAGCAGGTTGTTCAATTTCCATGTAGTTGTGTGGTTTTGCGTGAGTTTCTTAATCCTGAGTTTTAATTTGATTGCACTGTGGTCTGAGAGACAGTTTGTTATAATTGCTGTTCTTTTACATTTGCTGAGGAGTGCTTTACTTCCAACTATGTGGTCACTTTTGGAATAGGTGCTATGTGGTGCTGAGAAGAATGTATATTCTGTTGATTTGGGGTGGAGAGTTCTGCAGATGTCTATTAGGTTGGCTTGGTTCAGAGCTGAGTTCAAGTCCTGGATATCCTTGTTAATTTTCTGTCTTGTCAACCTGTCTAATATTGATAGTGGGGTATAAAGTCTCCCATTATTATTGTGTGGGAGTCTAAGTCTTTTTGTAGGTCTCTAAGGACTTGCTTTATGAATCTGGGTGCTCCTGTATTGGGTGCATATATGTTTAGGATAGTTAGCTTTTCTTGTTGAATTGATCCCTTTACCATTATGTAATGGATGGCCTTCTTTGTCTCTTTTGATCTTTGTTGGTTTAAAATCTGTTTTATCAGAGACCAGGAATGCAAATCCTGTTTGTTTTTGTTTGTTTGTTTGTTTTTCCATTTGCTTGGAAGATCTTCTTCCATCTCTTTATTTTGAGCCTATGTGTGTGTCTCCATGTGAGATGGGTCTCCTGAATACAGCACACTGATTGGTCTTGACTCTTTATCCAATTTGCCAATCTATGTCTTTTAATTGGGGCATTTAGCCCATTTATATTTAAGTTTAATATTGTTATGTATAAATTTAATCCAGTCATTATGATGCTAGCTGGTCTTTTCATCTGCTAATTGTTGCCATTTCTTCATAGTGTCAATGGTCTTTACAATTTGACATGGTTTTGCAGTGGCTGGTACTGGTTGTTCCTTTCCATGTTCAGTGCTTCCTTCAGCAGCTCTTGTAACGCAGTCATGGTGGTGACAGAATCTCTCAGCATTTGCTTGTCTGTAAGGGTTGTATTTCTCCTTCACTTATGAAGCATAGTTTGGCTGGATATGAAATTCTGGGTTGAAAATTCTTTTCTTTATGAATGTTGAATATTGGCCCCCACTCTCTTCTGGCTTGTAGGATTTCTGCAGAGAGATCCGCTGTTAGTCTGATGGGCTTCCGTTTGTGGGTAACCCGACCTTTCTCTCTGGCTGCCATTAATATTTTTTCCTTCATTTCAACCTTGGTGAATCTGACAATTATGTGTCTTGGAGTTGCTTTTCTCGAGGAGTATCTTTGTGGCGTTCTCTGTATTTCCTGAATTTGAATGTTGGCCTGCCTTGCTAGGTTGGGGAAGTTCTCCTGGATAATATCCTGCAGAGTGTTTTCCAACTTGGTTTCATTCTCCCCATTATTTTCAGGTACACCATTCAAATGTAGATTTGGTCTTTTCACATAGTACCATATTTCTTGGAGGCTTTGTTCGTTTCTTTTTATCTTTTTTCTCTAATCTTGTCTTCTCACTTTATTTTATTAATTCGATCTTCAATCACTGATATCTTTTCTTCCACTTGATCGAATTCGCTATTGAAGCTTGTGTATGCTTCATGAAGTTCTTGTACTGTGGTTTTCAGCTCCATCAGGTCATTTAGGGTCTTCTCTACACTGATTATTCTAGTTAGCCACCCATCTAACCTTTTTTCAAGGTTTTTAGCTTCCTTGCATTGGGTTCAAACATGCTCCTTTAGCTCAGAGAAGTTTGTTATAACCAACCTTCTGAAACCTACTTCTGTCAACTCATCAAACTCATTCTCCATCCAGTTTTGTTCCCTTGCTGGTGAGGAGTTGTGTTCCTTTGGAGAAGAAGAATTCTGGTTTTTGGAATTTTCAGCCTTTCTGCTCTCATTTCTTCCCTTCTTTGTCGTTTTAACTACCTTTGGTCTTTGATGATTGTGATCTACTGATGGGCTTTTGGTGTAGATGTCCTTTTTGTTGATGTTGATGCTATTCCTTTCTATTTCTTAGTTTTGCTTCTAACAGTCCCCTCAGCTGCAGGTCTGTTGGAGTTTGCTGGAGGCCCACTCCAGACGCTGTTTGCCTGGGTATCACCAGTCGAGGCTGCAGTACAGCAAATATTGCAGAACAGCAAATATTGCTGCCTGATCCTTCCTCGGGAAGCTTCGTCCCAGGGAGACATCCTCCTGTATGAGGTTCTGTTGGCCCCTACTGGGAGTTGTCTCCCAGTGAGGCTACATGGGGGTCCGGGACCCACTTGAGGAGGCAGTGTGTCTGTTATCAGAGCTCAAATATCATGCTGGGAGAACCACTGCTTTCTTCAGGGCTGTCAGGCAGGGACGTTTAAGTCTGGAGAAGCTGTCTGCTGCCTTTTGTTCAGATATGCCCTGTGCCCAGAGGTGGATTCTAGAGAGGCAGTAGGCCTTGCTGAGCTGCAGTGGGCTTCCCCCATTCGTGCTTCCCACCACTTTGTTTACACTGTGAGCATAGAACCGCCTACTCAAGCCTCAGCAATGGTGGACATCTCTCCCCCCGCCAATCTCCTGCATCCCAGGTAGATCTCAGATTATGGTGCTAGCAGTGAGCAAGCCTCTGTGGGCGTGGGACCTGCCAAGCCAGGCATGGGAGGGGAATCTCCTGGTCTGCCAGTTGTGAAGACCATGGGACAAGCACAGTATTTGGGTAGGAGTGTACTGCTCCTCCAGATACAGTCACTCACAGCTTCTTTTGGCTAGGAAAGGGAAATCCCTTGACCCCTTGTGCTTCCTGGGTGAGGCAATGCCATGCCCTGCTTCAGCTCACCCTCCATGGGCTGCACCCACTGTCCAATGAGTCCCAGTGAGATGAACCAGGCACCTCAGTTGGAAATGCAGAAATCACCTATCTTCTGCATCAATTTCGCTGGGAGCTGTAGACCACAGCTGTTCTTTTGTGGCCATCTTGTAAGCCACCAGATGTAAGCCATTTTTAAGTCAGGTGGGATAATATCTCATTGTAGTTTTGATTTGCATATCTCTAATCAGTGATGTTGAGCCCATTTTAATATGCCTTTTTGCCATTTGCATGTTATTTTTTGAGAAATGTCTATTTGAATCTTTTGCCCACTTTTTAATTGGCTTGCTAGATTTTTTTCCTGTGGAGTTATTTGAGCTTTTCTATATTCTGGTTATTAATCCCTTGTCAGATAGGTAGTTAGCAAATATTTTCTTCAAATTGGTGGGGTATCTCTTCATTTTGTTGGTAATTTCCTTTCTTGTTCAGAAGCTTTTTAACTTGATGTGATCCCACTTGTCCATTTTTGCTTCAGTTGCATGTATTTGTGAGGTATTAATCAAGAAATTTTCGCCCAGACCAATATCCTATAAAGTTTTTCTGATGTTTCCTTGTAGTAATTTTATAGTTCAAGATCCTAAACTCTTTAATTTATTTTGATTTGGTTTTTGTATATGGTGAGAAATAGGGGCCTTGTTTCATTCTTCTGCATATTCATATTTAGTTTTTATAGCATAATTTATTGAAGAAATTGTCTTTTTCCCAGTGTATATTATTTGAGCCTTTGTCAAAAATGAGTTCAGTGTAAATGTGAGAATTTTTTTCTGTGTCTTGTATTCTGTTCCATTAGTCTGTGTCTGTATCAGTGTCCTCTATTCTGTTCCCTTAGTCTGTGTGGCTACAGCTGTGCAGTGACCAATCAATGGATTGTTTTTTGAAGACTGGCAATAAAGCTGTCCATTCAATTCGGAATACTGGTTTTAAGGTATAGCTGCTGATATTCTTTCATGTTTAGAAATTCTTTCTGTTATTATTCAAAAAATGTTTTTAATCATGCTAATAAACTTTTTTGGAGATGAAAAAATAAGTCAGGTAATGTGATTTCTCCAGTTTTGCTCTTTTTGCTTAGGATGGCTTTGGCTATTCTGGGTCTTTTGAGGTTATATATAAATTTTAGAATTGTTTTTTTCTATTTCAATGGAGACTGTCATTGGTAATTTGATAGGGATTGCATTGAATCTGTAGACTGTTTTGGGTATTATGGACATTTTAACAATATTAGTTCTTCCAATCCATAAATATGAAACATATTTCCATTTTTTTGGTGTCTTCTTCAATTTCTTTCATCAGTGTTTTAAGTTTTTTTTTTGTTTGTTTGTTTGTTGAGGCAGAGTCTCACTCTGTAGCCCAGGCTGGAGTGCAGTGGCATGATCTCAGCTCACTGAAACCTCCAGGTCCCAGTTCAAGCAATTCTCCTGCTTCAGCCTCCCAAGTAGCTGGAATTACAAGTGCATGCCATCATGCCCAGTTAATTTTTGTATTTTTAGTAGAGACAAGGTTTCATCATGTTGGCCAGGCTGGTCTTGAACTCCTGACCTCATGATCCACCTGCTTCAGCCTCCCAAAGTGCTGGGATTACAGGCATGAGCCACCGTGCCCAGCCTGTTTTATAGTTTTTATTTTAGAGATCTTTCACATCTTTGGTTAATTCCTAGGTATTTAATTTTATGTGGCTATTGTAAATGGGACTAATTTATAAATTTCTTTTTCAGATTGTTTATTGTTTTCATATAGAAATGCTACTAATTTTTGTATGTTGATTTTGTATCCTGCAACTTTACAGAATTTGTTTATCTGTTCTAAGAATTTTTTGATGGTGCCTTCAGGTTTTACCAAATACAAGATTATATTATCTGCAAACAACTATAATTTGATTTCTTCCTTTCTAGTTTGGATGCCATTTATATTTCTCTTGTCTGACTGCTCTAGCTAGGACTTCCAGTACTATGTTGAATAACAGGGCTGACACTGGGCGTCCTTGTCTTATTCCAGATCTTAAAGGAAAGGCTTTCAGCCTTTTTCCATTCAACATGATACTATCTGTGGGTCCATCAAACTTTGCTTTTATTATGTTGAGGTACGTTTCTTCTATACCCAGTTTTTTGAAAAATTTTATCATGAAAGGATGTTGAATTTTATCAAAAGATATTTTTGCATCAGTTGAAACTATCATATGCTTTTTGTACTTTATTCTGCTGATATGATATATCACATTGATTGATTTGCATGTGTTGAATCATTCTTGCATCCCAAGAAGAAATCCCACTTGGTCACAACGAATAATCTTTTTAATGTATTGTTGAATTCCGTTCACTAATATTTTGTTGATAATTTTTGCATCAATATTCATCAGAGATATTGGCCTATAGTTTTCTTTTTTGATGTATCTTTACCTGGTTTGTGTATCAAGCAAATGCTGGCCTAACAGAAGTTTGAAAGTATTCCTTTCTTGTTTATTTTTTGGAATAATTCGAGTTGATTGCTCTTAGCTCTTCTTTAAATGTTTGGTAGAATTCTGCTGTGAAACCATCATGTCCCAAGCTTTTCTTTAGTAGAAGACTTTATATTATGGCTTAGATTTTGTACTTGTTATTGGTAGAATTTGGCTTAAATTTCTTCTGCTCCTGGGCTTTGTTTGGTTGGTAGTCTATTAATTACTGCTTCAATTTCAGAACTTTTTAAATTATTATTATACTTTAAGTTCTAGGGTACATGAGCACAGCGTGCAGGTTTGTTACATAGGTATGCATATGCCATGCTGGTTTGCTGCTCCCATTAACACGTCATTTACATTGGGTATTTCTCCTAATGCTATCTCTCCCCTAGACCCCCACGCCATGACAAGCCCCATTGTGTGATGTTCCCCTCCCTGTGTCCAAGTGTTCTCTTTTTTCAATTCCCACCTATGAGTGAGAACATGCAGTGTTTTGTTTTCTGTCCTGGTGATAGTTTGCTCAGAATGATGGTTTCCAGCTTCATCCATGTCCCTGCAAAGGACACGAATTCATCATTTTATGGCTGCATAGTATTCCATGGTGTATACTTGCCACATTTTCTTAATCCAGTCTATCATTGATGGACATTTGGGTTGGCTCCAAATCTTTGCTATTGTGAGTAGTGCCACAATAAACATACGTGTGTATGTCTCTTTATAGTCGCATGATTCATAATCCTTTGGGTATATACACAGTAATGGGATCGCTGGGTCAAATGGTATTTCTATTTCTATCCTTGAGGAATCACCACACTGTCTTCCATAATGGTTGAACTAATTTACACTTCCACCAACAGTGTAAAAGCGTTCCTATTTCTCCACATCCTCCCCAGCATCTGTTGTTTCCTAACTTTTTAATGATCACCATTCTAATTGGTGTGAGATGGTATCTCATTGTGGTTTGATTTGCATTCCTCTGATGACCAGTGATGATGAGCATTTTTTCATTTGTCTGTTGGCTGCATAAATGTCTTCTTTTGAGAAGTGTCAGTTCATATCCTTTGCCCACTTTTTGATAGGGTTGTTTGATTTTTTCTTGTAAATCTGTTTGAGTTCTTTGTAGATTCTGGATATTAGCCCTTTATCAGATGGGTAGATTGCAAAAAATTTCTCCCATTCTGTAGGTTGCCTGTTCGCTCTGATGGTAGTTTCTTTTGCTGTGCAGAAGCTCTTTAGTTTCATTAGATCCTATTTGTCTATTTTGGCTTTTGTTGCCATTGCTTTGGTGTTTCAGTCATGAAATACTTGCCCATGTCTGTGTCCTGAATGGTATTGCCTAGCTTTTATTCTGGGGTTTTTATGGTTTCAGGACTACATTTAAGTCTTTAATCCATCTTGAATTAATTTTTGTGTAAGGTGTAAGGAAGGGATCCAGTTTCAGCTTTCTACATATGGCTAGCCAGTCTTCCCAGCACCATTTGTTAAATAGGGAATCGTTTCCCAATTTCTTGTTTTTGACAGGTGTGTTGAAGATCAGATGGTTTTAGATGTGTGGTGTTATTTCTGAGGGCTCTGTTCTGTTCCATTGGTCTATATCTTTTTGGTACCCGTACGATGCTGTTTGGTTACTGTAACCATGTAGTATAGTTTGAAGTCAGGTAGCGTGATGCTTCCAGGTTTGTTCTTTTTGCTTAGGATTGTCTTGCCAATGTGGACTTTTTTTTTTTTCGGTTCTATATGAACTTTAAAGTAGTTTATTCCAAGTCCATTAGTAGCTTGAATCTATAACTAGATGGCATTGAATCTATAACTTACCTTGGGAAGTATGGCCATTTTCACGATATTGATTCTTCCTATCCATGAGCATGGAATGTTCCTCCATTTGTTTGTGTCCTCTTTTATTTCATTGAGCAGTGGTTTGTAGTTCTCCTTGAAGAGGTCCTTCACATCCCTTGTAAGTTGGATTCCTAGGTATTTTATTCTCTTTGAAGCAATTGTGAATGGGAGTTCACTCATGATTTGGCTCTCTGTTTGTCTGTTATTGGTGTATAGGAATGCTTGTGATTTTTGCACATTGATTTTATATCCTGAGACTTTGCTGAAGTTCCTTATCACCTTAAGGACATTTTGGGCTGAGATGATGGGGTTTTCTAAATATACAATCATGTCATCTGCAAACAGGGACAATTTGACTTCCTCTTTTCCTAATTGCATACACTTTATTTCTTTAGTTTGCCTGATTGCCCTGGCCATAACTTCAAACACTACGTTGAATAGGAGTGGTGAGAGAGGGCATCACTGTCTTGTGCCAGTTTACAAAGGGAATGCTTCCAGTTTTTGCCCATTCAGTATGATATTGGCTGTGGGTTTGTCATAAATAGCTCTTATTATTTTGAGCTATGTTCCATCAGTACCTACTTTATTGAGAGTTTTTAGCATGAAGAGCTGTTGAATTTTGTTGAATGCCTTTTCTGCATCTATTGAGATAATCATGGGGTTTTTGTTTTTGGTTCTGTTTATGTGATGGATTACATTTATTGATTTTCGTATGTTGAACAAGCCTTGCATCCCAAGGATGAAGCCGATTTGATTGTGGTGGATAAGCTTTTTGATGTGCTGCTGGATTTGGTTTGCCAGTATTTTACTGAAGATTTTTGCATCCATGTTCACCAGGGATATTGGTCTAAAGTTCTCTTTTTTGTTGTGTCTATACCAGGCTTTGGTATCACGATGATGCTGGCCTAATAAAAAGAGTTAGGGAGGGTTCCCTCTTTTCCTATTGATTGGACCAGTTTCAGAAGAAATGGTACCAGCTCCTCCTTGTACCCCTGGTAGAATTTGGCTGTGAATCCGTCTGGTCCTGAACTCTTTTTGGCTGGTAGGCTATTAATTATTGCCTCAATTTCAGAGCCTGTTATTGGTCTATGCAGAGATTCCACTTCTTTCAGGTTCAGTTTTTTGAGGGTGGATGTGTCCAGGAATTCATCAATTTCTCCTGGATTTTCTAGTTTATTTGCATAGAGGTGTTTATAGTATTTTCTGATGGTAGTTTGTATTTCTGTGGGATCGGTGGTGATATCCCCTTTATCACTTTTTATTGCATCTATTTGATTCTTCTCTCTTTTCTTCTTTATTAGTCTTGCTAGCAGTCTATCTATTTTGTTGATCTTTTCAAAAAAACAGCTCATGGATTCATTGATTTTTTTGAAGGGCTATTTGTGTCTCTATCTCCTTCAGTTCTGCTCTGATCTTAGTTATTTCTTCTCTTCTGCTAGCTTTTGAATTTGTTTGCTCTTGCTTCTCTACTTCTTTTAATTGTGATGTTTGGGTGTTGATTTTAGATCTTTCCTGCTTTTTCCTGTCGGCATTAAGTGCTATAAATTTCCCTCTACACACTGCTTTAAACGTGTCCCTGTGATTCTGGTACGTTGTGTCTTTGTTCTCACTGTTTGCAAAGAACATCTTTATTTCTCCCTTTATTTCATTATGTACCTAGTAGTAATTCAGGAGCAGGTTGTTCAGTTTCCATATAGTTCTTTGGTTTTCAGTGAGTTTCTTAATCCTGAATTCTAATTTGATTGCACTGTGGTCTGAGAGATAGTTTGTTGTGATTTCTGTTCTTTTACATTTGCTCAAGAGTGCTTTACTTCCAACAATGTGGTCAATTTTGGAATAAGTGCGATGTAGTGCTGAGTAGAATGTATATATTCTGTTGATTTGGGGTGGAGAGGTCTGTAGATGTCTATTAGGTCTGTTTGGTGCAGAGCTGAGTTCAAGTTCTGGATATCCTTCTTAAACTTCTGTCTTGTTGATCTGTCTAATATTGACAGTGGGGTGTTAAAGTCTCCCATTATCATTGTGTGGGAGTGTTAGTCTCTTTGTAGGTCTCTGGGGACTTGCTTTATGAGTCGGGTGCTCCTGTATTGGGTGCATATATATTTAGTATAATTAGCTCTTCTTGTTGAATTGTTCCCTTTACCATTATGTAATGGCCTTCTTTGTCTCTGTTGATCTTTGATGGTTTAGTCTGTTTTATCAGAGACTAGGATTGCAACCCCTGCTTTTTTTTTGCTTTCCATTTGCTTGGTGGATCATCCTCCATCCCCTTATTTTGAGCCTATGTGTGTCTCTGCATGTGAGATGGGTCTCCTGAATACAGCACACCGATGGGTCTTGACTCTTTATCCAATTTCCCCATCTGCGTCTTTTCACTGGGGCATTTAGCCCATTTACATTTAAGGATCATATTGTTAGGTGTGAATTTGATCCTGTCATTATGATATTAGCTGATTGTTTTGCCTGTTAATTGATGCAGTTTCTTTTTATTATTATTATTATACTTTAAGTTTTAGGGTACATGTGCACAATGTACAGGTTAGTTACATATGTATACATGTAACATGCTGGTGCACTGCACCAACTAACCCGTCATCTAGCATTAGGTATATCTCCTAATGCTATCCCTCTCCCCTTCCCCCACCCCACAACAGTCCCCAGAGTGTGATGTTCCCCTTCCTGTGTCCATGTGTTCTCATTGTTCAATTCCCAACCTATGAGTGAGAATATGCAGTGTTTGGTTTTTTGTCCTTGCTATAGTTTACTGAGAATGATGATTTCCAATTTCATCCATGTCCCTGTCAAGGACATGAACTCATCATTTTTTATGGCTGCATAGTATTCCATGGTGTATATGTACCACATTTTCTTGATCCAGTCTATCATTGTTGGACATTTGGCTTGGTTCCAAGTCTTTGCTATTGTGAATAATGCCGCAATAAACATATGTGTGCATGTGTCTTTATAGCAGCATGATTTATAGTCCTTTGGGTATATACCCAGTAATGGGATGGCTGGGTCAAATGGTATTTCTAGTTCTAGATCCCTGAGGAATCACAACACTGACTTCCACAAGGGTTGAACTAGTTTACAGTCCCACCAACAGTGTAAAAGTGTTCCTATTTCTCCAGAGCCTCTCCAGCACCTGTTGTTTCCTGACTTTTTAATGATTGCCATTCTAACTGGTGTGAGATGGTATCTCATTGTGGTTTTGATTGGCATTTCTCTGACGGCCAGTGATGGTGAGCATTTTTTCATGTGTTTTTGGCTGCATAAATGTCTTCTTTTGAGAAGTGACTGTTCATGTCCTTCACCCACTTTTTGATGGGGTTGTTTGTTTTTTTCTTGTAAATTTGTTTGAGTTCATTGTAGATTCTCGATATTAGACCTTTGTCAGATGAGTAGGTTGCAAAAATTTTCTCCCATTTTGTAGGTTGCCTGTTCACTCTGATGGTAGTTTCTTTTGCTGTGCAGAAGCTCTTTAGTTTAATTAGATCCCATTTGTCAATTGTGTCTTTTGTTGCCATTGCTTTTGGTGTTTTAGACATGAAGTCCTTGCCCATGCCTGTGTCCTGAATGGTAATGCCTAGGTTTTCTTCTAGTATTTTTATGGTTTTAGGTTTAACATTTAAGTCTTTAATCCATCTTGAATTGATTTCTGTGTAAAGTGTAAGGAAGGGATGCAGTTTCAGCTTTCTACATATGGCTAGCCAGTTTTCCCAGCACCATTTATTAAATAGGGAGTCTCTTCCCCATTGCTTGTTTTTGTCAGGTTTGTCAAAGATCAGATAGTTGTAGATATGCGGCGTTGTTTCTGAGGGCTCTGTTCTGTTCCATTGGTCTATATCTCTGTTTTGGTACCAGTACCATGCTGTTTTGGTTACTGTAGCCTTGTAGTATAGTTTGATGTCAGGTAGTGCGATGCCTCCAGCTTTGTTCTTTTGGCTTAGGATCGACTTGGCGATGAGGGCTCTGTTTTGGTTCCATATGAACTTTAAAGTAGTTTTTTCCAATTCTGTGAAGAAAGTCACTGGTAGCTTGATGGGGATGGCATTGAATCTATAAATTACCTTGGGCACTATGGCCATTTTCACGATATTGATTCTTCCTGCCCATTAGCATGGAATGTTCTACCATTTGTTTGTATCCTCTTTGATTTCATTGAGCAGTGGTTTGTAGTTCTCCTTGAAGAGGTCCTTCACATCCCTTGTAAGTTGGATTCCTAGGTATTTTATTCTCTTTGAAGCAATTGTGAATGGGAGTTCACTCAGGATTTGGCTATCTGTATGTCTGTTGTTGGTGCATAAGAATGCTTGTGATTTTTGTACATTGATTTTGTATCCTGAGACTTTGCTGAAGTTGCTTATCAGCTTAAGGAGAGTTTGGGCTGAGACAATGGGGTTTTCTAGATATACAGTCATGTCATCTGCAAACAGGGATAATTTGACTTCCTCTTTTCCTAATTGAATACCCTTTATTTCCTTCTCCTGCCTGATTGCCCTGGCCAGAACTTCCAACACTATGTTGAATAGGAGTGGTGAGAGAGGGCATCCCTGCCTTGTGCCAGTTTTCAAAGGGAATGCTTCCAGTTTTTGCCCATTCAGTATGATATTGGCTGTGGGTTTGTCATAGATAGCTCTTATTATTTTGAAATACGTCCCATCAATACCTAATTTATGGACAATTTTTAGCATGAAGGGTTGTTGAATTTTGTCAAAGGCCTTTTCTGCATCTATTGAGATAATCATGTGGTTTTTGTCTTTGGTTCTGTTTATATGCTGGATTACATTTATTGATTTGCATATATTGAACCAGCCTTGCATCCCAGGGATGAAGCCCACTTGATCATGGTGGATAAGCTTTTTGATGTGCTGCTGGATATAGTTTGCCAGTATTTTATCGAGGATTTTTGCATCAATGTTCATCAAGGATATTGGTCTAAAATTCTCTTTTTGGTTGTGTCTCTGCCCGGCTTTGGTATCAGAATGATGCTGGCCTCATAAAATGAGTTAGGGAGGATTCCCTCTTTTTCTATTGATTGGAATAGTTTCAGAAGGAATGGTACCAGTTCCTCTTTGTACCTCTGGTAGAATTCGGCTGTGAATCCCTGTGGTCCTGGACTCTTTTTCGTTGGTAAGCTGTAGATTATTGCCACAATTTCAGCACCGTTTTTGGTCTATTCAAAGATTCAACTTCTTCCTGGTTTAATCTTGGGAGGATGTATGTGTCGAGGAATTTATCCATTTCTAGATTTTCTAGTTTATTTGCATAGAGGTGTTTGTAGTATTCTCTGATGGTAGTTTGTGTTCCTGTAGGATCGGTGGTAATATCCCCTTTATCATTTTTTATTGCGTCTATTTGATTCTTCTCTCTTTTTTTCTTTATTAGTCTTGCTAGTGGTCTATCAATTTTGTTGATCCTTTCAAAAAACCAGCTCCTGGATTCATTAATTTTTTGAAGGGTTTTTTTGTGTCTGTATTTCCTTCAGTTCTGCTCTGATTTTTGTTATTTCTTGCCTTCTGCTAGCTTTTGAATGTGTTTGCTCTTGCTTTTCTAGTTCTTTTAATTGTGATGTTAGGGTGTCAGTTTTGCATCTTTCCTGCTTTCTCTTGTGGGCATTTAGTCCTATAAATTTCCCTCTACACACTGCTTTGAATGCGTCCCAGAGATTCTGTTATGTTGTGTCTTTGTTCTTGTTGGTTTCAAAGAACATCTTTATTTCTGCCTTCATTTCTTTATGTACCCAGTAGTCATTCAGGAGCAGGTTGTTCAGTTTCCATGTAGTTGAGCGGTTTTGGGTGAGATTCTTAATCCTGAGTTCTAGTTTGATTGCACTGTGGTCTGAGAGACAGTTTGTTATAATTTCTGTTCTTTTACATTTTCTGAGGAGAGCCTTACTTCCAACTATGTGGTCAATTTTGGAATAGGTGTGGTGTGGTGCTGAAAAAAATGTATATTCTGTTGATTTGGGGTAGAGAGGTCTGTAGATGTCTATTAGGTCTGCTTGGTGCAGAGCTGAGTTCAATTCCTGGGTGTCCTTGTTGACTTTCTGTCTCGTTTATCTGTCTAATGTTGACAGTGGGGTGTTAAAGTCTCCCATTATTATTGTCTGGGAGTCTAAGTCTCTTTGTATGTCACTCAGGACTTCCTTTACGAATCTGGGTGCTCCTGTATTGGGTGCATATATATTTAGTATAGTTAGCTCTTCTTCTTGAATTGATCCCTTTACCATTATGTAATGGCCTTCTTTGTCTCTTTTGATCTTTGTTGGTTTCAATTCTGTTTTATCAGAGACTAGGATTGCAACCCCTGCCTTTTTTTTGTTTTCCATTTGCTTGGTAGATCTTCCTCCATCCTTTTATTTTGAGCTTATTTGTGTCTCTGCACATGAGATGGGTTTCCTGAATACAGCACACTGATGGGTCTCGACTCTTTATCCAATTTGCCAGTCTGTGTCTTTTAATTGGAGCATTTAGTCCATTTACATTTAAAGTTAATAGTGTTATGTGTGAATTTGATCCTGTCATTGTGATGTTAGCTGGTTATTTTCCTTGTTAGTTGATGCAGTTTCTTCCTAGTCTCGATGGTCTTTACATTTTGGTATGATTTTGCAGCAGCTGGTACCGTTTGTTCCTTCCCATGTTTAGCGCTTCCTTCAGGAGCTCTTTTAGGGCAGGCCTGGTGGTGACAAAATCTCTCAGCATTTGCTTGTCTGTAAAGGATTTTATTTCTCCTTCACTTTTGAAGCTTAGTTTGGCTGGATATGAAATTCTGGGTTGAAAATTCTTTGCTTTAAGAATCTTGAATATTGGCCCCCACTCTCTTCTGGCTTGTAGAGTTTCTGCTGAGAGATCCGCTGTTAGTCTGATGGGCTTCCGTTTGTGGGTAACCCGACCTTTCTCTCTGGCTGCCCTTAACATTTTTTCCTTCATTTCAACTTTGGTGAATCTGACAATTATGTGTCTTGGAGTTGCGCTTCTCGAGGAGTATCTTTGTGGCGTTCTCTGTATTTCCTGAATCTGAATGTTGGCCTGCCTTGCTAGATTGGGGAAGTTCTCCTGGATAATATCCTGCAGAGTGTTTTCCAACTTGGTTCCATTCTCTCCGTCACTTTCAGGTACACCAATCAGACGTAGATTTGGTCTTTTCACATAGTCCCATATTTCTTGGAGGCTTTGCCCGTTTTTTTTTAATTCTTTTTTCTCTAAACTTCCCTTCTCGCTTCATTTCATTCATTTCATCTTCCATCACTGATACTCTTTCTTCCAGTTGATCGCATTGGCTCCTGAGGCTTCTGCATTCTTCACGTAGTTCTCGAGCCTTGGTTTTCAGCTCCATCTGCTCCTTTAAGCTCTTCTCTGTATTGGTTATTCTAGCTTTACATTGTTCTAAACTTTTTTCAAAGTTTTCATCTTCTTTACCTTTGGTTTGAATGTCCACCCGTAGCTCAGAGTAATTTGATCATCTGAAGCCTTCTTCTCTCAGCTCGTCAAAGTCATTCTCCACCCAGCTTTGTTCCATTGCTGGTGAGGATCTGCGTTCCTTTGGAGGAGGAGAGGCACTCTGCCTTTTAGAGTTTCCAGTTTTTCAGCTCTGTTTTTTCCCCATCTTTGTGGTTTTATCTACTTTTGGTCTTTGATGATGGTGATGTACAGATGGGTTTTTGGTGTGGATGTCCTTTCTGTTTGTTAGTTTTCCTTCTAACAGACAGGACCCTCAGCTGCAGGTCTGTTGGAGTACCCAGCCGTGTGAGGTGTCAGTCTGCCCCTGCTGGGGGGTGCTTCCCAGTTAGGCTGCTCCAGGGTCAGGGGTCAGGGACCCACTTGAGGAGGCAGTCTGCCCGTTCTCAGATCTCCAGCTGCGTGCTGGGAGAACCACTGCTCTCTTCAAAGCTGTCAGATAGGGACATTTAAGTCTGCAGAGGTTACTGCTGTCTTTTTGTTTGTCTGTGCCCTGCCCCCAGAGGTGGAGCCTACAGAGTCAGGCAGGCCTCCTTGAGCTGCGGTGGGCTCCAACCAATTCGAGCTTCCCAGCTGCTTTGTTTACCTAAGCAAGCCTGTGCAATGGCGGGCGCCCCTCCCCCAGCCTCGCTGCCACCTTGCGGTTTGATCTCAGACTGCTGTGCTAGCAATCAGCGAGACTCCGTGGGCATAGGACCCTCCGAGCCATGTGCGGGATATAATCTCCTGGTGTGCCATTTTTGAAGCCTGTCGGAAAAGCGCAGTATTTGGGTGGGAGTGACCCAATTTTCCAGGTGCCATCTGTCACCCCTTTCTTTTACTAGGAAAGGGGACTCCCTGACCCCTTGCACTTCTTGAGTGAGGCAATGCCTCGCCCTGGTTTGTCTTGCGCAAGGTGCACACACCCACTGACCTGCGCCCACTGTCTGGCACTGCCTAGTGAGATGAACCCGGTACCTCAGATGGAAATGCAGAAATCACCCGTCCTCTGTGTCACTCACGCTGGGAGCTGTAGACCGGAGCTGTTCCTATTCGGCCATCTTGGCTCCTTCCCAATGCAGTTTCTTAATAGCATCATGTTTGCTATTTTGACATGTTTTTGCAGTGGCTCCTACCAGTTGTTCCTTTCCATGTTTAATGCTTCCTTCAGGAGCTCTTGTAAGGCAGGCCTGGTGGTGACAAAATCTCTCAGCCTTTGCTTTTCTGTAAAGGATTTTATTTCTCCTTCACTTATGTAGCATAGTTTGGCTGGATATGAAATTCTGGGTTGAAAATTCTTTTCTTAAGAATGTTGAATATTGGCCCCCACTCTCTTCTTGCTTGTGGAGTTTCTGCTGAGAGATCCACTATCAGTCTGATGGGCTTCCCTTTGTGAGTAACCCGACCTTTCTCTCTGGCTGCCCTTAATATTTTTTCCTTCATTTCAACCTTGGTGAATCTGACAATTATGTGTCTTGGGTTGCTCTTCTCGAGGAATGTCTTTGTGGTGTTCTCTGTATTTCCTGAATTTGAATGTTGGCCCGCCTTGCTAGATTGGGGAAGTTCTCCTCCATAATATCCTGCAGAGTGTTTTCCACCTTGGTTTCATTCTCCCCATCACTTTCAGGTACACCAATCAAACGTAGATTTGGTCTTTTCACATAGTCCCATATTTGTTGGAGGCTTTGTTCATTTCTTTTTACTCTTTTTTCTCTAAACTTCTCCTCTTGCTTTATTTCATTAATTTGAACTTCAATCACTGATACTTTCTTCCACTTGATCAAATCGGCTATTTAAGCTTGTACATGCATCACATAGTTCTCGTTCCATGGTGTTCAGCTCCATCAGGTCATTTAAGGTCTTCTCTACACTGTTTATTCTGGTTAGCCACTCATCTAATCTTTTTTTCAAGGTTTTTAGCTTCCTTGCCACGGGTTTGAACATCTTCCTTTAGCTAGGAGAAGTTTGTTATTACTGATCTTCTGAAGCCTACTTCTGTCAAGTTGTCAAAGGCATTCTCTGTCCAGCTTTGTTCCATTCCTGGTGAACAGCTGTGATCCTTTGGAGGAAAAGAGGCACTCTCGTTTTTAGAATTTTTAGCTTTTCTGCTCTGGTTTATCCCCATCTTTGTGGTTTCTTCTACCTTTGGTCTTTGATGTTGGTGATCTACAGATAGGGATTTGCTGTAGATGTCCTTTTTGTTGATGTTGATGCTATTCTTTCTATTTCTTAGTTTTCCTTCTAACTGTCAGGTCCCTCAGCTGCAGGTCTGTTGGAGTTTGCTGGAGGTCCACTCCAGACCCTGTTTGCCTGGGTGTCACCAGAGGAGGCTGCAGTACAGCAAATATTGCAGAATAGCAAATATTGCTGCCTGATCCTTCCTGTGGAAGCTTTGTCCCAGGGGGGCACCCACCTGTATGAGGTGGCAGTGGACCCCTACTGGGAGGTGTCTCCCAGTTAGGCTACATAGGTGTCAGGGACCCACTTCGGGGGGCAGTCTGTCCATTCTCAGAGCTCAAACACCATGCTTGGAGAACCACTGCTCTCTTCAGAGCTCTCAGACAGGAACGTTTAAGTCTGCAGAAGTTTCTGCTGCCTTTTGTTCAGCTATGCCCTGCCCCCAGAGGTGGAGTCTATAGAGGCAGCACATCTTTCAGCGCTGTGGTGTGCTCCACCCAGTTCGAGCTTCCCGGTAGCTTTGTTTACCTACTCAAGCTTCAGCAATGGCAGACGCCCCTCCCCTGCCAGGTTGCTGCCTCGCAGGTCGATCTCAGACTGCTGCCCTAGCATTGAGCAAGGCTCCATGGGCATGGGACCCGCTGAGCCAGAGGCAGGATATAATCTCCTAGTGTGCCGTTTGCTAAGACTGTTGGAAAAGTGTAGTATTTGAGTGGGAGTGTCCCGTTTTTCCAGGTACAGCCTGTCATAGCTTCCCATGGCTAGGAAAGGGAAATCCCCTGACCACTTGCACTTCCCTGGTGAGGTGACGCCCCACCCTGCTTCGGCTTACCCTCCATGGGCTGCACCCACTGTCCAACCAGTCCCAATGAGATGAATCAAGTACCTCAGCTGGAAATGCAGAAATCACCCATCTTCTGCATTGATCACACTGGGGGCTGCACACTGGAGCTGCTCCTATTTGGCCATCTTGGAAGGGACCCAATTTCAGAACTACTTATTGGTCTATTCAGGGATTCAATTTCTTCCTGATTTAGTTTTGGGAGGTTTTATGTGTCCAGAAATTTATCCATTTCTTCTACATTTACTAGTTTATTTGCGTAGTTCTTAGAGACCAACAAGGAGGCTTAGACTCCCACACAATAATAGTGGGAGACTTTAACACCCCACGGTCAATATAAGGCAGATCAATGAAACAGAAAATTAAAAAGGATATTCAGGACTTGAACTCAGCCCCGGACCAAGCAAACCTAACAGACATCTACTGAACTCTCCATCCTAAATCAACAGAATATACATTCTTTTCAGCACCACATCACACTCATTCTAAAATTGACCACAAAATTGTAAGTAAGCACTCCTCAGCAAATGGAAAACAACAGAAATCATAACAGTCTCTCAAACCACAGTGCAATCAAATTAGAACTCAAGATTCAGAAACTCATTCCACACTGCACAGCTACGTGGAAACTGAACCACCTGCTCCTGAATGACTACTGGGTAAATAACAAAATGAAGGCAGAAATAAAGATGTTCTTTGAAACTAATGAGAACAAAGACACAAGTGTACCAGAATCTCTGGGATATATTTAAAGTACATGTAGAGGAAAATTTAGAGCACTAAATGCCCACAAAAGAAAGGAGGAAAGATCTAAAATTGATACCCTAACATCAAAATTAAAAGCAATAGAGAGGCAAGAGCAAACAAATTCAAAAGCTAGCAGAAAACAAGAAATGACTAAGATCAGAGCAGAACTGAAGGAAATAGAGACAGCAAAAACCCTTCAAATAATCAATGACATCAGGAGCTGGATTTTTGAAAAGACCAATAAAATAGTTAGACCACTAGCCAGATTAATAAAGAAAGAAGAGAACAGAGAAGAATTAAATAGATGCAATAAAAATTAATAAAGGGGATATCACCACTGGTCCCACAGAAATACAAGCTACCATCAGAGAATACTATAAACACCTCTACGCAAATAAACTAGAAAACCTAGAATAAATGGATGAATTCCTGGACACATACACCATCCCAAGACTAAACCAGGAAGAAGTTGAATCTCTGAATAGACCAATAACAGGCTCTGAAATTGAGGCAGTAATTAATAGCCTACCAATCAAAAAAGGTCCAAGACAGGATGGATTCACAGCCGAATTCTACCAGAGGTACAAAGAGGAACTGGTACCATTCCTTCTGAAACTATTCCAAACAATAGAAAAAGGGAATCCTCCCTAACTCCTTTTACGAGGCCAGCATGATCCTGATACCAAAGCCAGGCAGAGACACAACAAAAAGGAAAATTTCAGGCCAATATCCTTGATGAACATCAGTGTGAAAATCCTCAACAAAATACTGGCAAACGGAATCCAGCAGCACATCAAAAAGCTTATCCACCCTGATCAAGTGGGCTTCATCCCTGGGATGCAAGGCTGGTTCAACATATTTAAATCAATAAACATAATCCATCCCATAAACAGAACCAATGAAAAAAACACATTATTTTCTCAATAGATGCAGAAAAAGCCTTTGACAAAATTCAACACCCCTTCATGCTAAAACTCTCAATAAACTAGATATTGAAGAAACATATCTCAAAATAATAGGAGCTATTTATGACAGTCCCACAGCCAATATCATATTGAATGGGCAAAAACTGGAAGCATTCCCTTCGAAAAGCGGCACAAGACAAGGATGCCCTCTCTCACCACTCCTATTCAAAATAATATTGGAAGTTCTGGCCAGGGCCATCAGTCAAGAGAAAGAAATAAATGAGTTCAATTAGGAAAAAAGGAAGTCAAATTGTCCCGGTTTGCTGATGACATGATTGTATATTTAGAAAACCCCATCATCTCAGTCCAAAATCTTCTTAAGCTGATAAGCAACTTCAGTAAAGTCTGAGGACACAAAATTAATGTGCAAAAATCACAAACATTCCTATACACCAATAACAGACAAACAGAGAGCCAAATCATGAGTAAACTCCTATTCACAATTGCTACCAAGAGGAAAAATACCTAGGAATACAACTTACAAGGGATGTGAAGGGCCTCCTGAAGGAGAGCTACAAACCACTGCTCAAGGAAATAAGAGAGAACAAAAACAAATGGAAAAATTTTCCATAGTCATGGATAGAAAGAATCAATATTGTGAAAATGGCCATAGTGTCCAAAGTAATTTATAGATTCAGCGCTGTCCCCATCAAGCTACCATTGATTTTCTGCACAGAATTGGAAAAAACTACTTTAAATTTCATATGGAACCAAAAAAGTGCCCACATAGCCAAGACAGTCCTAAGCAAAAAGAACAAACCTGAAGGCATCACGCTACCTGATTTCAAACTATACTACAAGGCTATGGTGACCAAAACAGCATGGTACTTGTACGAAAACAGATATATAGACCAATGGAACACAACAGAGGTCTCAGAAGTAACACCACACATCTACTACCATCTGATCTTTGACAATCCTGACAAAAACAAGCAATGGGGAATGGATTCCCTATTTAATAAATTGTGTTGGGAAAACTGGCTAGCCATATGCAGAAAACTGAAACTGGACCCCTTCCTTACACCTTATACAAAAATTAACTCAAGATGGATTAAAGACTTGGATGTAAGACCTAAAACCATAAAAACACTAGAAGAAAACCTAAACAATACCATTCAGGACATAGGCATGGGCAAAGACTTCATGACTAAAACACCAAAAGCAATGGCAACAAGAGCCAAAATTGACAAATGGGATCTAATTAAACTAAAGAGCTTCTGCACAGGAAAAGAGACTATCATCAGAGTGAACAGGCTACCTACGGAATTGGAGAAAATTTTTGCAATCTATCCATCTGACAAAGGGCCAACCTTCAGAATCTACAAAGAATTTAAACAAATTTACAAGAAAAAAAACAATCCCATCAAAAAGTGCTTGAAGGACATGAACAGACACTTCTCAAAAGAAGATACTTATGCAGTCAACTAACATATGAAAAAAAGCTCATCACATTGGTCATTAGAGAATTTCAAATCAAAACACAATGAGATACCATCTTATGACAGTTAGAATGGCAATCATTAAAAAGTCAAGAAACAACAGATGCTGGAGAGGATGTGGAGAAATCGGAACGCTTTTACATTGTTGGTGGGAGTCTAAGTTATTCCAACCATTGTGGAAGACAGTGTGGCGATCCATCAACGATCTAGAACCAGAAATACCATTTGACCCAGCAATCCCATTACTGGGTATATATCCAAAGGATTATAAATCATTCTGCAATAAAGACACATGCACATATATGTTTATTGTGGCACTGTTCACAATAGCGAAGTCTTGGAACCAACCCAAATGCCCATCAAAGATAGACTGAATGAAGAAAATTTAGCATATATACACCTTGGTATACTATGCAGCCATAAAAAAGGATGAGTTCATGTCCTTGGCAGGGACATGGATGAAGCTGGAAACCATCATTCTCAGCAAACTAACACAAGAACAGAAAATCAAACACCACATGTTCTCACTCATAAGTGTGAATTGAGCAATGAGAACACATAGACACAAGGCAGGGGCATCACACACCGGGGCCTGTCGGGGGATGGAGGACTGTGGGAGGGATAGCATTAGGAGAAATACCTAATGTAGATGACGGGTTGATGAGTGTAGCAAACCACCATGCCACGTGTATACCTATGTAACAAACCTGCACGTTCTCCACATGTATACCAGAACTTAAAGTATATATTTTTAAAATTCCATTTGTTGGTGTCTGCTTTAATTTATTTTATCAGTGTCTACAGTTTTCAGTGTGTAAGTTATTTCCTTGGTTAAGTTTATTCCTCAGTATTTTATTATTTTGATGTTATTGTAAATGAGATTGTATTCTTTATTTCCTTTCTGGAAAATTCATTGTTATTAAATAGAAATTCAACTGATTTTTACATGTTGCTTTTGTATCACTCAATGTTTCTGTATTTATTAATTTTTTTACCAGATCATCACATAAGTTTATTTCTGATGTAACAGCAATGTTAAAGTTGTCATGTTTAATTCTTAACAGAATTCTAGGTTGATGTATTTTTTTCTCAAAAACTCTAAATATTTCACTCCACACTCTTGCTTGCATGGCTTCTGGGAAGAAGCCATATGTAACTTTTATTTTTGTACCTCCATGGCGAGGTATGTTTTTCTTCTGGCGTCTTTCAATATTTTTTCTTTATTTTTGATATTTTGAAGTTTAAATATAATTTGCCTGAGAGTAGTTTTTTGGCATTTATCCTGCTTCTTGTTTTCTGAACTTTATAGATCTATGGTTTGCTGTCTGACATTAATTGGGAAAGAGGGGCAACTTTCAGTCATATTGCTTCAAATATATCATCTGTTTTTTTTTCTCAATGTATTCTCCTTCTGGTATTTGTATTACATGCATGTTACACCTTTTGTAGTAGTCTTACAATTCTTGGACTTTTGAGGTTTTCTTTCAGTCTTTTCAGCTTTGCTTTTAAGTTTTGGAAGTTTTTATTGTCATATCCTCAAGCTCAGGGGTTTTTACCTCAGCTGTGTTTTCTAATAATGAGTCCGCAATTTTTTTTTGTGGGCTCAATTATTTTACAGTGTTTTTTATCTCTAGCATTAAAAAAAAACTAGAGATGGGATATTGCTATGTTGCCCAGGCTGGAGTGCAGTGGCTATTCACAGGCAGAATCATAGTGCACTACAGTGTTAAATTCCTTGCCTCAAGCAACCCTCCTTCCTCAGCCTCCTGAGTAGCTGGGATTACAGTCATGTACCACTAGGCTTGGCTTTCTAGCATTTTTAAATTCTTAGAATTTTCACCTCCCTGTTTACATTATTTGTCTTTTCTTGCATGTCATCTGCTTTTTTTCCCATTAAAGTCCATAGAATATTAATCATAATTTTAAATTTTCTGGTCTGATAATTCCAACATTCCTACCCTATCTGCCTCTGGTTTCCATATCTGTTCAGTTTATTCAAACTGTTTTTTTTCTTGCGTTTTAGTATGCTTTCTAATTTTTTGTTGAAATGTGGAGACATGATGTACTGGGTAAAAGGAACTGCAGGAAATATGCCTTTATTAAATGTTGTTAAAAGAAAAACTTCAGCTTAATTAAATTTAATGGCGCTTAATTAAGTTGTGAACGATTTGCGAATTGGGCAGTCCCCAGAATCACAATAGATTCAGAAACTCTGGGGGTGCCTTGTGGTCAGAACAAATTTATAGACAAAAAAAAAATAGAGTAACATATAGAAATAGGAAGTGAGGAACAGAAACAGCTGGATTGATTACAGGTTGGCATTTGCCTTATTTGAATACACTTTGAACACTCAGCAGTGTATGAGTGGTTGAAGTATGGCTTCTGGGATTGGCCAAGATTCAGCCGTTGTTACAGGAGCATATTCCTAAATTAGATTTTCAATCTTGTCTACCTATTAAGTTAGGTTGCAGTTTGTCCACAAGGACTCAAATATAGAAGCACAGAGTCCTTCTCAGGCTTTATTTAGTTCACTTTAACAATGTGTAAATAAGGTGTGGAAGATGGGAAATTCTACAGTTCTATAACTATGTCTCAGTCTTTGGTGAGCTTGTGCCCCTGGACTATGAACTTCAACAGAGCTTCTCAGTTAGGTTATCCCTTTAGGTGGGGCAAGATGGCTAGAGTGGGCTGGAGTTGAGCATTCCCCTTTTTCCAGATAGAAAAGGCCCTGATAATACCCTAGCAGGTTAGGCTATGGTAAAAAAAAAAAATAAAAAGAAAAGAAAAATTAATCCTTGAATAATGTGGAGATTAGGAGTGCTGACCATCTGGACAGCAAAAAACTGATGTATAACGTTTTACTCCCCCAAAACTTAACTACTCAGCCTACTGTTGATGAGAAGTCTTACTGATAACATAAACAGTTGATTAACATATATTTCATATATTTTATGTATATATATATATGCTATAAACTGTATACTTACAATAAAAAAGCTAGAGGAAAGAAAATATTATTAAGAAAATCATAAAGAAGATAAAATAAATTTACTATTCATTTAGTGGAAGTGGATCATCATAAAGGTCTTCACAGTGACTAGGCTGAGGGGGAGGAGAAAGAAGAGAGGTTGGTCTTGCTGTCTCAGATGTGGCAGAGATGAAAGACGTGGAGGAGATGAAAGGTGAAGCAAGAGAGGCAGGTATATCCTGTTTAACTTTAGAGAAACACATCATAATTTCTGCCGGACTGTATTAGTCTCTTCTCACATTGCTATAAAGATACTACCTGAGGCTGGATAATTTATGAAGAAAAGAGGATGAATTTGACTCACAGTTCTGCATGTCTAGGGAGGCCTCAGGAAACTTACAATCATGGCTGAAGGTGAAGGGGAAGCAAGGCATGTCTTACATGATGGCAGGAGAGAGAGAGAGCATGCAGGGAATACTGCCTCTTTTAAAACGATCAGATTGTAATTGCCCAATGGGTTCACCTAGCCCACTGCCTGGACAGAGCCAGTTTATCAAGACAGGAGAATAGCAATTGAGAAAGAGTAACTCATACAGAACTGGCTGTGTGAGAGACTGGAGTTTTATTATTACTCAAATCAGTCTCCCTGAGCATTCGAGGATCAGAGTTTTTAAAGATAATTTGGTGAGTAGGGGCTGGGGAAGTAGGGAGTGCTGATTGGTCAGGTTGGAGATGGAATCACAGGGGAGTCGAAGTGAGTTTTTCTTGCTGTTTTCTGTTCCTGCGTGGGATGGCAGAACTGGTGGAGCCAAGTTACTGTTCTGAGTGGTGTCAGCTGATTTATCGTGTGTAAGGTCTGCAAAATACTGAAGCACTGATTCTTGGTTTTACAATAGTGATGTTATCCCCAGGATCAATTTGGAAAGGTTCAGATTCTTGGGGCCAGAGGCTGCATGAACCCTAAACTGTAATTTCTAATCTTGTAGCCAATTTGTTAGTCCTGCAAAGGCAGACTGGTTCTCAGGCAAGAAGAGTTTTTTCTGGGGGGAAAGGGCAATTATCAATTTTGTTTCAGAGTCAAACTATGAACTGAATTCCTTCCAAAAGTTAGTTCGGTCTATGCCTTGGAATGAACAAGGACAGCTTAAATGTTAGAAGCAAGATGGAGTCTGTTAGGTCTGATCTCTCTCACTGTCATAATTTCCTCAGTTATAATTTTGCAAAGGCGGTTTCAAGACCTTATGAGAACTCAGCATGGGGGATACCGCCCCCATGATCCAATCACCTCAGGTCCCTCCCTTGATATATGGGGATTACAATTTGAGATGAGATTTGGGCGGGGATGCAGAGCCAAACAACTGACATTTTTGCTTTTTCATTTCTCTAAAAATGTTTCTCTATGGTGCCAATCCTTCTATTGTTTGCTTTAGTTTCAGTGCCCATATAATAGAAGAGTACATATTGTAAAAGAAGTCAAAACTGTCTCAAGTAATCAGAACCTGTGTGCCAGATTGTCTAATGTCAGTTTGTTTTCTTCCACAGGTTCTTCTAAGTCTTCTTCCTCACAATCTGGAACTGGTTCTAAAGCACTCATCTCCATCAAATTGTCACCTGGTATGGGTGGTATCTATTAGCTCTTGAATTTCCGTATGATACACATCTTGAAAACTTTCACTCCCCATCATTTTTTTTTGCCATGTCCACAGTCTCTTTCATGATTTTCTTGATTGGCTCTGTCATAAATCCTGAGGTCATGCACAACATCTGGACACATTGTTTTCCAGCAGATATATATTGTGTTGGGCTCGATGGCTTTCATGGCTCTTTCTATAGCAACAATAACATCTTCTATGGTGTAATTCTTCCAGACTTTCTGGATGGTTTCTCTATAGGGGTTCTCTTCTGTAGCATTGGCAAACCTTTCCATAGAGTACCATGTGTAATGAGCCTTAAAGGTCCTTATAATCTTATGATCTAGAGGCTGAATTAGAGATGTGTTTGGGGGCAAGTAGACCACCTTGATGCCTTTGGTGTGGAACTCATGAGGTTCTTGGTGGCCAGAAGCATTGTCCAATATCAAAATAACTTTTTAAAAAAGTCCTTTACTGGCAAGATATCTCTGAATTCAGGGACAAAGCATCAATAGAACCAATCTAGAAAAAGTGTTCTCATTGTCCAGGACTACTTGTTGTACAACCAAAAGACTGGCAGCTGCTGTTTATCTTTCCCTTCATTACTCGGGATTAGCAGCTTTATAGATAAGGGCAGTTCTGATCATAAGCCCAACTGCATTTGCACAAAACAGTAGAGTTAGCTTATCTCTTCCTGCCTTAAATCCTGGTGGTGGTTCTCTTTCTTACTAATAAATATCATTTGTGGCTTTTTCCCCCAGAATAGGGCACATTCATTGCATTAAAAGTTGTTCAGGCAGATATCCTTTCTCCTCAATGATTTTCTTAATGTCTGGGACCTCTGTGTCTGTTGATTGTCAGAAGCTGCTTCTCCTGTTATCTTAACATTTTAGAAGGCAAACTTCTTTCTAAGTTTATCAAGCCATTTTTTACTGGCATTAAATTCTTCAGCTTTAGATCTTTCACCTTCCTTTTGCTTTAAGTTGTTAGATCATATCGAAGTCTGTAGGAATGCAATGCTTATAGCAACACTGCGGCCAAATAAAAACTGTATTTTCAATACAATATAAAAAGGTATTTTGCAAAAAGTGCAAGGATTTCATGCGTGCTGGCATAGCTCCAGCAACAGCTTCATGAAATTTCTTTTCTTTTTTTATTTTTACTGTGGTCTTTACACTGGATTTATTAATCTTGAAATGGTAGGCAACCACAGCTTCAAACCTCAATCTATGGTATACATCAAACAATTCCAATTTTTCTTGTAATGTAATTATTTTTCTATGTTTCTTGGGAGCACTTCCAGCATCGCTATTGGCACTTTGTATAGGTCCCATGGTATTATTCAAGGTTTACAATTAAAACTGCCTTTGTAAAAATTATATCAGTGAGAAAATTATGGAAGTGGGGGAGATCTGATCTAGCCAACCCTCCTCTGGCCTTTAGCCTTCAAGCTGCCAAGCTAGCTTTGGAAAACATTTAGGTTATAGTATAAATGATAATTGCCCTTCCCTGAAACTCAACTGCCTTTGTAAACCTAATGAGAGACCACTAGGCTAGGAGGAGGAAAGGAGCCTGAATTCTGCTGAGGTGTAGACATAAAAGATTGCAAGCCATTATTCCAGAGGTCACAAGATAACATCACTAATGTAGAATCTAAGATTGGCCTTTTGAGATACCTTTTCAGGCTTTGTGTATGTCTGAAACCCATGGCTCCACCTGGACCCACCAAATGATGGCTCTTGTGGCCCTACCCAGAAGAAATTCAGCCTTAAGAAAGATCATTTCCCACACCCCTGTAATTGCACTCCAACCAATTAGCAGCAAGCAACCATTTCCTAGCCACCTCCACCCCTTCCCCCAAACTGCCTTGGAAAAACCCCTAACCTAGGAGCCTTCCAGGAGATTGATTTGGGTAATAACTCAGTTTCTGATGTGGCATGTCAATTAAACTCTTTCTTTATTGTAGTGCTGTGATCTTTGTGCAGTGGGCAGGAAGAACTTGTCGGGTGGTTACACAATACTGCACTAAGCACGATAAAAAAATTAGTGAGAACTCTGACAGATCACTTTTTACTTTGTTATCCAATTTTCTGGAGAGATAAACTGCTTATGCAGAGATAATTAGTGTCACAGGGCATTTTAAGTGATAAAACACTTGAGCCCACTGGAAAGACAACAGGAGGTGACTATGAAATTATTATAGTAGTACAGTATTGTAACAGTTAATTTTATGCAGATATGATTTGATTCTGTATCTTCACATTTGTTTACATTTCTGTCAACTGAGAATGGTGTCATGTATGGTTTATGTTTGTAAATTTTGATAAATTTGAAACTTTAATAATAGATTTGTGAATATTTTATGGTAGCAAATGATAAAATAGACTAGTATCTACATATATTAATATTTTGTGCATTCATGACTTACCATTTTGTTTTTTTGGAGACTCACTCTGTCACCCAGGCTGGAGTGCAGTGGTGCTATCTCAGCTCACTGCAACCTCTGCCTCCTGGGTTCAAGTGCTCCTCCTTCCTCAGCCTCTCCAGTAGCTGGGAATACAGGCACATGCCACCATGCCTGGCTAATTTTATTTTATTTTATTTTCAGTAGAGATGGGGTTTTGCCATGTTGGCCAGGCTAGTCTTGAACTCCTGATCTCAGGTCATCCACCCACCTTGGCCTCCCATAGTGTATGACATACATTTTTCTTAATTTTTTGACAGTTCTTGGCTATGAAGTTCATCTGCAAGTTTTTTCAAATTGTCACAAATCTCCAAAAATTCTTCCAATATGTAATACTTACAAAAAAAATCCACATATAAGTAGATCTGTGCAGTTCAAATCCATGTTGTCTGAGGGTCAATTGTAGTTTCGTCTTCTATTAAGTAAAACAAAAATGGAGTACTCTGATGTGTTTCAAAATAGTGACTTTTTCACTCCCCCTGTCAGAAGCTAGATGGGATTTTTCTCTAATGTTCACTGTGAGGCAGAGCTGGTAGAGTTCCTGGAGGGCACAAAATGGTGCCCCTTCTCCACTCCATGCCTGGTCTCCTTGGAGTTTTTAACTCTCAGTCTTGTCCACTTAGAGCTTCCAGCAACTCATCAATTATAGTTCTGTTACAGGAAAGCAGTTCTGATGCAAACCACAAGAAAGAGTTCTTGGATCTCTCACAAGAAAAAATTCATAGCAAGTCCGTAAAGTGAAAGCAAGATATTAGGAAAGTAAAGGAATAAAAGAATGGCTACTCCATAGACAGGGCAGCCCTGAAGGCTGCTCAGTACCCATTTTTATTATTATTTCTTGATGATATACTAAACAAGGCGTGGATTATTCATGCATCTCCTTTTTAGACCTTATAGGGTAACTTCCTGACATTGCCATGGCATTTGTAAACTCTCATGGTGCTGGTGGGAGTGTAGCAGTGAGGGCGACCAGAGGTCACTCTCATCGCCATCTTTGTTTTGATGAGTTTTAGCTGGCTTCCTTACTGCAACCTGTTTTATCAGAAAGGTCATTATGACTGTATCTTGTGCCAACCTCATATTTCCTCCTATGACTTAGAATGCCTTAACCACCTGGAAATGCAGCCCAGTAGGTCTCAGCCTTATTTTACCCAGTCTCTACTCAAGATGGAGATGCTCTGGTTCAAACACTTCTGACATTTCTCCCCTCCCTTTTATAAGAGAATCCATAATTCTAAGAGTTGCAGAGGGATGAAGATCCATGATCTGTAACTTCTTCAGGCTGAATAGGGGCAATGATATTCCTACCTGAATATTAGGGTCTCTTGTGTTCAGGGTAGAGAGCTCAGTCAGAAAGCATCAGTATGGTGAGTGCCAGTCATAACTCTGAGTTTTGACAAAAGGTGCTATCTAAAAGATTAATAAGTATTCAGTTTAAGAAAATATTGAGTAAGCTTATCCTGCATTCCTATACAAAGACTACAACAGCAATATATATCACAACAGTGAAGAGAAATAAGTAAAATTATTTCAAGTAAACTAAATTAGAAGGTTTTCCATGAACTGGGCAACTGTTGACACCAAGCTGATATGGGGTTGCTAGATGATTCCATTAGGTGCCCAGGATTAGAATATTGATCCAGATTTTTACATTACCCAACCCTCTTGTTTCTTCTGAGTAGCAGCCAGAGATCACTGGTTCATTCATCGGGATAAGCAGGGTTAGCCTAAATTGCAGAAACAAACTTAAACAAAACTAATGAGGCTATAATTTAATAACAAGTGTACCATAGTACTTGAAACATAATATTTCTCTTTCCAGTTTCTCATTTTTGGTAAAAACAAATTATGGTAAGACTGAGGTGCTTTATTATACAAGGCCTGATTATTTGTCTAAAGTGCAGCAAGAATAATAATTTTTCACAAAGACTTTTTAACTGGCTTTGATGGGACTCTGTTCCATAGAAAAAATCTTAGATAAGACTTTTTTTAGAGACAAGTCCTGCCATGGCTTTGAGTCCTTAAATACCTATGAGTTGAGTAAATTCTTCTCATCTTCATGTTACAGGATAACTTGGGGCCTCTGGGCTTCTGAGAAAGTGACACTCTTTACTTACTATAGGTCAGAAACCCTGTACAGGGACTCCTAAAATGCAGCATATGAGGCCAGTTCCCCAAGGGGTTTTTATTGGTTCTACAAGTCAAAATTGATTTCTTAAAGGAAAGCAGACCATTCCAGTCAAAGCCTTTGCAAAAATAAGCAGTTTCTCCAATTGTGTTCATTACAAATGAAAACAGATTTCTATTGCACTTATGCAAATAACTATATTGCCATAAATTAAGAATACTCACAAATAGTTTCCAAGTTGTGGAGAAATTAGGTAGAGAGAAACAAAATGTTCCAATTTTTTTTTACAGGAATACTTTACTCAATTGCTTAAAGTTGTAAATAGCTGAAAATAAGTTTTCTTGACTCTGAAAAACAAAACAAAGAACCAGCAACATTTTAAGCACAGTTAAAAACTTCCTCAGTTTAGTCCATGCAGTTAATTTCTGTTTGATATTCATGAATATTTCAGCTTTCCATGAGAGTCCTGAAAGTTTTTTCCTCTATTCTAATGTCACAATTTCCAAAATTATCAGAAACCTGCATTTAAGAACACCTGTTAGAGTTCTATAGCTGACTATAAACCACCTTCTAAAGAGGACCAAAACAAGACAATCATTTGTGGATGACAAAATGTCTTAATACAGCCACAGTTAAAAACACGATTCACAGGATTTGTTGGCAAGATGGCTGAATAGGAACAGCTCTGGTCTGCAGCTCCAAGTGAGATTGACGCTTAAGGCTGGTGATTTCTGCATTTCCAACTCAGGTACCTGGTTCATCTCATTGGGACTGGTTAGACAGTGGCTGCAGCCCACAGAGGGTGAGCAGAAGCAGGGTGGGGCGATGCCTCACCTGGGAATTGCAAGGCATCGGGGAATACTCTCCCCTACCCAAGGGAAGCTGTGAGGAACTGTGTTGTGAGGAACAATGCACTCTGGCCCAGATACTGCACTTTTCCACAGTCTTTGTAACTCACAGACCAGGAGATTCCCTCTGGTGCCTACACCATGAGGGCTCTGGGTTTCAAGCACAAAAGTGGGTGGTGGTTTGGGAAGACATCGAGCTGGCTACAGGAGGTTTTTTCCATACCCCAGTGGCACCAGGAATGCCAGTGAGACAGAACCATCCACTCCCCTGGAAAGGGGGCTGAAGCCAGGGAGGCAAGTAGTCTGGCTCAGTAGGTCCCAACCCCTATGGAGCCCAGCAAGCTAAGACCCATTGGATTTAAATTCTCACTGCCAGTTCAGCAGTCTGAGGTCAACGTGGGATGCTCAAGCTTGGTGGTGGGAGGGGTGTCCACCATTGCTGAGGTTTGAGTATGTGGTTTTACCCTCACAGTGTAAACAAAGCTGCTGGGAAGTTCAAATTGGGTGGAGCCCACTGTAGCTCAGCAAGGTCGCTGTGGCCAGACTGCCTCTCTACATTCCTCCTCTCTGGGCAGGGCATCTCTGAAAAAAAGCAACAGCCCCAGTCAGGGACTTATAGATAAAACCCCCATCTCCCTGGGACAGAACATGTCGGGGAAGAGGCAGTTGTGGGCACAGCTTCAGCAGACTTAAACGTCCCTGCCTGCTGGCTCTGAAGAGAGCAACGGATCTCCTAGCAAAGCATTTGAGCTCTGATAAGAAACAGACTGCCTTCTCAAGTGGGTCCCTGATGCTTGTGTATCCTGATTGGGAGACACCTCCCAGTAGGGGCTGACAGACACCTCCTATGGGAGAACTCTGGCTGGCATCTGGCAGGTGCCCCTCTGGGATGAAGCTTCCAGAGGAAAGAATGGGCAGCAATATTTGCTGTTCTGCAGCCTCCACTGGTGATGCCCAGGGAAAAACAGTCTGGAGTGGACCTCCAGCAAACTCCACCAGACCTGCAGCAGAGGGACCCAACTGTTAGAAGGAAAACTAACAAACAGAAAGGGATAGCATCAACATCAACCAAAAGGATGTCCACTCAGAGTCTCCATCTGAAGATCACCAACATCAAAGACCAAAGGTAGATGAATCCATGAAGATGGGAAGAAACCAGCACAAAAAGGCTGAAAATTCCAAAAACCAGAACACTTCTTCTCCACCAGGGATCAAAACTCCTTGCCAGCAAGGGAACAAAACTGGACAAAGAATGAGTCTGATGAATAGACAGAAGTAGACTTCAGAAGGTGAGTAATAACAAATTCCTCTGAGCAAAAGGAGCATGTTATAACGCAGTGCAAGGAAGCTAAGAACCTTGAAAAAAGGTTAGAGGAATTGCTAACTAGAATAACCAGTTTACGGAAGAAAGTAAATGACCTGATTGAGATAAAAAGAAAAAAAAAACACAGCATGAGAACTTCATGAAGCATACACAAGTATCAATAGCCACATCAATTAAGAGGAAGAAAGGATATCAGAGATTGAAGATCAACTTAATGATTAAAGTGAGAAGATAAGATTAGAGAAAAAGGAATGAAAAGGAGTGAACAAAGACCCCCCAAAATATGGGACTATTTGAAAAGGACAAATCCATGTTTGATTGGTGGACCTGAAAGTGACAGGGAGAATGGAACCAAGTTGGAAAACACTCTTCAGGACTTTATCCAGGAGAACTTCCCCAAACTAGTAAGGCAGGCCAACATTCAAATTCAGGAAATGCAGAGAACACCACAAAGATGCTCCTTGAGAAGAGCAGACCCAAGACACATAACTATGAGATTCACCAAGGTTGAAATGTAGGAAAAAATGTTAAGGGCAGTCAGAGAGAATGGTCGGGTTACCCACAAAGGGAAGTCCATCAGACTAACAGTGGATCTCTCTACAGAAACCCTACAAGCCAGAAGAGGGTGGGGGCCAATATTCAACATTCTGAAGAAAATAATTTTCAATGCAGAATTTCTTATCCAGCCAAACTAAGCTTCATAAGTGAAGGAGAAATAAAATCCTTGACAGACAAGCAAATGCTGAGAGATTTTTGTCATCACCAGGCCTGCCTTACAAGAGCTCCTGAAGGAAGCACTATATATGGAAAGAAACAATCAGTACCAGCCACTGCAAAAACATACCAAATTGTAAAGACCATCAACACATGAAGAAACTGCATCAACTAACGGGCAAAATAACCAGCTAGCATTATAAGGGCAGGATCAAATTCACACAAAATATTAACCTTAAATGTAAATGGGCTAACTGCCCCAATGAAAAGACACAGATGGGCAAATTGGATAAAGAGTCAAGACCCATCAGTGTGCTGTATTCAGGAGTCCCATCTCACATGCAAAGACACATATAGGCTCAAAAAAAGGATGGAGGAATATTTACCAAGCAAATGTAAAGCAAAAAAACAGCAGAGGTTCCAATCCTAGTCTCTGATAAAACAGACTTTAAACCAACAAAAATCAACAGAGACAAAGAAGGGCATTACATAATGGTAAAGGGATCAATGCAACAAAAAGAGCTAACTATCCCAAATATACATGCACCAAAAACAGGAGCTCCCAGATTCACAAAGCAAGTTCTTAGAGACCTACAAAGAGACTTAGACTCCCACACAATAATAGTGGGTGACTTTAACACCCCACTGTCAACATTAGACAGATCAATGAGACAGAAAGTTAACAGGGATGTCTAGGAAATGAACTCAGCTCTGCACCAAGCGGACCTAATAGACATCTACAGAACTCTGCACCCCAAATCAACAGACTATACATTCTTCTTAGCAACTCATTGCACTTATTCTAAAATTGGCCACATAATTGGAAGTAAAACACTCCTCAGCAAATGCAAAAGAACGGAAATCATAGCAAACAGTCTCTCATACCACAGTGCGATAAAATTAGAACTCAGGATAAGGAACTCACTCAAAACCGCACAACTATATAGAAACGGAAAAAACTGCTCCTGAATGACTACTGGGTAAATAATGAAATGAAGGCTGAAATAAAGATGTTCTTTGAAACCAAGGAGAACAAAGGCACAATGTACCAGAATCTTGGGGACACATTTAAAGCAGTGTGTAGAGGGAAATTTATAGCATGAAATGCCCACAAGAGAAAGCAGGAGAGATCTAAAATCGACACCCTAACATCACAATTAAAAGAACTAGAGAAGCAATAGCAAACAAATTCAAAAGCTAGCAGAAGACAAGAAATAACTAAGATCAGAGCAGAATGGAAGGATATAGAGACAGGAAAAACCTTCAAAAAAATCAATGACTCCAGGAACTGGTTTTTTGAAAAGATTAACAACATAGATAGACCACTAGCCAGACTAACAAAGAAGAAAAGAGAGAAGAAACAAAGACACGGAATAAAAAATAATAAAGGGGATATCACCACTGATCCTGCAGAAATACAAACTACCATCAGAGAATACTATAAACACCTCTATGCAAATGAACTAGAAAATCTAGAAGAAATGGACAAATTCCTGGACACACACAAACTCCTAAGTCTAAACCAGGAAGAAGTTGAATCCCTGAATAGACCAATAACAAATTCTGAAATTGAGGCAGTAATTAATAGCCTACCAACCAAAAAAAGTCCAGCAGCAGACGGATTCACAGCCAAATTCTACCAGAGGTACAAGAGGATTTGATGCCATTTCTTCTGAAACTATTCCAAACAATAGAAGAAGAGGGACTCCTCCCTAACTCATTTTATGAGGCCACCATCATCCTGCTACCAAAACCAGGCAGAAACACAACAATAAAAGAAAATTTCAGGCCAATATCCCTGATGAACATTGATGCAAAAATCCTCAATAAAATACTGGCAAACCAAATCCAGTAAGACATAAAAAGCTTGTCCACCATGATCAGGTTGGCTTCATACGTGTGATGCAAGGCTGGTTCAACACAAGCAAATCAATAAATGTAATCCATCACATAAACAGAACCAATGACAAAAAAACAAGATTATCTCAATAGATGCAGAAAAGACCTTCAACAAAATTCAACACCCCTTCATGCTAAAAACTCTCAATAAACTAGGTAATGAGGGGACATATCTCAAACTAATAAGAGCTATGTATGACAAACCCATAGCCAATATCATACTGAAGGAGCAAAAGCTGTAAGCATTCCGTTTGAAAATGAGCACAAGACACGGATGCCCTCTCTCACAGCTCTCCTATTCAACATAGTGTTGGAAGTTCTGGCCAGGGCAATTGGGCAAGAGAAAGAAATAAAGGACATTCAAATAGGAAGAGAGGAAGTCAAATTGTCTCTCTTTGCAGATGACATGCTTGTATATTTAGAAAACTCCATGGTCTCAGTCCAAAATCTCCTTAAGCTGATAAACAGCTTCAGCAAAGTCTCAGGATACAAAATCAATGGGCAAAAATCACAGGCATTCCTATACACCGATAACAGACAAACAGAGAGCCAAATCATGAGTGAAGTCTCATTCACAATTGCTACAAACAGAAAATACCTAGGAACACAACTTACAAGGGATGTGAAGGGCCTCTTCAAAGAGAACTACAAACCACTGATCAAGGAAATAAGAGAGGACACAAATAAATGGAAAAACATTCCATGCTCATGGATGGGAAGAATCAATATCGTGAAAATGGCCATACTGCCCAAAGTATTTTATAGATTCAATGCTATCCCCATCAAGCTACCAACGACATTCTTCACAGAATTGGAAGAAACTTCTTTAAATTTCATATGGAACCAAAAAAGAGCCTGCATAGCCAAGATAATCCTAAGCAAAAAGAACAAAGCTGGAGGCCTCACACTACCTGACTTCAAACTGTACTACAAGGTTACAGTAACCAAAACAGCATGGTACTGGTACCGAAACAGATATGTAGACCAATGGAACAGAACAGAGGCCTCAGAAATACCACCACACATCTACAACCATCTGATCTTTGACACACCTGACAAAAACAAGCCATGGGGATAGGATTCCCTATTTAATAAATGGTGTTTGGAAAACTGGCTAGCCATACGCAGAAAACTGAAACTGGACCCCTTCCTTACACCTTATACAAAAATTAACTCAATGTGAAATATAGACTTAAACATCAGACCTAAAACCATAAAAACCCTAGAAGAGAACCTAGGCAATACCATTCAGGATATAGGCATGGGCAAAGACTTCATGACTAAAACAACAAAAGCAATGGCAACAAAAGCCTAAATTGACATAAGGGATCTAATTAAACTAAAGAGTTTCTGCACAGCAAGAGCAACTATCATCAGAATGAACAGGCAACCTACAGAATGGGAGAAAATTTTTGCAATCTATCTATCTGACAAAGGGCTAATATCTAGAATCTACAAGAAACTTAAACATATTTACAAGAAAAAAAACAACCCCATCTAAACGTGGGCGAAGGATATGAACAGACATTTCTCAAAAGAAGATATTTATGCAGCCTACTTACATATGAAAAAAGCTCATCATCACTGGTCATTAGAGAAATGCAAATCAAAACCACAATGAGATACTATCTCCTGCCAGTTAGAATGGCAATCATTAAAAAGTCAGGAAACAAGAGATGCTGGAGAGGATGTGGAGAAATATGAACACTCTTATACTGTTGGTGGGAGTGTAAATTAGTTCAACCATTATGGAAGACAGTGTGGTTACTCCTCAAGGATCTGGAATCAGAAATACCATTTGACCCAGCAATCCCATTACTGGGTATATACCCAAAGGATTATAAATCATTCTAATATAAAGAAACATGAACACGTACGTTTATTGCAGCAGTATTCACAATAGCAAAGACCTGGAACCAATCCGAATGCCCATCAATGATAGACTGGATATAGAAAATGTGGCACATATACACTATGGAATACTATGCAGCCATAAAAAAGGATGCGTTCATGTCTTTGCGGGGACATGGATGAAGCTGGAAACCATCTTTCTCAGCAAACTAACAGAAGAACAGTAAATCAAACACTGCATGTTCTCACTTGTAAGTGGGATTTGAAAAATGGGAACACATGGACACAGGGAGGGGAACATCACACACTGGGGCATGTCCAGGCATGGGGAGCCAGGGGAGGGATAGCAGTAGAAGAAATACCTAAAGTAGATGACGGGTTGATGGGTGCAGCAAACCACCATGGCATGTGTATACCTATGTAACAAAACTGCACATTCTGTACATGTACCACAGAACTTAACGTATATTTAAAAAATAAAAATAAAATAAAATACAATAACACAATTCACAAAGAAATTTGATTACCTCTGTGATGTAAAATGATTTTATGTAACAAATATAATTATTAATAACATATACAAAGTCATATCAGAATTATAGTTATCCATAATTTTATAACATATGTCAAAAACACATTTATAGAATTACAGCTCAAAGAAAGCCAAATACCATTTCATATTTGACAATGCTTCCTGTATAAGTTTTACACAAAATAAGCCAAATGTCACTATTGCATTAGTGCATTATTGATGTCAAACCCAGTTTTATTTTATTTTATTTTATTTTACTTTATATTGTTTTTTAACATACTTTAAGTTCTGGGATACATGTGCAGAAGATGCAGGTTTGTTACATAGGTATATATATGCCATGGTGCTTTGCTGCACCCATCAACCTGTCATCTAGGTTTTAAGCCCTGCGAGCATTATGTATTTGTCCTAATCCTAGCCCTTCCCTTGCCTCCCACCCCCTGACAGACCCTGGTATGTTATGTTTCCTTCCCTGTGTCCATTGTCATTTTTCAACTCCCACTTATGAGTGAGAATATTTGGTGTTTGGTTTTCTTTTCCTGTGTTAGTTTGCTGAGAATGATGCAAACCCAATTCTTAATAAAACTTTATAGACAAATATAATCAATCTTAATCAGTTTGACCATAAGGTAAGATTTTCAGAAACCTTTTAATACCCTTTTCAAATTTTTGTTTAAGAGCAGATCATAAGCATGTTTTTGCTCTAAGAAAAACCTGTTGTGCTTTTATTCCAATGCTAAATTTACAGAAAAACTGAATAATACTCCTTTAATTTTAGGCAATGTCCACATACAGAATCTCTTTTACAAATAGTTTTTCACAAACCTTCCACAACTTGCTTAAACCTTTAGCTTTATCATAATGTAAAACAATCCTTTAACCCTTTTGGCAAAAAAAAAAAAATCCACATTTCCATGACTTTTTATATATATATATATATTTTTTTTTTACCAAAAACACAATTCACTTTCCTTACAAGCCTTACATGTAGAACTGTTTCTTTAATAGTCTTAATTACATGTTACAGTGTTAACTTTTGGCAATTTTTACTTTCGATGAAAACCTTGGTAAGTTTAGGATTTTAATTATGTACTAGATGTGGAGCCTAGGACTCAGATAGAAGTGCAGATAAGGTATGACTCTTTCTAGTCTCTAACTTCATGTGTCCCAGGCCTTACCTAGCTGTAAAACAGGCAAGTTGTACAGTTAAGAGTCATAGTGGCATTTTATGAAGTATTTAGGAGGGCTAATCACCTTTAAATTGCACATTTCTTGCATAAATTCCCTTTGCAAATTCTTTCATGACTTATACAGACCATCTATGACATGCTTGGACTTTCTGACTTGTCCTAAACATTGCTCTTGTTAAACAACTATTCGTTTTACTTTAGGACAAGAATTTACCATACAACATCCTTTGTTTTATAAAATGTCTTTTCTTTATAATTTTCTTTGCATAGCTAGGGAGCATGCCTAATTCAACTTGTCCCCAGGCCTTATCTAGAATCTAATGTCCAAGTTAGGTAAATTGAACAATTTTCAAAAGTCAAAGAAGCAGTTTATGGACTTAAAGCATTTAGCAAACTTAATGTCTAACCTGCTTAATTTAGACCAAATGCTTACATTTTTGAAGATATTTTTATTTTACCAATAATATTTAGAAAGGTCTTTATTTCCCAAAGATTAAGTCACATGAACTAAATAAAAGGCATTACACTTTTACTTTTCTGACAAAATATTTAATTTAAGCTCTTATTATTATTAAACCAATTAATTAATGCTCTTTTATATTACACACACATAACACATATAATTATACAGACAGACAGAAGATAAAGGACTCATTCTGCAAGCCAGGAATTAAAACCTGAACCTGGGCTACTATTGTAAAAAGAGAAAGCATGGCCACGTGGTTATAATGTCAAGCTTCCAAGGACATAAAAGGCAAGAGGGAAACCTCATCCAGTTTTTTTTCAGGGAACTGCAGCAAAGTTTGTAACCAGTTTTCTGGGCCATCTTGAATAGTGGGCTCTGGGGTCCTAGGGCCATGTTCCATCCTAAGGTACTCCTCTTTTATGACAGAACAATACAGAAAGACATACAAAGAATGCCAGATTTGCTACAGCTTAAGACTAGCCTCACAAATCCTCATAAATCCTTTTTATCCATTAATCAAACATTACACAGGAAATAAACAGTTATTTTTACCATTCTTTCAACTGGTTTGCACGGGGGAGCGGGGGGAGAGAGAGAGAGACCAGAAGTCTGACTCATAAGAAATTCTTGCTCTTTTGCCAGCATGCCAGGCTTCTGGGTTTCCTTTCCCTGATTCAACCTAGTGACCCGGCTTCCTGCACCATAGCCCTGGGGGCCAAGCTGCAACACTAAGGAAAATTATCATTTTCTGTTCTGGCCAGAGCAAAATACATATGACAAAA